>NC_000017.11:18066868-18369898 GCF_000001405.40 Homo sapiens
GATATCTAAAATCTGTTATCCCAGGACTGTGTACAGAGGGGCAACCTACCCATTCAGGAAGGTCAGGGCTTTGGAACCCTAAAAAGTTGGCCCGATGACTTAAAGGGAAAAATAATTCATTCCCAGAGATGAGTCAGAACAGTCTCCTCAATCCTGAAATTCAACAAGGCATCAGAAGGGCTGGCTGTGGTCAAGCCCAGCTGCTGTCATGTGAGGAGATGCTCACTGTGGTCTTGTTGAGCTGATGGCCTTGGTTGAGCTGATGGACAAGTGAAGGAGGCCATGGGGCTGTGCTGTCCTTCCTGCCGTACGTGCCATTCCACTCTCTTCAGCTCTCCCCTCAACAGCATGCGAGCCCATACCTTCTGCATTTTTCCAGGCCTGTGAGGGATATAGGCCTCCCCTTGGAGCACTGAGTCCGGAGGTCATCCCTGAGCTCATCCACGGCTCATGCTGTGGCTCCGAGTAGTGGTTTGAGTGGGCAGGAAGGGCCATTTGCAAACACTGCTGTGTTCTAGACAAACAACCCAAGTCCTATGGCAGGATTTCTTCCTTCCTTCCTTTTTTACCCAGGTGATGAAGTGCACCCATTGTACTGGGAAGAATGAAGAGGTGATACCTTTACTAGATCCTTCAGACACATCTATGAGAAGATTTGTTCATTTAAAAGTCTGCCCACTGAGGATAGGGAAAGGATTAAGGATTTTTCCACCTCCTCTTAGTAACTCCTGAATTACCAACATCAACTTCTTTCTCTCCGTTCCTGAAGGAACTTTGGGGAATCATCTTCATCCGTAGTTACGCTTTCCTGAACCTTCTCAGTGGTTTACATGCCTCTGAAACTATGTGCAATATTTTTGGTTGACACTTGTATCCATCCTTAAGAAATTAGTGCAGATTGCAGATGTTCTGTCTTCCATCCCAAACAAGCCTGCCATGAGGTAGGATCCTAGGGGTTTGGCTGTTCTTACTCCACTGCTCAGAAAGCTTCCATTCTGCTGTCCTCAGCCTCGACCCTCTTCTGTGCTGGACTTCCACCCACCCACCCTTTTCAAGTTTAGATAGTGTTTCAGCTGCTGTCCCAAAGTAACAAAACAATACCTACTGTTAAGTAGGAAGTCAATCTGTGTGCTGGTTTTGTTGGTTATGTGGAAATCACAAACTCCAGAGGAGCAAAGGGGTTTTTCAATGTCTTTTGCTTTCAGAAACAGAGAATATAATATTCTCACTAAGGCCTTGAATTGATTTTTTTCTCATAAAATAGTCTGATAAGCTAATTTTTAAAAAGAAATGCCATTAACTGTGTTGTATCGTGGTTTAAAATTACTAACAAGTTGTGGGAAAGAAAAATAATATTTGATTTTGAATCTTAAATGTTTTTAAAAATTAGACTTGAATGGGCACAAAGTATAAATATTTTGTTTCTTTATGGAGGACATGTGGAAGGAGTTTGAGGGTTTGGGATGGGAGAAGTATTTTGCAGAGCTATCAATGTCCAAATAATTTAAAAAAAAAAATAAAGGTATTTAAGCAGTGAGTTTGTCCTATTTGTAAACCAAAGCAGCTCCATTAGAGGAAAGCAGTCCTCTCTGGGCCTGTGGCTGTGGAGCTCTCCAGGGCCAGCCGGAGACCTCTGTGTGCCAGGGCAAACCGAGGGCCCCTCTGGGCAACTGTTGCAGTGGTCTGCTTGCTCCTTTTTCATTCTGAATGTTTTCAGCTGCTCAGCACTTCTATTCAAGCTCCATTTTGTTAATTTCTGTATTTCTTCAGAAATGTGGAAGCATTTTTTTTTTCCATATGTGAAGGGTTTATATTTCTATTTAACACAGAGAAAATGTGCAGGCAGAGGTATCTGTCCAAAGCCTGCTTTGTGTTCTGGTGTGGGGACAGGCAATGCTGTTGGGCTGCTCTCGACACTGTGACTGTGGTCCTCAGAGAAGATGCCTAAGTCTCAAAGCACAGGCACTTGGACCCCCAAATAGCAGGATCCCTAAATCAGCCATTACAGTTTATTCTGACAAACCATTCTGTTACGTTTCAGGTCCCACCTCCCTAGGAGGCTTGAAGGAACATGACTGGAAACATGGGAGATTTTGAGGAAACATATAAAGTGTTGAGGTCTAAATTTTAAGCAAGTTGAAATGCTAAGGGAATTTACATCAGTGGCAGGGCAAAGCTCCCCTGTTGTGTGTATTTTCTGATCTCATATTGTCTAAGCAATAATAAGCTTTTTTCTCCCATGAGATGTGGTGTCAATAAAAGAATAGACTGTTCACAGTGCTGGACTCAGGATTTAAGACACCATTTATTTTTATCTTTTGAGGCAAGCTCTCTATCACCAGGCTGGAGTGCAGTGGTGCTATCACAGCTCACTGCAGACTCCCAGGCTCAGGTGATCCTCTTGCATCAGCCTCCCAAGTAGCTGGCACCACAGGCATGCGACCACGCCCACCTAATTTTTTTTATTTCTGTAAAGATGGGGTCTCCCTATGTTGCCCAGGCTGGTCTTAACCTCCTGGGCTCAAGCTGTCCACCCACCTCAGCTTCCCAAAGTGCTGGGATTACAGGTGTGAGCCACCACACCCAGCCAAGACACCATTTATTGGCTGTTTTGTTGAATGGAAAAGTCATGGGAGGCCTGGGTTCCACCTATCAACCTTGGGTCCCAATCTGCCCTCAAGGTACATCAGCTAACCTCCCTGAGCCCAACTTCCCTCACCCAGAAAGTGGAAAACCTCTGTCTGGACTAAAGAATTGTTGAGGATTCTAGAAGATGCTCCTGAAAGCACATTGTAAATTGAATAAGAATAATTGTAAATTGAATAACATGTAAAAAGTTATTCTTGCTTAATAATAATATAAAAATATCTACTGGGCCAGGGTGCGGTGGCTCATGCCAGTAATCCCAGCACTTTGGGAGGCTGAGGTGGGAGGATCACTTGAGGTCAGGAGTTCGAGACCAGCCTAGCCAACATGGTGAAACCCCATTTCTACTAAAAATACAAAAACTAGCCGGGCATGGTGGCGGGTGCCTGTAGTCCCAGCTACCAGGAAGCTGAGGCAGGAGAATCACTTGAACCAGGGAGGCAGAGGTTGCAGTGAGCCAAGGTCGTGCCACTGCACTCCAGCCTGAGTGGCAGAATGAGATTCCATCTCAAAAAAATATAAATAAATAAAAAGTATCTACTGAGCCTTGCCACATGCACCATTGTAGGTATTGAGGGTGATGCAGGAATAAAACATGTCTACAACAGCTATAGCAACTCTCTTTCATATCTCGATTCTTAGATCCCCAATTTATAACCTTTAGTTAGCTTTGTTTTTAGGCCATCTATAGGAACTGTAGAAATAGTAGAAATTGTGTAGATTTTAAGTGTGAAACCAATTGCAAAACAGGACAAAAGGAAAACTATAAGAATGCTGTCGGCTGGGCGCGGTGGCTCACGCCTGTAATTCCAGCACTTTGGGAGGCCAAGGTGGGCGGATCACAAGGTCAGGAGATCAAGACTCATCCTGGCTAACACGGTGAAACCCCGTCTCTACTAAAAATACAAAAAGTTAGCTGGGCGTGGTGGCAGGCCCCTGTAGTCCCAGCTACTCAGGAGACCGAGGCAGGAGAATGGCGTGAACCCGGGAGGCGGAGCTTGCAGTGAGCCGAGATAGCGCCACTGCACTCCAGCCTGGGCGATAGTGCAAAGACTCCATCTCAAAAAAAACAACAACAAAAAAAGTGCTATCTCCACTCATCTGAACTGCACCTGGGAAGGGAAGCATTAAAATTGCTCAGTAATGAAATAGGCAGTAGGCTTTGATATATTTAAAAATAAAAATTAAAAAAAAAAGCCTCAAAGTTGGATTGCAGTTGAACAGCTTTTCCCTCCAGATTTTTCTTCCAAAACATCGAAAGATTGAAACTCCCTATTTGTACATAGCAGGGAAAACATGTAAGGCTTTTCATTTGTAGAGAAACATATGCTGGATTCAAGTTTATTTTTGCCATTTTTTTCCTTCTGATTTTTCAGTTCGCTTCATTTTTCAATGCATTAGTCATGGTTTCTCTCCATAATCGCTCCACAGCCCCTCCATCTTCATGCCTTCTCACTGGCTTGACCTGGAGCAGTGTTTCTGAAACCTGGCTGCACTTCAGAAGCACATGGGAGCTGATTTAATGTCAGGCAGCATGCAGACCAGTCCTCACAACCTGTCGATGTTTTTAAAGCTCCCCGGGTGACTCCAACGCACAGGAAGCTTTGAGCGTAACTAAGTGAGCCTCCCGCCCTGAAATGAGAGAAAGGCTTTCAGGCTTGTGGTGTTGGTGGACTAAGTGTGGCTTCTGGCCATTCACACAGTCACCACACTGCAAGGGAGCTGGGAACTGGAGCCTGTGAGAAGCCCCTGTGAACAATGTTCTCTGTCTTAAAACAGCTTACACGGACTTCTCCTTTTTACCTCTAAAAGATTCATTCCCCTTTCCCCAACCATATACCCCAGATTGCAACCCCTTGCTATTCTCAAATAAACTTTTTGTTTTGGAGTGTCAGTCTCTCTCTCGCTTATTTTAGCTTGATGTGAGTAGCTTGCAGAGTTGTGCTGCATAAGGAAAGAAAATAAATAGGAAGTAGCTGTCAGGGGAGTGGGCTAGAAATGGGTTGTTGGTTTGGTTATTTCTGCAGGGGGAGGGGTTTTCTGCAAATTATATGTAATGAGGCTTTGTTTATTGTGGTAAAATGTGTATTACATAAAATTTACCACTTTAACCACTCATAAGTGTACAGTTCAGTAGTATTAAGTACATTCACATTGTGTTCCTATCACCACTGTTTCCAGAAGTTTTCCATCATCCTAAAGAAATTCTGGACTCAGTAAACGCTATCTAAATCCCCATTCCTCCCCCTAGTCCTGATAACCACCATTCTATTTTCTGTCCCCATGAATTTGTCTAGATCCCTCATAGAAATGAAATCATAATAGTATTTATCTTTGTGTGACTGGTTTTTTTCACTTGTAGAATGTGTCAGAATTTCTTTCTATGCTATGGCTGATACTCCATTGTATGTATATAACACATTTTATCCATCTGTTGATGAACATTTGGGCTGTTTCTACCTTTTGACTATTATGCATTGTGCTGTTATGAACACTGGTTTGTGTGGTCAGTATCTGTTTGAGTACCTGCTTTCAAGTATTTTGAGTTTGTAACTAAGGAGTGGAATTGCTAGATCATATAATTCTATGCTTAACTTCTTGAGGAACACCAAACTGTTTCTCATAGTGGCTGCACCATTTTACATTCTCTCCAGCAGTACACAATGATTCCATTTTCTCCATATCCTCTCCAACACCTGTTTTCCTTTTTAAATTTTTTTTTTTTTTCTTGAGACAGAGTCTCACTCTGTCGCCAGGCTGGAGTGCAGTGGCACAATCTCGGCTCACTGCAACCTCCACCTCCCGGGTTCAAGTGATTCTCCTGCCTCAGCCTCCCAAGTAGCTGGGACTACAAGGCACGTGCCACCACGCCCAGCTAATTTTTGTATTTTTAGTAGAGATGGGGTTTCACCATGTTGGTCAGGTTGGTCTGAATCTCTTGACCTCGTGGTCTGCCCACCTCGGCCTCCCAAAGTGCTGGGATTACAGGCGTGAGCCACTGTGCCCAGCCTTAAAATTTTTATAATGGCCATCCTAATGGGTGTGAAGTGATACGTCACTGTGATTTTTGTTGTTGTTTTTCTGAGATGGTATCATTCTGTCACCTAGACTGGAGTGCAGTGGCTTTTCTTTTTTCTTTTTTTTTGAGACAGAGTTTTCCTCTTGTTGCCCAGGCTGGAGTGCAATGGCACGATCTTGGCTCACTGCAACCTCCGCCTCCCAGGTTCAAGCGATTCTCCTGCCTCAGCCTCCTGAGTAGCTGGGATTAGAGGCACCTGCCACCATGCCTGGCTAATTTTTGTATTTTTAGTAGAGATGGGGTTTCATGATGTTGGCCAGGCTGGTCTTGAACTTCTGACCACAGGTGATCTGCCCACCTCGGCCTCCCAAAGTGCTAGGATTACAGGCATGATCCACTGCGCCTGGCCGTGCAGTGGCATTTCTGCACTCCATAATCATGACTCACTGTGGCCTTGACCTCCTGGGCTCAAGCAATTCTCCTTCCTCAGCCTCCCAAGTAGCTGCGACTACAGATGCACGCCACCACACCCAGCTAATTTTTTTTCAAAATATTTGTAGAGACTGGCTCTCACTATGTTGATTTGCATTTACCTAATGATTAGTGATGCTGAGAAATCATCTCAAGTGTTTATTCAACATTTGTATATCTTCTTTGGAGAAATGTCTATTCAAGTCCTTTGCTTTTTTTTTTTTTTTTTTTTTTTTTTTTTTTTTGTAGAGACAGGGTCTCACTACGTTGCCCAGGATCTCTGCTTTCTTTTTTTTTTTTTTTTGAGACAGAGTCTTCCTGTGTCGCCCAGGCTGGAGTACAGTGGTGTGAGCTTAACTCACTGCAACCTGCACCTCCTGGGTTCAAGCGATTGTCCTGCCTCAGCCTCCTGAGTAGCTGGGATTACAGGTGCCCACCACAACGCCAAGCTAATTTTTGTATTTTTAGTAGAGATGGGGTTTCACCATGTTGGCCAGGCTGGTCTTGAACTCCTGATCTCGCAATTCGCCCACCTCAGCCTCCCAAAGTGCTGGGATTACAGGTGTGAGCCACTGCACCCGGCCCCCTGCTCATTTTTAAATCAGGTGCATTGTTTCATTGTTGCTGAATTGTAGGTGTTCTCTATATTTTCTAGATATTAATTCCTTATCAGATACATGCTTTGCAAATATTTTCTCCTATTATTCTGTGGGGTCTCTTTACCATCTCTTTTTTTTTTTTTTTTTTGAGACAGAGTCTCACTCTGTCGCCCGGGCTGGAGTGCAGTGGCACGATCTTGGCTCACTGCAACTTCTGCCTCTCAAGTTCAAGTGATTCTCTTGCTTCACCCTCCCGAGTAGCTGGGATTACAGATGCCTGCCACTACGCCCAGCTACTTTTTGTATTTTTAGTAGAGATGGGGTTTCACCATGTTGGCCAGGCTGGTCTCGAACTCCTGATCTCGCAATTTGCCCACCTCAGCCTCCCAAAGTGCTGGGATTACAGGCACGAGCCACCGTGCCCGGCGGCCTCTTCATGCTCTTGATAGTGCCTTAATGATGCACAAAAGTTTTTTTTTTTTTTTTTTTTTTTTTTGAGACGGAGTCTCGCTCGGTCGCCCAGGCTGGAGTGCAGTGCTATCTCAGCTCACTGCAAGCTCTGCCTCCTGGGTTCACACCATTCTCCTGCTTCAGCCTCCCAGTAGCTGGGACTACAGGCGCCCTCCACCACTCCTGGGTAATTTTTTTTTTTTTTGTATTTTTAGTAGAGACGGGGTTTCACCGTGTTAGCCAGGACGGTCTCGATCTCCTGACCTCGTGATCCGCCCACCTCAGCCTCCCAAAGTGTTAGGATTACAGGCGTGAGCCACCGCGCCTGGCAAAAGTTTTTCTTTTTGATATAATCCCATTTATCTATTTTTTTTTTCATTTTGTTGCCTGTACTTTTGGTGTCATATCCAAGGAACCATTGCCAAATTTTAATGAATTTCTAGGTAACCATTTATTATAAATTATAGTACAGCTATATAATGAAACACCTCTCAGCATTTCTTATAAAAAGAAATGTACTATAGCGATACAACACAGATGAATCTGGAAACATTATGCTGAGCAGAGGAATCTAGACACAGAAGACGATATGCTGTGTGATTCCGTTCAGATGAAGTTGTAGAAAAGATGAGTCTAACTGGTAGTGATAGAAAGCAGATGGGTGGCAGCCTGGGGCTGAGTTGGGGTGAGGACTGAGTGCGGGGGGGTGGTGGTTTCTGGAGTGATAGAGATGTTCTGTGTGTCAAATGTGGGGGTGGCTGCATCGCCCTATGCATTTGTCAGAACTCATTGAATTATGCACTGGAGAATGGTGTGTTTTATTGCAAGTAAATTATGCTTAAAAAAAAGTTGAATCAAAAATATTTTTAAAAACCATCCATTAATTCAGAAACAGTAGGGATGCATTGTACAAAACTAGAAAATTCAGACCAGCAAGAGAAGGAGTTTTGCTTACTTTTCCGAAGGGAGGTGTGACAGCATATTTGTATGCTGTTGAAAATGACACAGCAGAATGCAAAGTTCAAGCTGTAGGACAGGGATGGCTCAGGTAGAAGCACTGAGAGTTTGTTTCTGGGAACAAGCAGCCATGCCAATGCTGGCAAGTTGGAAGTTTGTGGAAGTTCTTGTCTCATTTCTTCAATGGTTCTTAGTGAGCTTGAGAGCAAGGTAGACAACCCTCCTGAGGATGAGGATAGGGGGAGAGGTATTGGGCCTTTGAGGAGAAAGAAGGCACGAGATGGTTGTCCAGGAGAGGAAGAGTGGATGGATGCGGAAGTCAAGCATGCCCCAAGCAAGCATGGGGATGTTCCCAACCCAGGTGCAGGTGCAGAGTAGGAAGAGGCCTGTGGTTTTGCAAGTACAGGTGAGTGAAGAGTCAGGGAGTTGTTGTGTGTGCAAGGGAGTGAAGTAAGTGAAGACCATGGAATTCAAGCTGGATACGGAGGGAGAGAGGACTTCAAGGGGATGAAGGTGGTAGCACCAATGGATTGGAGATCTTGGTGGGCTCAAAGGATGGATGGAATCAGAATTCTAGAAAATTGGGGCTGAACTTGGTGGCTCACACATCTATAATACTAGCACTTTGAGAGGCCAAGGTGGGAGGATCACTTGAGCCCAGAAGTTGGAGACCAGCCTGGGCAACATGGCAAAAACCCATCTCTACAAAAAATACAAAAATTAGCGAGGCATGGTGGTGCATGCCTGTAGTCACAGCTACCAGGGAGGCTGAGGCGGGAGGACCTCTTGAGCCCAGGAGGTGGAGGTTGCAGTGAGCTGAGATCACACCACTGCACTCCAGCCTGGGTGACAGAGTGAGACCCTGTCTCAACAACAACAACAAAATAATAAATAAAAATAGAAAGTTGGAAAGGGAGAAGCTTTCACATTCAAATTTGGTCAGACCTCTCTTTACCTTAAAAGTGTTCCTATTGCCCACAAGATCAAATCCAGACCCCTCAGGAGAACCTCAGGTGTGACCAGTCCTCTGTGACCTGTCCAGCATCCATCTGGCTTGCTGGAGATGCTGCCAGACCTGCAGAGCCCCCAGGCAGAGCCCACAGGAAATCCCCCCAGCCCTGCTCATTCCCACTTTTTGACCTTGGCCTGACTTACTCTCTAAGGGAACCATCTTCCCCAGAACATTTTTCCTGATGTTTCTGCCTGCACCATCCACTCTGTATTAGGGTCCACCATGCATGCTCCTGGACCCCATGCTGCTCATCTCTTTAGTGGGGAGGAATCTTACTCCATTAACTTTATTTTCCTTATCTCAAATCAGATTAACAGCCTGCATCGTGCCAAGGTTGCAGAAAATGACACCTGAGTGTTTCTTATTGGGACTCTCCCTTCACCTGGTCACAAAAGGGCCTCGTGTCAGTGTCTCAGGCTGTAGGTGCTGAAGCTCTGGAGAGATCCTTCTCATCTTTAGTCTCTCCAGTTACCATGCAAGGGCCCCTTGCCCAGACCCCTTTCCTTTCCCATCTAAATGGCAACTTCTACCACTCTTGGGGGCCAAGAATATTTGCCATTTCCCAAGACTAGGAACTCCTGGCCGGGCGCGGTGGCTCATGCCTGTAATCCCAACACTTTGGGAGGCCAAGGTGGGCGGATCACGAGGTCAGGAGATCGAGACCATCGTGGCTAACACAGTGAAACTCCGTCTCTACTAAAAATACAAAAAATTAGCCAGGTGTGGTGGTGGGCACCTGTAGTCCCAGCTACTCGGCAGGCTGAGGGAGGAGAATGAAGTGAACCTAGGAGGCAGAGCTTGCAGTGAGCTGAGATCACTGCACTCCAGCCTGGGGGACAGAGCAAGACTCTGTCTCAAAAAACCAAAACAAACAAACAAACAAAAAGACTAGGAACTCTGGGGCCTGGTCACCCTGGGTGTACCACAGAGCCATTCCCTGCTGCCACCTGAGGCCAATCATCCCTCCAATGCACCTAGAGAGGGCCCCCGTGCAATTGTCTCTGCCTAACCGTGTTCCATAAGGGCTGGGGCCTGAAGCTTCCTGTAAGAATGAAGACAGCATTTAGGAGGTCTACTGGCTTTGTTTTCTGGATTTCAGCCCAGAAGTTTTCTCTAAAACCCTCAGATGTTAACTCATCACAGAAGACACGACTAGGTTCAAAAGGACAAACAGCCCTACACACTACCCCAACTCCAGACGTCTGAGGTTACTGCAGCTTCAATAAAGTGTGCATCAATTAGAATTAAAATGCTCCTTTTTCCATCCTGGGTCACATGGCAAAACCCGGTCTCGGCCATGTGCAGTAGCTCGTGCCTATAATCCTAGCACTTTAGGACCAGGTGCCGTGGCTCAAGCCTATAATCCCAGCACTTTGAGAGGCCAAGGCGGGTGGATCTCTTGAGGTCAGGAATTCAAGACCAGCCTGGCCAACATGATAAAACTCCATCTCTACCAGAAATACACAATAGCCGGGCATGGTGGCGCACGCCTGTAATCCCAGCTACTCAGGAGGCTGAGGCAGGAGAATCGCTTGAACCCAGGAGGCGGAGGTTGCAGTGACCTGAGATTGCGCCACTGCACTCCAGCCTGGGCGACAGAGCAAGACTCTCTAAAAAAAGAAAAAAGAAAAAAAATATACAAATCCTAGCACTTTGGGAGGCCGAGGCAGGAGGATAACTTGAGCCCAGGAGTTTGAGACCAGCATGGGCAATGTAGTGAGACCCTGTCTCTATTTAAAACAAATAAACAACTGGGTGCTGTGGCTCACGCCTGTAATCCTAGCACTTTGGGAGACTGAGGCAGGTGGATCACAAGGTCAGGAGATCAAGACCATCCTGGCTAACACGGTGAAACCCCATCTCTACTAAAAATAAAAAAAATAAAAAACAATTATTTGGGCGTGGTGGCACGTGCCTGTAGTCCCAGCTACTTGGGAGGGTGAGGCAGGAGAATCGCTTGAACCCAGGAGGCAGAGGTTGCAGTGAGCCGAGATCGCGCCACTGCACTCCAGCCTGGGTGACAGAGTGAGACTCCATCTCAAAAAACAAACAAAACAAACAAACAAAACCCAGTCTCTACTAAAAATACAAAAATTAGCCAAGTGTGGTGGTGCATACCTGTATTCCCAGCTACTCAGGTGGCTGAGGTAGGAGTATTACTTGAGCCCAGGAGGTCGAGGCTGCAGATCGTGCCACTGCACTCCAGTCTGGGTGACAGAGCGAGACCCTGTCTCCAAAAAGCTCTTTTTCCTGGGTCAGAGTCAACCTTCAGAGAACACCCCATGCTGGGTAAAAATAAATATCTTCTTTCTTCTTTTTCTTTTCTTTTTTTTTTTTAAGACGGAGTTTTGCTCCTTGTTGCCCAGGCTGAAGTGCAATGGCGCAATCTCGGCTCACTGCAACCGCCACCTCCTGGGTTCAAGCAATTTTCTTGTCTCAGCTTCCCAAGTAGCTGGGGTCACAGGCGTGCACCACCATGCCCGGCTAATTTTGTATTTTTAGTAGAGATGGGGTTTCACCATGTTGGTCAGGCTGGTCTCCAACTCCTGACCTCAAGTGATCCACCCGCCTGGGCCTCCCAAAGTGCTGGGATTACAGTATCAGCCACTGTGTCCAGCAAAAATGAATGTTTTCATCACAGGTGCAACATGCTCCCCCACAGCCTGTCCCAACATGGTAGCCTGTACCTTTGGTGAATGTCCAGGCTTGGGGAAAAGGGGTGTCAATGGCACAGTGGCTCACACCTATAATTCCAGCACTTTGGGAGGCTGAGGCAGGTAGACTGCTTGAGGTCAGGAGTTCGAGAGCAGCCTGGCCAACATGGTGAAACCCCTCTCTACTAAAAATACAAAAATTAGCCAGGCATGGTGGCGCATGCCTGTAATCCTAGCTACTTGGAGGCTGAGGCAGGAGAATTGCTTGAACCCGGGAGGTGGAGGTTGCAGTGAGCGGAGATCGCAACACTGCACTCCAGACTGGGCAACAGAGCGAAACTCTGTCTCCAAAAAAAAAAGAGCCTGGCACAGTGGCTTGGGCTTGTGCTTGCAGTCCCAGCTACTCTGGAGGCTGAATTAGGAGGATCCCTTGAGCCCAGGAGTTTGAGGCTAGCCTGGCCAACATAGCAAGACCCAAGCTCCAAATAAGTAATAATAATAATAATGTGATGATTCTCACATACTCATTCTATCTTTTGCTGACTTCCTGTCTTTTTGTTCACTTATCTAGCTCTCCAGCCAAGCTCTGAGCTTCCTGAGGGCAGGGCTGCTGTCCCATTCATTTCTCTATCCAGAGGACACACGAGTTGTGCTCACCTGACACCAGCTGAGCAGCCAAACAGTTCCATTAGCCAATTCGATTTGAGCAGATTGGTGCACACTACTGTGCACCAGTATTGGGTCCCAGCTACTCGGGAGGCTGAGGTGGAAGGATCCCTTGAGCTGGAGAGGTGGATGTTGCAGTGAGCCAAGATCGCACCACTGCACTCCAGCTTGGGGGACTATGTGAGATGCTGTCTCAAAAGAAAGAAAAAAAAGAAAAGAAAAGAAAAAAAGGAAAAGAAACAAACAAAAGTCAAGAGACAAGCTTTGGTGAAACCTTGGGGAGGGAGGCAGTGAACTTGTTTGAAGACTACCTCTCCAAGTTCTATCTCTGGATGAAGAGTTTTAAGGGAAATTAGGGGAGTACAAATGATGATCAAGGCATTCTTATGAAACGCGCAGTCTCAGGCTGGCAGTTAAGTGTTAATTCCTTGGTCAATGTCTTGTGGCCATCTGCAGGCACCATCAAGCTGTTCTTATCAGGCTGGTCAGCCTGTTCCTAGAGTTGTTGGTCAGCGTATTTTCTTTTATGTCTATCGAAGGTCCTGTTTTCCTGAGGCTGTTTTTAATGAAAAATCTACAAACTCAAACAAAGCATAATTATATCAGGCAAACAAACTTTTCTCTAACATGGAGTCAGTACTGTTAAATAAATGAACAAATTTGAACAAGGAATACTGTCCCGGTTAGATAACTGTGATTATAAGTGAAGTCCAGATTTGCCCCTAGTTACTTTGCCAGAATTTCTTCTGAAATGCTTTACTTATTTATTTACTTTTGTTGTGGTAAAATAGATATAAATATACATGAAATTTACCATTTTAACCTTTTTTTTTTTTTGAGACGAAATTTTGCCCAGGCTGGAGTGCAATGGCGCAATCTCAGCTCACCATAACCTCTGCTTCCCGGGTTCAAGGGATTCTCCTGCCTCAGCCTCCTGAGTAGCTGGGATTACAGGCATGTGCCACCGTGTCCAGCTAATTTTGTATTTTTAGTAGAGATGGGGTTTCTCCATGTTGGTCAGGCTGGTCTCAAACTCCCGACCTCAGGTGATCCGCCCACCTCAGCCTCCCAAAGTGCTGGGATTATAGGCATGAGCCACTGTGCCCGGGCCATTATACCCACTTTTAAGGATATAGTTCAGTGGTATTAAGTACATTCGCATTGTTGCACAACAATCACCACCCTTTGTCTCCAGAACTTTTTCATCTTCCCAAACTGAAACTCTGCACCCATTAAACACTCACTCCCCAGGTATATTTTCCTTAGAGAAATTTCAATTCAAGCCCTTTGCCCATTTTTTAATTGGGTTGTTTTCAGATATGTGATTTGCAAATATTTTCTCCCACTCTGTGGGTTGCCTTTTCACTGTGTTGATAGTGTCTTTTTTTTTTTTTTTTTTTTTTTTTTTGAGACAGTCTCGTTCTGTTGCCCAGGCTGGAGTGCAGTGATGCAATCTTGGCTCACTGCAACCTCCACCTCTCGGGTTCAAGTGATTCTCCTGCCTCAGCCTCCCAAGTAGCTGAGACTACAGGCATGCACCACCACGCCCAGCTCTTTTTTTTTTGTATTTTTAGTAGAGACGGGGTTTCACCATGTTGGCCAGGCTGGTCTCAAACTCCTGACCTCAGGTGATCCGTCCACCTCAGCCTCCCAAAGTGCTGGGATTACAGGCATGAGCCACCGTGCCAGGCTGATAGTGTCTTTTGATGCACAAGCCAAATGTTTCTACGGTTCCGGTAGCAGCCTCTCCAGAAGCATTTAAACTCCACCTCAAGGGCTCATTGCACAGCATGCACACAAAGGCTTGTAGGTGGCCTTCCGGGTTAGGGTTTGGAGGGCCCAGACCTTCCAAGCAGGAGAGCCGGTTGCCTAGAGCAAGTCTGATGTGCGGTCATCTCCCTTGACCCTTGAAGTAGGCATGATTCTAACGTTACCTGAGAAGAACTGAGGCCCACAGGGATTTCATGGAAGCAGATACAACAGCAAAGATGCCAGGATTCTCAGAAGGTGAGTCATTTTCCAAAACTCTTCTGTTTCCCCAACTAAAAACTGGAAGTGAACCTGCCTTTGTGGGCACAAAGGTGGTGGTGAAGGAGGCTCCGAGAGCCACTGATGTAGAAGGTGGAGGCAGAGAGAGGACTTACAGGCCCCCAACCTGGGTCAGGGTTCTTCAGGCCTCCACATCTTCATGGGCCACCCAAGTTGTTCTCACCACTATAATCTTCTTTAAACCTTACAGAAACATCATACATTTATTTCCACCTACAGCCTACCATGTTACTTTGGAGTCACAGGACTTGGAATTGAAAGCCCTGGATTATCATCTCAGTCCTGCCATTGAATGGCTTGAGCACTGGGCCAGGCACTTTGCATAGCTCAAGACTTCACTTTGTAAAATGCAGATGAGAGTGGTAAGCTCAAAGTTTGCAAAAGCTCCTGTCTAGCCCAGAGCCTGGTGCATAGTAGATGCTTGATAAATAGGGGTTAAATCTGAGAAATTCCATGACATCCAGAGAGAAGAAACAATTTCCAATGGTTCTGGCATTCAACAACAACTTATCAGCAAGCAAACTACATGCCAGGTGCTCTACAGCCATTATCTTCTTCTTTTTTTTTTTTTTTCTGAGACAGAGTCTCGCTCTTGTGACCCAGCCTAGAGTGCAGTGGCGCAATCTCAGCTCACTGCAACCCCCGCCTCCCGGGTTCAAGCTTCTCCTACCTCAGCCTCCTGAGTGGCTGGGATCACAGGCGCCTGCCACCACGCCCGGCTAATTTTTGTACTTTTAGTAGAGACGGGGTTTTGCCATGTTGGTCAAGTTGGTCTCTAACTCCTGACCTCAGGTGATCCACCCATCTTGGCCTCCCAAAGTGCTGGGATTACAGGAGTGAGCCACCACACCTGGCCTCTTACTTCATTTTTATAACAACCACATTATTCCCACTTTTAGGATGTAGAAACAGGCTCAGAGAGGTTAAGACATTTAGCCAAGCTAGGCCAGGCACGGTGGCTCACGCCTGTAATCCCAGCACTTTGGGAGGCTGAGGTGGGCGGATCACGAGGTCAGGAGATCAAGACCATCCTGGCTAACACGGTGAAACCCCGTTCCTACTAAAAAAAATAATACAAAAAATTAGCTGGGCATGGTGGTGGGCGCCTGTAGTCCCAGCTACTCGGGAGGCTGAGGCAGGAGAATGGCGTGAACCCAGGAGGCGGAGCTTGCAGTGAGCCGAGATTGCTCCACTGCATTCCAGCCTGGGCAACAGAGCAAGACTCTTTCTCATTTAAAAAAAAGAAAGAAAGAAATTTAGCCAATCTCATACAGTTAGGAACCTGGAATGTGAACACAGGCGGTATGATTTTCAAGGACATGTTTCCTCCCCCCAACTTTTTATTAATAACATACAGAAAAGTTGGAAGAATGATTTAATAAACACCCACATACCCTCCCCCCAGTTTCAACAATTGTTAACATATTGGCACATTTACTTTACCCTGCTATCTCTAAATATATACATTCTTTGTTTGTTTGTTTGTTTGTTTGTTGTTTTGTTTTGTTTTTGATACAGAGTCTTGCTCTGTCTCCCAGGCTGGAGTGTGGTGGCACAATCTCGGCTCACTGCAACCTCCACCTCCCAGGTTCAAGCAATTCTTGTGCCTCAGCCTCCCGAGTAGCTGGGATTACAGGTGCCCACCACCACAACCGGCTAATTTTCATATTTTTAGTAGAGACGGGGTCTCACCATGTTGGCCAGGCTGGTCTTGAACTCCTGACCTCAAGTGATCCGCTCGCCTCAGCCACCCAAAGTGCTGGGATTACAGATGTGAGCCACCGCAGCAGCCCTACTTTGGTTTTTTTTTTTTTTGAGACAGAGCCTCTCTCTGTTGCCCAGGCTGGAGTGCAGTGGCGCAATCTCGGCTCACTGCAACCCCTGCCTCCCAGTTTCAAGCGATTCTCCTGTCTCAGCCTCTGGAGTAGCTGGGATTACAGGCATGAGCCACCATGCCTGGCTAATTTTTGTATTTTTAGTAGAGACGGGGTTTCTCCATGTTGGCCAGGCTGGTCTTGAACTCCTGATCTCAGGTGATCCACCCGCCTCAGCCTCCCAAAGTGCTGAGATTACAGGCGTGAGCCACCGTCCCCAGCCCCATATATACATACTTTGAACTAGTTGAGTAAGGTACAGATGTCACACCTACTATGGACTGAATGTTTGTGATGTGATGGTATTTGGAGTTGGGGCCTATGGGGGTAATTAGAGTTGGATGAGTTCATGGGGTAAGATACTGCTTATGATGGACATGGTGCCCTTGTAAGAAGGGACACCAGAGAGCTTGTCTCTCTGAGAGCATGCACTAAGGAAAGGGCATTTGAGGACACAGTGGCAAAGTAGCCCTCTGCAAAACAGGAAGAGAGCCCTCACCGGAGTGCAACTATGTTGGCATCCTGATCTCAGACTTCCAGCATCCAGAATGTGAGAAAATAAATGTCTGTTGTTTATGCCACTAAGTCCATGGTATGTCACACAGGCTGGAGTGCAGTGGCTCGATCTCGGCTCACTGCAAGCTCCGCTTCCCAGGTTCACACCATTCTCCTGCCTCAACCTCCTGAGTAGCTGGGACTACAGGCGCCTGCCACCACGCCTGGCTATTTTTTTCTTTTTTTGTATTTTTTAGTAGAGACAGGGTTTCACCGTGTTAGCCAGGATGGTGTCGATCTCCTGACCTCGTGATCTGCCCGCCTCAGCCTCCCAAAGTGCTGGGATTAAAGGCGTGAGCCACCGCGCCTGGCCCAAGTCCATGGTATTCTATGGCAGCCTGAGCCGACTAAGACAACCCCTAAATACTGCATGTACATCTGCTAAGAATAAAGACATTCGCTTACATCATCACACCAAGAAAATTGGTAAGCTCCAGAATATTCAATATCCAATTCGTAGTTAGATTTCTTCCAAATTGTCCTCAGAATGTTTTCTATTTATTCAAAATTTTTGTTTATTTATTTAATTTATTTTAGAGACAGCATCTCACTCTATGGCCCAGGCTGGTGTGCAGTGGTGTGATTATGGCTCACTGCAGCCTTTACCTTCTGGGCTCACGTGATCCTCTTGCCTCAGCCTTCTCAGTAATCAGGACTACAGGTACACACCACCACACCCAGCTTGGAATGTCTTTTTTTTTTTTTTTTTTTGAGATGGAGTTTCTCTCTTATTGCACAGGCTGGAATGCAGTGGCACAATCTTGGCTCATTGCAACCTCTGCCTCCCGGGTTCAAGCGATTCTCCTGCCTCAGCCCCCCAAGTAGCTGGGACTACAGGCGTGCGCCACCACGCCCAGCTAATTTTTTGTATTTTTGGTAGAGATGGGGTTTCACCGTGTTAGCCAGGATGGTCTCGATCTCCTGACCTCGTGATCCACCCGCCTTGGCCTCCCAAAGTGCTGGGATTACAGGCGTGAGCCACTGCACCCGGCCTCTAATTTTGTACTTTTAATAGAGATGGGGTTTCGCCATATTGGCCAGGCTGGTCTTGAACTCCTGACCTCAGGTGATCCACCCACCTGGGCCTCCCAAAATGATAGGATTACAGGTGTGAGCCTCTGCGCCTGGCCCAGAATGTCTTTTTATAGGTGCTTTTAAATTTTTCAACCAGAATTAACTGGCCATGGTAGCATGTGCCTGTAGTCCTAGCTACTTGGGAGGTTGAGGCTGGAGGATCACTTGAGCCCAGGAGTTCAAGGCTGCAGTCAGCCATGATCATAACACTACACTCCAGCCTGGGTGATAGAGAGACACCCCATCTCTAAAAAAAGAAAAATAGCCTGTAATCCCAGCACTTTGGGAGGCCGAGGCGGGCGGATCACGAGGTCAGGAGATTGAGACCATCCTGGCTAACATGGTGAAACCCCATCTCTACTAAAAATACAAAAAATTAGCCGGGCATGGTGGCAGGCGCCTGTAGTCCCAGCAACTCAGGAGGCTGAGGCAGGAGAATCGCTCGAACCCGGGAGGCGGAGGTTTGCAGTGAGCCGAGATTGTGCCACTGCACTCCAGCCTGGGCGACGGAGTGAGACTGCGTCTCAAAAAAAGAAAAAAAGATAGCCAGGCGCGGTGGCTCACGCCTGTAATCCCAGCACTTTGGGAGGCCAAGGCGGACGGATCACGAGGTCAGGAGATCGACACCATCCTGGCTAGCACGGTGAAACCCCGTCTCTACTAAAAATACAAAAAATTAGCCGGGTGTGGTGGCGGGCGCCTGTAGTCCCAGCTACTCGGGAGGCTGAGGCAGGAGAATGGCGTGAACCCGGGAGATGGAGCTTGCAGTGAGCCAAGATCGCGCCACTGCACTCCAGCCTGGGCAACAGAGAGAGACTCCGTCTCAAAAAAAAAAAAAAAGAAAAAAATATATAAATTTAAATAAAATAAAAATTTCAACCAGAATCTGGACAAGTTCCACACACGTAACATTTTTTCATTTAGAACAATCTCCCTACTTACCCCCTGGCCACTGTCATTGACAATTTTGATGAACCAAGGCCAATTGCCTTATAAAATGTTCCACTTTCTACATTTATCTGATGTTTCCTCATGCCTAAACTCAGTTACAGTATTTTTGGCAAGAATTCTACATAAGAGATGCTGTCAGCCAGATGAGGTGGCTCATGCCTGTAATCCTAGCACCTTGGGAGGCCGAGGTGGGAGGACTGCTTGAGACCAGGAGTTCAGGAGCAGCCTGGGCAACATAGTGAAACCCCATCTCTACAAAAAAAAATTTTTTTTAATTAGCCAGGCATGATGGTTCGGGCCTATAGTCACAATTACTCAGGAGGCTGAGGTGGGAGGATCACTTGAGCCTGGAAGGTTGAGGTTGCAGTGAGCTGTAGTCACGCCACTGCACTCTAGCCTAGGCAATAGAGGGAGAGCCTGTCTAAGAAAAAATGTCACGAGATGCTGTCTACTTTACACTGCTTCGTATCAGGAGGCATCTGATGGTAGGTGATCCTGAGTTGGAGTACTGCGTTAAGGTGGTATGGGGGGCAGGTGCAGTGGCTCATGCCTGTAATCTCAGAACTCTGGGAGGCCAAGGCTGGCAGATTCCTTGAGCTCAGAAGTTCAAGACCAGACTGGGCAACAATGGTGAAACTCCATCTCTACAACATAATACAAAAATCAGCCAGGCGCGGTGGCTGATTTTCTCCCAGACTGAGGAGGGAGGATCACCTGAGCCTGGGAGGTCGAGGCTGCAGTGAGCTGTGATCACGCCACTGCACACCAGCCTGGGTGATCAAGTGAGACCCTGTCTCAAAAAAAAAAAAAAAAAAAAAAAGGTGGTATGGGGATCCACTTTTTTTTTCTTGAGACAGGTTCTCGCTCTGTTGCCCATGCTGGAGTGCAGTGGCAGCATCTTGGGGATCCATTTTGAACCTCTTCAAGCTTGTCCCACCTGAGGTCTGCAGCCACATGTGGCCCAGGACCACTTTGAATGTGGCCAAACACAAATTCGTAAACTTTCTTAAAACATTATGAAATTTAGGCAGGGCACAGCGGCTCACGCCTGTAATCCCAGCACTTTGTGAGGCTGAGGCAGGCAGATCACTTGAGGTCAGGAGTTCGTGACCAGCCTGGCCAACATGGTGAAACCTCGTCTCTACTAAAAATACAAAAATTAGCCGAGTGTGGTGGCACGCGCCTGTAATCCCAACTACTTGGGAGGCTGAGGCAGGAGAATCACTTGAACCCAGGAGTCGGAGGTTGCGGTGAGCCAAGATCACACCACTGAACTACAGCCTGGATGACAAAGTGAGACTCCGTCTCAAAAAAACAAAACTAAAACAAAGAAAAAAAAACTGAGGTTTTTTGTTTGTTTGTTTTTTGAGATGGAGTTTCGCTCTTGTTGCCCAGGCTGGAGTGCAATGGCGCGCAATCTCCACTCACCGCAACCTCCGCCTCCCGGGTTCAAGCAATTCTCCTGCCTCAGCCTTCCCAGTAGCTGGGATTATAGGCGCGCGCCACCACGCCCGGCTAATTTTGTATTTTTAGTAGACATGGGTTTCTCCATGTTGGTCAGGCTGGTCTCGAACTCCCAACCTCAGGTGATCCGCCCGTCTCGGCCTTCCAAAGTGCTGGGATTACAGGCGTGAGCCACCGCGCCCGGCCAAAACATTGAGGGTTTTTTTGGCGATTTTTTTTTAAGCTCATCAGCTATCGTTAGTGTTGGTGTATTTTACGTGTGGCCCAAGACAATTCTTCCAATGTGGCCCAGAGAAGCCAAAAGATTGGACACCTCCATTTATAGTATAAAATGAAAGCCACTAGGCTTTCGGCTCAGCCCCTTTTCCTTACACTGCCAGTCAGCTGCGCTCAGGGACCCGCAGTTCAGAGTTCAACACGGGCAGATTCCCTCTCTTCCTTGCTTGCTCCTGCCAGCCGCAGCCGTGGGCCAGTACAGCATGGCCCGGCCCCGCCCCGGCTCTTTCCAGAGGTCCGCAGCCTGGCCGGCCCAGCGGGCGGAACCGATAGTGTCTGGCACTTGGCTCGCCCGGACTCTGAATCCTGGAGCACCAGGCGCCCACGAGAACGCTGTTCTCTTTGGCTTCCGGGCGCACGCTACTCTGTCGCCGCCGTCAGACCGGAATTGCCGGTGCCGCCGCCACCGCTGTCTGTGCGCCCACCTCTGCTGCTACCATGGGGATCTTAGAGAAGATCTCGGAGATCGAGAAGGAGATCGCTCGGACACAGAAGAACAAGGGTGAGGGCCGGCCGGGCGGGGCCTTCCTTTCTGCCTGCCTCAGTTTTCCTGTCTGTAAAATGGGGGAACAACTCCAGCAGTAATGCTGGGGCAAGATCCGAGGCCGCGGAGAAGTTGCCAGACAAGTGCCGAGGCCGCCCTGCGCGCCCAAGGCAGGGCCAGGCGGGAGCGGGTCTCACGCCCAGGTCTGACTGCAAACGTACCCCAAGAGATCTGGTCAGTCCCAGACCGTGTGCCCGAGTAGAGTAGTCCCAGCTCACAGAGCAAGCATCTGACCCAGAGAGAGGCGGAGCTGGGGTTCAAACCTCAGTCTCCTGATGGCTGGGCCTGGGGCCTGGGTCTACTCTGTTGTTTTGGGAAGTGCAAGAGGAGACCTCTCAGGAACAGCCTCACCCAGCAGCTGAGAGCCCATTGGAGCAAGGGAATCAGGACTCTGGAGTCTGGAAGGCCTGGGTTTGAGCCCCAGGTCCACCACGTACCTTCTGTAAAACATTGGAAAGTCACTTCATTTCTTGGAGTCTCAGTGTCCTCATCTGTAAATGGGGTAATACTCCCCTGCTCCATCTTAGTACACAGCTGAGTTAAATTAGATGGCCTTTACAAAGCACTGGGCACATGGTGAGCACTCAGTATTTAAAGTAAACACCCCAACATAGATAATACATAATGAAGCCTCAAATCTGGACTTTAGAATGTAAGGGCTGGAGGAGCTCACAGAAGAGAGGTGAGGAGAGAACGATGACACCAGGACAAAGTGGGACTTGAGCTGGTTGTTGGAAGGGTATCCCAGGTGGGGGCCACTGCTGAGACAAAGACATGGGAGTGAGCATGGTATGTTCATGGGACAGTGAGAACAATCTAGATCAGAAGGGGGTTATGGAAGAGTAATGGGAGATGCAATTGGCCAGGCTAGTGGCTAGCCATTCAGGCTTGTGGGAGCAGGAAGCAAGCAACACTAGATAGCTGGTCCCAGTGTCTGCCCTCCCTTGGTTCCATTTAGGTTTGAAGGCCAAGGAGTTGAGGGCCCTCTATGACTCATTCCTTCTGTAAATCTTTTTTGTTTGTTTGTTTGAGACAGTCTTGTTCTGTCACCCAGGCTAGAGTGCAGTGGTGCCATCTGGGCTCACTGCAACCTCTGCCTCCCAGGTTCAAGCGATTCTCCTGCCTCAGCCTCCAAATAGCTGGGATTACAGGCACGTGCCACCACACCCGGCTAATTTTTGTATTTTTTTAGTAGAGAGGGGGTTTTGCCATGTCGTCCAGGCTGGTCTCAAACTCCTGACCTCAGGTGATCCACCCGCCTCGGCCTCCCAAAGTGCTGGGATTACAGGCATGAGCCACCGTGCCTGGCCGATCTTTCCTGAGCCTTTACTATGTGCTAGGCACTGTGGTTAAAGCAGTGAACACAGCAGGCATATCCCAGCCCTTGGATCTGATCTTCTAGTTGACGGTCTGAAAACTAGAAATCAAATAAATAAGATAATGTCAGCCAGCAATATGTGCTATGAAGACAAACCAGGGTGATACAGCAGAATATTGGGGGTGGGGAGGGACTGGGGATTGGGTCTGCTTAGGTGGAGTGATAGAGAAGACCACCATGAGGATGGGGCATTTGAACTAAGACCTGATTGAAAAGAAGGAACCGGTCACGCAAACATCTGGGGGAAGAGGGTTCCTGGCAGAAAGAGCAGCTAGTGCAAAGGCCCTGAGGCAGGAACAAACTTGGCTGTTTACAGGTCAACAGGACTGGGGCTGGGGTGCAGTGATGGGACAGGAGGGGGTTGATCATGCAGAGCCATAGGTCATGGGAAAGACTCTGGGTTGTGTTCTAAGGCAGTGGGAGCTGGTGCAGGGTGTTAAGCAGGGGAGGGGCTATTCTGACTTCTGTCTTGAAAGTTCCCTCTGGCTGCTGTAATATTCCATATTACCCATAAGACCCAAGGAAAGTCACAGGGAGGCTAGAGATGCTGCCACTTTGGCAGTAGTAGACAAAGGAGATATAAAGGTGATTAAGACCTAGTCCCTCCCTTCAGAGATGCTCAGAATTTTAGGAGCTGGGATGACAGGAAGGGCCATGTGTACCTGACTGACACTGAATCCTTTTTTTTTTTTTTTTTTTTTTTTGAGACAGTCTTGCTCTGTTGCCCAGGCTGGAGTGCTGGAGTGCAGTGGTGTGATCATAGCTCACTGTAACTTCAAACTCCTGCATTCGAGCAATCCTTCCACCTCCACCTCTTGAGTAGCTGGGACTACAGGTGTGCACCACCACACCGGGCTAATTTATATATATATATATATATATATATATATATATATATATTTTTTTTTTTTTTTTTTTTTTTTTTTGAGATGGAGTTTCACTCTTGTTGCCCAGGCTGGAGTGCAATGGTGCAATCTCGGCTCACCGCAACCTCCGCCTCCCAGGTTCAAGGGATTCTCCTGCCTCAGTCTCCCAGGTGTGTGCCACAACGCCCAGCTAATTTTGTGTCTTTAGTAGAGACAAGGTTTCTCCATGTTGGTCAGGCTGGTTTCGGACTCCGGACCTCAGTTGATCCGCCCACCTCGGCTTCCCAAAGTGCTGGGATTACAGGCGTGAGCCACCCCACCCGGCCAATTTTTATGTTTTTTGTAGAGGCACGGTCTCACTATGTTGCCCAGGGTAGTCTTGAACTCCCAGCCTCAAGCAGTCCTCCCTTCTCAGCTTCCCCAAAGTGTTGGGATTACAGGTGTGAGCCACCCCACCCGGCCAATTTTTATGTTTTTTGTAGAGGCACGGTCTCACTATGTTGCCCAGGGTAGTCTTGAACTCCCAGCCTCAAGCAGTCCTCCCTTCTCAGCTTCCCCAAAGTGCTGGGATTACAGGCATGAGCCACCATGCCCAGCTGCAGAACCCATTCTTGACCATTTCTTACTGCTATCAATTCACTGATTCACTTGGTAAAATATTTCCTGTGTGCCTGGGCCCTGTGCTGGAGGCTGGGGATCCAGTCCCATTTCCTGACCTATCGGAGTCAGGGAAGTAAAGAAATAAGATCATTTTCAGAGTCGAGAAGACAGTAAACCTGCTCATGAGGCAGGAAGCAGTCTGGGGAAGGGCGGAATTTACTGTAGATTATAGCCAACTTTTATTGGGTGCTTACTGTATGCTAAGCGATGTTCTTAGTGCTTTCTGTAAGACTTCTCCATTATTCCACCATCAAAAATCTGCTGAAGTATGGTCAGGCACAGTGGCTCACGCCTGTAATCCCAGCACTTTGGGAGGCCGAGGTGGGTGGATCACTTGAGGTCAGGAGTTTGAGACCAACCTGGGCGACACGGTGAAACCCCGTCTCTACTAAAAATACAAAAATTAGCCAGGCATGGTGGCACCAGCCTGTAGTCCCAGCTACTCGGGAGGCGGAGGCAGGAGAATCTCTTGAACCCAGGAGGTGGAGGTTGTAGTGAGCTGAGATCGCACCACTGCACTCCAACCGGGGTGACACCAGTGAGACTTTGTTGGTGGCTCACACCTGTAATTCCAGCATTTTGGGAGGCCAAGGCGGGCGGATCACCTGACGTCGAGAGTTCGAGACCAGACTGACCAACATGGAGAAACCCCATCTCCATTAAAAATACAAAAAATTAGCTGGGCATGGTGGCGTGTGCCTGTAGTCCCAGCTACTTGGGAGGCTGAGGTAGGAGAATCTCTTGAACCCTGGTGGCAGAGGTTGCAATGAGCTGAGATCACACCACAGCACTCCAGCCTGGGCGATACAGTGAGACTCCATCTCAAAAAGAAAAAAAAAGAAATCTGCCTAAGAAGTTACTACTGTTAATAACCCTATTTGCAGATTAAGAAACTGATGCACAAGAAGACTAACTTTTCCAAAGTAAAATGGCCCCACTAATGGCAGGGTGGAGTTCTGACACAAGCTCTCACTGCCCTCTGAGACTGGGCAGGGGAGGCCTCTTTGAAGAAGTGACATTTGAGCTGCACCTCAAATGATGGTAAGGAGCCAGTTCCAGGAAGATCTCGTTGAAATGGAGAGAATCGCCAGTGTGAAGGTCCCAAGGAAGGAATGATGTCAGCATATTCTAGAAAAGGAAAAAAAGAAAGGCCAGGCCCAGTGGCTCAACCTGTAATCCCAGCACTTTGAGAGGCTGAGGCAGGAGGATTGCTTACAGCCAGGAGTTCAAGACCAGCCTGGGTAACATAGCAACATCTCATCTCTACAAAAACAATTTTTTTAATTAGGCAGTCCTGGTGGTATATGCCTGTAGTCCTAGTTATTCAGGAGGCTGAGGCAGGAGTTCAAGACTAGTGAGCTATAATCGTGCCACTGAACTCTAGTCTGAGTGACAGAATGAGACCCCCATCTCTTTAAAAAAAGAGGAGAAAGCAACTGTGTCTGGAATGTAGCAGAGTGTGTTGAAGTAGCCAGGAGCCAGGTAACATAGGGTCCTGGTTCTCAGTCTCAACGACGGCCTCCTTTTAGAGCAAAGAGTTTGTAACACCATTTACAGTCCTGAAATGAAATTCCCCATCAGTAATATAACTTGAATTTGAAAAAAACCAATATAATACCCTAATAGTAATATAAAGGAGAAGAAGAAAAAGGAAAGTAATTTATAATGAAAATGGTATTTATTTAAATACATAAATGCTGGAGTGCTGCCAGGATCTAACGAAGTTACCCTGAAGCAGTAGAATGCTCATGCCTCTAGGTAGAATCACTGGGGATGTGACAGCCACGATGCAGGTGTGTTGTATTGGCCACTGAGTTACACCCCAAGAGGGGCTGCCATGGCAGCGTGGGATCCCAGAATGGTGAGCAGCTCTAGGTAAAGTTTCAGACAAAGCATGACATAGTCTTCCCTTCATATACATAATAGTTGCATTCCTGGGAATTTCAGTGTATATTAACACTGTACAAAATGTCCTGTGTTTATATGTAAACAGAGCTAGGTTCTAGGCCTGGCGATCCTAACCCAGGTTTTCCCTCTGTGGATGCCTTTGGGATGTGACAAGTCATGGACTTGGGATAATTCTCCTCAGCTACATAGGACTGACTCACCTAATAGGGCAGCTGGTTTCCCTGCCCCCTGCCCAATAGATGCCAATGCGTACTTCACCATCAAAGTGAACAGAAAACATCTCCCAGAATTTCCAGAATGCCCCCCAGGAAGCGGTGCCCCCTCTGTTGAGAACCATTGGTGAGAACCATTTGGTGAAGTCTCAACAAAGAGGCGGGATTTTTTTTTTTTTTTTTGAGATGGAGTTTCACTGTTGTTGCCCAAGCTGGAGTGCAATGACGTGATCTCGGCTCACCACAACCTCTGCCTCCTGGGTCAAGTGATTCTTCTGCCTCAGCCTCCCAAATAGTTGGGATTACAGGCATGAACGACCATGCCCAGCTAATTTTGTATTTTTAGTAGAGACAGGGTTTCTCCATGTTGGTCAGGCTGGTCTCGAACTCCTGACCTCAGGTGATCCACCCGCCTCGGCCTCCCAAAGTGCTGGGATTACAGGCGTCAGCCACTGCGCCCGGTCTAAGAGACTGGATTTTATCTTAAATGAAGTGAGAAGCCAAGGGGGCCTTTTAAGCAGAGAGATTTTTTTTTTTTCTCCTGATCTCCTTGACAGCAGTTGCTTCCCAGCCAGCACTTGGCGACATGTGGGCCCTGCCTGACCCCTGGGCTTGGACACCCTGGCCACTCATCTTCTGTCTTGCTTTCCATCCTTTAGCCACTGAGTATCATCTGGGCCTGCTGAAAGCTAAGCTCGCCAAGTATCGGGCCCAGCTCCTGGAACCGTCCAAATCGGCCTCGTCCAAAGGAGAGGGCTTTGATGTCATGAAGTCGGGTGATGCCCGTGTGGCGCTGATTGGATTTCCCTCTGTGGGTAAGGTCAGTGATGGTCAGTGTGGGCCTCGGGGAGGAAAGCAAGAAGTCATCTTTCAAACAGGTGACCATCCAGGCTCCCCTCGCTGCCTTTCTGCTTAGCTCCAGGGACACAGAAGACCTGGCCTCCCCCAGGGTCAGATCCCAGCCCTTTATCATCCTAACATGGAGGACGCTCTTTCCTCTTGCCAGCAGATGGAGCCCTACTTGGTCTTCCGACTCAGTCATCACACACAAATACTTCTCGAGTGTGTATCTCTAGCGGTGTCATGTGCTGGGCACTGTGCCAGGGACTAGAGACATAGCATGAATGAGACAGAGCTCTGTCCCTGCCCACATAGATCTCCCATTCTTGAAGAGAAAGGACAGTAAATAAGTAATAAGGTGCATCCAGTGGTGAGGAGTGGGGGCTGGTGAGTGACAGGGTGAAGGTCTGCTAGTTACGACAGGTCCCGGCAGGTTTCTCTGGTGAGTGAGTATTTGGGCAGGGGCCTGAAGGAAGTGAGTGAGCTTGCAGAGTCCTGGGTGAGAACCTTCCAGACAGAGGGAACAGTGAGCACAGGCCCTTAGGCAGGTGCTCGCTTGGTGTGTCCAGGGAGGCCCAGGTGGCTCTCTGAGGAGCACAAGGAGGGCAGAAGACAGAGAGGATAGCGGCATATGGGCGGCCGAAAGGACCCTGGCTTGGATTGAAGAATGAAACTGCAGAGTTTTTAGAAGGTTTCTTCGGCCGGGCGCGGTGGCTCACACCTGTAAACCCAGCACTTTGGGAGGCCAAGGTGGGTGGATCACCTGAGGTTGGGAGTTCAAGACCAGCCTGACCAACATGGAGAAACCCTGTCTCTACTAAAAATACAAAATTAGCCAGGGGTGGTGGCGCATGCCTGTAATCTCAGTTACTCGGGAGGCTGAGGCAGGAGAATCGCTTGAACCTGGGAAGCAGAGGTTGCGGTGAGCCGAGATTGCACCATTGCACTCTAGCCTGGGCAACAAGAGCAAAACTCCATCTCAAAAAAAAAAAAAAAAAAAAAAAAAAAAAGAAGGTTTCTTCTGGAAGTTGCTCTGTTTAGCGTATAATCTATATTGGTTTACTTTTTTTTTTGAGATGGAGTCTTGCTCGGCTCACTGCAACCTCTGTCTCCTGGGTTCAAGCAGTTATCAATCAGCCTCCCGAGTAGCTGGGATTACAGGCATCCGCCACCACCCCTGGCTAATTTTTGCATTTTTAGTAGAGGTGGGGTTTCACCACGTTCGCCAGGCTGGTCTCGAACTTCTGACCTCAGGTGATCCGCCCACCTTGGCCTCCCAAAGTGCTGGGATTACAGGTATGAGCCACCGTTCCCGGCGTGATTTACTTTTATGTGAGGAATAAAATAAACATCATTGCAGGGTTTTGAGCAGAAAAGAGATGTCTGATCGGCTCTTTTTTTTTTTTTTTTTTTTTTTGGAGGTATAGTTTCACTCTTGTTGCCCAAGCTGGAGTACAATGGCACGATCTCAGCTCACTACAACCTCCGCCTCCCAGGTTCAAGCAATTCTCCTGCCTCAGTCTCCCAAGTAGCTGGGATTACAGGCATGCACCACCCCGCCCGGCTAATTTTTTGTATCCTTTTTTAGTAGAGACAGGGTTTCACCATGTTGGCAAGGCTGGTTTTGAACTCCTGACCTCAGGTGATCCACCCGCCCTTGGCCTCCCAAAGTGCTGGGATTACAGGCGTGAGCCACCGCGCCCGGCCTAAAGTAAACTTTTTATTTTAGAATAGTCTTAGATTTACAGAAAAATTGCAAAGGTAATACAGAGTTCCCATATACCCCACACCCATTTTCCCTGGCAGTTAACATTTTACACCAATGAATATTGATCTGTTCTTGCCTCAAGTCTGGCTTTATGCAGATTTCCTTAGCTCCTCCCCACTGTCCTTTTTCTGTCCTGAGATCCCACATCACAGTTCAGTTGTTATGTCTCCTTAGGCTCTTCTAGACAGTTCCTTAGACTTGCCTTGATTTGATAACCTTGACGGTTTTAAGGAGTACCATTCCCATATTTTGTAGAAAGTCCTTCAGTTGGGGTGTGTCCAATGTTTTTCTCGTGGTTAATCTGGGGTTATAGTTAGCAAGGAAGGCCACAGAGGTAAAGTGCCATTTTTATCACATCGCATGAAGGCCACATACTGTCAACATGACTTACCCCTGCTGATGTTGATCTTGACCACCTGGCTGAGGTGTGTCAGGTTTCTCCACCGTGGAGACGCTCTCTTCTCCCCTTGCCATGCCGCTTTGGGGAGGGAGGTGACTGTGTGCAGTCCAATTCCATCGCCTCCTTGAGGGGAGCATCTACAGAAACTGTTTGGAATTCTTCTGCATGGGAGATTTGTCTCTCTTCTCCCATTCATTTGTTTTATTCAATCATTTATTGATATCCGTATGGATTCGTGGGGGGTTATTTTGTGCTTTGGGGTCTAAACCCATACCATGTTCTTTTGCTGCTCAAATCTTTTTAGCTTTGGAGCTATTTTAGTTGGCTTCTTTGATGTACTTCCACCATTGTGTTTTTCCAGCACTTCCTCACTTTCTGACACTGCAAGATGCCTCAGGCTCATTTTGTATATTCCCTGCCCTGGCCTAGAATCTGCCATTTCTCTAAGGAGCCCTGGTTCCTTTGATTGGAGAATAGCATTAGAAACTACCATCTGGGCGCTGACTTACTTTTTTACAGAATCACTCTGGCTGTTGTGTAGATAGCAGGTTATAGCAGGGCAAAGTGAAGTGGGACAGTGGAGAGGTTGCTAGAATATAGGCCAAGTGAGCAACAACCAAAGCTCTGGACAGGTGCTGGGGAGCAGCTTCTAACTCAGTTCAGCTGAACAATTTGAGCCCACACCCAGTTTCCATTGCTCTGGGCCAGGCACAGGGGATGGTGGTTAACAGCTACCTTTTCTTGAGTGCTTGCTGCAGGCTGGGCAGTGTTTAGTTTTATTTGTTGTACTGTCTGCCTATATGATTGGTATATGTATCAGAGAGAGAGAGATTGATAGAGAAGCCGCTCTAGTTACCAAGAGCCGTGACCCTTGAAGTCTGGGCCCATGGCAGATCCCACCTGCCTTATTGGGAGTATAGGCTCTCCCACCGTGGGAGGGCCCAGGTCTTACAGGGGCCAGACAGAATCAGGGAGTGGCCCCGAGGTTGGTTGCTGGCTGTCTCAACAGCCATTGCTCTTGGGGCCACCGTGTCTATCCCTATACCTGTCCACTCCACCAGGTTTTTCTCATTTCTTGAGTTTCCAGGAGATCCCCAAGGCTGAGGGTTTCTGGATTTGGGAACTCGATGTATTTCCATCACATGCCACATTCTGGACTTGAGAGGTCTAAGGGTGCCTTGGGGAGGGTGCCCCCAGTCTTCCTGCCAGTCAGCCAGGAGGCAGGGTCTGGATAGCTGGCCCTGCAACTCAGAGTCTCAGGCTTCTCGTTCCTGGGGCCCTGCTGATTAGGATGGGGCAGGAGGCATGGGGCTGGGTTTCTTCCCTCCCTGGGTCTGCCCACTGCTTGGCTGGCCTCAGCCACAGCATCTATCACTGATGTTACAGTGTTTGGAGTGAGGCACATCCCGGGCCTTATCTTTTTAATCCCTGTGCAGTCCTGTGAGGTAGGGACCGGGTTCATGCCCATTCTACATGTAAAGACCCTGAACTGAGAGTATGGAGTTTCCTGCCCAATCCCAGGACACCCCGGCAGAGGCAGGATTCAAAGCCAGGTTTCTCCAACTCCCAGCCACAGTGAACGGTGGTCTGAGTGGTCACATCCACATCTTCCCAGTTCCCCACTCCCTCCCTGCGACACCTCTCCTGTCAGCTGTCTCTGCCTCAGCCCAGGAGGTTGACATCTCCTTGCACACCTCCTTACACCCTCCCTGGGTGCACAGCATGTCTGGGTACTGGTTCCACGAGTGCCGTGGGACTGCCACCTGCTTAAAGTTCTCTGGGGCCAAGAGGGCCTGGAGGATTGTGTGGGGTTAGGAGAGGCTCCTGATGTATATGGGGAACCCCATCAGAATCCAGATCCCTGCCTCTACCTGAGACAGTCCTGAGGCCTCCAAGGAACAGATGGGCCTCTGGTGTCTGACCCATCCAGGACAGGGCCAGAGGTGAGCCCTCTGGCTGGGAGGTCTCTTCACAGCCACCTAGGTCACCAAGCCGAGGGTGAGAGGGTCTCCTCCTGCTGCCTGCACCTGCAGGCCCCCAGCCCCTGGGGCCTCTCCCAGAAGGCCAGGGACAAGGCTCCTCAGTGCAATGATCTCCTTTTCTCCTAGTCCACATTCTTGAGTCTGATGACCTCCACGGCCAGCGAGGCAGCGTCCTATGAGTTCACCACTCTGACGTGTATTCCTGGGGTCATTGAAGTAAGTGGGTGTGCTGGGCCCAGAAGGAGAAGGGGCGCATGCTTGTGTTTGGACTTGTGCCTGTGCCCACCCTGTGTGTGAGTCTGGGTGGATGTCCCCATGTCAGGACAGGCTCTGGACTGAGCTGCTTTGCCCTCCAGCACTGACACTTCTGGGGATCCTAGCTGCTGGACCCCAGAGATGCCTGGTGGGGCCTGGAACTAGGAGGTCAGGCCAGCATGTGGCTACTTTGCCTGGCGCCCCCTGTGCTCTCCTCCCCAACACCACCACAGCTCTGGTCACTAATTGCTGCTTGGCTGGATCCTTCTGCCTCCCCATGAAGCTTCACTGCCTTGGGCTGTGTTTGCTTTGGGCAGCTGAGTGGTATGGCCTTAAGTTCCCATGGTGAAACAATTTATTTGTAAAGTGCTGGTATCATCAGTGATGAGTGTTGTGGGATTGGAAGATCTTGAGCCCTCCCTAGGCGGCTACTCAGCTCATAGGCTGTGGTCTGCACTGGGCTGGGGTGGTGACAAGGCTCAGACTTGGCCACAGGTTGGCATCTGGGTTTCCCTCAGCCCCTGAGCCCCGGGGCCATTCCAGATGTCCCAGATCCAGACAGGACCTTTCCAGTGGAGGCCCAGCCTTGCCTTACCTTTCTTCTCTTCTGCATCCTAGTACAAAGGTGCCAACATCCAGCTCCTGGACCTTCCTGGAATCATTGAAGGCGCAGCCCAAGGTGGGAGGCAGGGCAGGTGTGTGGGAAGCAGACTGGAGCTCTGTTACTGATCGTTGAAATTGGGTGTGGCTGTCATGGAGATCACTCTGGATCCCTGGTCCATTATCCCGCTTTCCAGAAAAGACAGGTTCCAGTTCAAATCCTTGGCACCAAACTAGCCTTGTGATCTTGGGCAAGTGATTGGGTATCTCTAAGCCAAGCCTCAGTTTCCTCAGCTGTAGAATGGGCATAATAATACATAATTTACAGCATAGTTTTGAGGATTAAGTGAGGAAATGTTCAGGAAGCATTTAGCCTGGGCCCTGCCACATGGTAGGGGTGGGCGTAGGACAGCCGTTATTATCCTGTTACTCCTTTTATGATGGTGGTGTCGGATTTTCTTCTGAAATAAGTCTCCGTCAGTAAAACATGTGGATTAAAGAAAAATGCCAAGCTTGTGCTAGTATGTGGCAGAGGCTGTGGTAGGTCTGTAAAGGACAGGAGTCCAGGGCGCCGTGGGCTGGGTAGCAGTCACATGGGTCCACATATGTAACTGCATCCCTCACACCCATCCAGGAAAAGGCCGTGGCCGGCAGGTGATCGCTGTGGCGCGCACGGCTGACGTCATCATCATGATGCTGGATGCCACCAAGGGAGAGGTGCAGAGGTCCGCAGGGTGGGGCATGGGGCAGGCTCACATGTCTGGGGAGGGCCAATGTGTCCCTGAGCTCGTACTAGGCGGCCTGTGGGTGTTTGGCTCTCTCACACGTGAGAGTAGTGGTAGGACTTGTCACAGACTAAACCCAACACCACCCAGCCTATGGCGTCTTCTCCTCAAGGCTTGTGTCCAGCCAGCACAGAGGTATCTTGGGACTGGGGGCCGAGGGGCTTGGCCTGGCCCTGCTTCCTGTTCAGAGGCACAGGTGCCTCATCACTGCCCAGAACCTGCCAGGAGCCCAGCCCCAGGCACAGAAGCATTGTTCATCCACATCCTGGCAGAGGGGTACACCAGGCCTGCCTCCTCGGGACCAGAAGGAGTACCCTCATGTGGTCACCTCGCGGGGGCTCCACCACTTGCCTGTGCATGCCGACCGTAAACCGGGCCAGTCCCCTCTGGGACTGTGGCAGAGTTTAGAAGTTCCCTGCAGCTCTAGGGCATTGGGAAGGAGTGTTCTCTGGGTTGCTGGGGAAGGGGGTGGAGGAGAGAGTCAGTCTCTGGGTGGGCAGTGACATCCTGCGTAACAGGGAAGCTGTGCATCTGGCTCTGTGGACAGCCTGTGAGGGGCTTAAGGGGTACTCTTCCTAGGTCTCTGCTGGAGAAGGAGCTGGAGTCTGTGGGCATCCGCCTCAACAAGCACAAGCCTAACATCTACTTCAAGGTGAGGCACCTCTCTGGCCTTCAGGCCAGGGGTGTGGCAGTTTTGAGACTGCATTGGCTGGCGGCTGAGGCTGTGGGACCATTGCTGTGACCCCTCGGTCAGCAGTTCTCCCCATCCCTTTCTCCTCTTTCAGCCCAAGAAAGGTGGTGGCATCTCCTTTAACTCGACAGTCACGCTGACCCAGTGCTCGGAAAAGCTGGTGCAGCTCATCCTGCACGAATACAGTATCCTTCCCTGAAAGACACGTGAAGGAGGGCAGCCACCACCGTCAGCGCAGCGGGGGGACTGACTAAGACAGGAGGCCTCATGGAGCAGGGTGGCAGCAGGTCACCCCCACTGCCCCTGCTGTCCATTCAAGTAGCCTCTGGGCAAGCTCCAGACTGCCAGGTCTGCAGCCGTGCACTTGACAATGGCTTCCTGGCTCCTCACCAAGTACTGGGCACTGTGGTAGCCAGATGACATCCGGAAGAAAAAGATGTCATGGGAAACAGCCTCTGAGGACGGGGGGTTCCTAGCCTGGAGAAGCCCCAGGGAGAGCTGGGGAATGGGTGGTGCCTCTAAAGTAGTGTCGGGGGCTGGTTGTGTTCTGGGGCCCTGGGGATAGGGCAGGGCCTTGGGCAGAGTTATGCCTGGCATATAGAGAACTCTTAGAGTCAGCTGTGAGCCCCTCGTTGCCAGAGGTGTGCAAGCAGAGGCAGGATGGCCCCCAGTGGAGTCCTGCATGGAAGAAGCTGGGTTCGACCAGCTTTCAGATGCTCCTGGTGCTAAAACCCAGGCTTCCCCTGAGGGGCTTTGGGGATTCTAGCAGGTACGTTTTTCTCCCTGCCTAGCTGTCAAGATTAAAACTCTGTGTTGATTGAAACTTTTATATATTGTGGTCCCTCTGGGGAAGAGAACAGAGGGCTTCCAAAGCATTACAATCTTGCAAAACCTCACAAGCAGATACCGCCACGGTCCCACACGGCCAGCATATTTCCTGCTTGGCTTTTTGGGGCCCTCCGCTGATGGGGGACAGGGGCAGCTGGTGCACAGGTTGCCCTTAATCGGAGCCCCTCAGAGATCTTCAATGCAGAAGTGCTTTTCCGAGAAGACTGCTCCCCGGACGAGTTCATCGATGTGATCGTGGGCAACCGGGTGTACATGCCCTGCCTGTATGTAAGTGCAGGAGGGGAGCCCTGGCCTGGCCACTCGGCCTTTCTACCACATGCATTTCCTCAGCTCCCGGAACCTTGTGAGAGAAGCAGAAAGAGTCTGAGGCTCTCCCCTCACCTCACCTCACCTCAGTGGCTGCTTGGATCTTGCAGACATAGAGAGCTTGAAACCAGGGTTCCAGCCCAGCCTTCCCAACCCTGAGGCAGCAAGGGGAGGAAGGGCGTAGACTCAGCTCTCCAAGGAAGGGCTGCAGCCGGCACAGGGCGATGGAGGGCCCTTTCCTGGATGCCTTGCTCCTGTCCTCAGCACCGGCCTCCACCTTCTCAATCTCAGGTTTATAACAAAATCGACCAGATCTCCATGGAAGAGGTGGACCGCCTGGCCCGAAAACCCAACAGTGTGGTCATCAGGTGAGGCCACTGGCATCCTGCCACTCTGCTGTCCTTGCTGTGGGTTCTGACCCCAGTCGTCAGGCCTCCCAGCCACTTTGGCTGTGGAGGAGGAAAAGCCAGCACAGCCTCCAGCAGCACACAGCCGTCACGGAGCCCAGGACTTCCTGCCCAGGGCAGAGCACTTTGTCCATGAGGCCAAGGAGACACTGCAGGAGGGTCCCCTTCATAGCTGCTGGAGGCATTGGCCCATTCCAGTTCTGAATTGCCGTGGGCAGGGTGGGTGACGTCTTGTGGGCTCTGGTTAAGAAAACAGAAGGATTTCATCAACCAAGGTTGAATGGCTAAGAGGCTTCTTAACTTAGGCCAGGCGTGGTGGCTCATGCCTGTAATCCCAGCACTTTGGGGGGCTGTGGCGGGTGGATCATGAGGTCAGGAGATCGAGACTATCCTGGCCAACATGGTGAAACCCTGTCTCTACTAAAAATACAAAAATTAGCTGGGCGTGGTGGCGTGTGCCTATAATCCCAGCTACTCAGGAGGCTGAGGCAGGAGGATCACTTGAACCCGGGAGGTGGAGGTTGCAGTGAGCCGAGATCATGCCACTGCACTCCAGCCTGGGCGACAGAGCAAGACTCCATCTCAAAAAAAAAAAAAAAAAAAAAGAGGCTTCTTAACTTAGTAGTGAACCAAGGTCCCCCCAAGAAGCCCTGGGTGTGAGCCTACCTCTCCTGGTGCTCTGGAAGGTGTGGCTTCTGTCTGATCACAGCTCAAAGGGAAAAAGGGAACTAATGTTCTCAGGCCCTGGCCACTCACTTCCTGCCCTCCTTTGCAGGGTGGGTCCCTGGGGTACCGCCTGCACTCTGGATGTTTGTTCACTTGCCACCACAGCCTGGCAGGCTCCTCTTTGGGGCAGACTGATTCAGGTGCTCCACTTTGCTGGTTTCCTGACTTGAGGCAGGCACTCCACAGCTTCACAGTGAAGCTTGGCCAACAGTACTGAGAGCTCAGGGACCAAGAGGCTGGACAGCGCAAATGATGGATGAGGGTCCCGGCCTGAGCACAAGGACCATTTTGTGGTGGTTGTAGCCACCACAAAGAGCAGTGTCAGTTCTACAGCACAGCCTCAGGTCCTCTCCTCCTGCTGTGTCCCAGGCCTTTGAGGGGCTGCCATCCTCAGGGCGTGAGAGCTTCTACACCTTTACCTGCTTGTGCTCAGAATAGCTCTACAGAGGTCAGGACACAGCTCGGGGTCACGGCGCAAACCTTCAAGCCACGGTCCACCCAGTATTTGGAGCAAGGCACATCCCGGGCCTTATCTTTTTAATCCCTCTGCAGTCCTGCGAGGTAGGGACTGGGTTCATGCCTGTTCTACATGTAAAGGCTCTGGTGTCTCCAGAGCCTTGGTTCTCCCCTCTTCTTGCTGAAATCCCTGCTGGACTTCCTGGCAGTCCCTTGCTCCTCTCAAGGAGTGAACTCTGGGTGTCAGGGTTCCTAGCCTTTGCCCATGGTCCCGTCACAGCCCCCGGCCATCTCGCCATGGCAGCCCTTCACTAATCACACATGCTGCAACCCTCCACAGAGCACAGGCTTGCCAGCCCCTAGGAGAGATGCTGACCCTGGTTGAGTGTGACCATGATTGGTGCCCAGAGGCACTGGCAGCAGAAACATCAGGCTGCCATCATAGTAATGGGCTTGTTTCCCTGTGGGTACCAGCGGGCCACCTGGCCAGTGGAGGTTATCCGCTCCAATAGTGAGAAGTGGAGACCCCAGCCTCTGAATTCACAGGGGCCCCTGCCTGACTGGCCGCCTCCCTCTTTGCAGCTGCGGCATGAAGCTGAACCTGGACTATCTGCTGGAGATGCTTTGGGAGTACTTGGCCCTGACCTGCATCTACACCAAGAAGAGAGGACGTGAGTTGCACTGCGCGTAGCTGAAAAACAGGCTGAGCTTCATCCCTAGAAGGCTGCCAGGCCGGTGTGTGGTGCCCAGAGACCCCAGCACCGGCTCTGGCCTGGCTTGTCTAGACACACCTCAGCTCTTTTCCCTTCTCAGCACTGGGCACTGCTGGTTTTGAGGGTACCCTGGTGGGGCAAGGCTACCTTGGGGTCCCCACTGGCTGTAGCAGTCAGTGCCCTCCTGACCTCCCCTCACAGTGACAGGCCCTACCGCAGGAGCATTAGGGACCTGAATCCACAGGAGCCATCCCCATGTCTAACTCCTGCCCATCCTCCTGGTGCGCACACACACATGCCCTGGGGTCCCAACAGCTGAATTCGGAGCAGTTTGCATCAACCCTGACTTTGGCAAGGAGTGAGCTACAGCTTCCCTCACTAGACTCCAGCATCCCTTTGCGCCCTGCCCGTTCAGTCCAGGTCCTGGTCTCTGTCAGTGCTGTCACAGCAGATGGGTGGCAGGCACTGTGAATCCTAGACGTGATTTATTTTGAGTCACTGTGTTAAGATCAAGGTCGTAGAAGATGGTACAGGGATCTATGTGGAGGGTGTGCTGGATGTCAGGGGGAGGTTAGGCCAAGGCAAGGAGACCGAAAGGGCCTCTGTGGCCAGCTCTTCCCTCGCGCAGAATCACAAGATGGCAGTGTGGGCCCTGATGTGTGGCTGACGTTCTCCCCATCCTGCCCTGCAGAGAGGCCAGACTTCACAGACGCCATCATTCTCCGGAAAGGGGCCTCAGTGGAGCACGTGGTGAGTTGACAAGACCTGCCGTGACAAGGGGTGGGAGCTCTGCATGCCCTTTGGGGCTCTGTTCTGCCTGAGGTGCCCTGGGCTGGGGGTGGGCTCTGCTGGTCTCACTCTCAGATGTCAACGCAGGCTCTGGAGTTGGACAGCCTGGGGCTGCGTCTGCAGCACCCCTTCTTAGCCATGTGCCGAGGCTCTGACCTCTACTGTGAGGGGGGTGTGCTGCCTGCCCCCTGGATAGTCAGGAGGACACGTTGAATGAGGTCCAGTGTGTAGGGCACTCAGCATGCTGCCTGGCTTTGCAGAGATGCCAGTAACCCTGCTTCCATGCCATTCAGGCATCAGTCAAGGAGAGTAGGGAGTGGCACCAGCTTAACACAGAGGTCAGGACAGCGGCTTCAAGGAGGCAACCTGAGCCGGCTTATAGGACTAGTGGGTCTGGCAGTGAAGAGTTGGGGTGGGGAGCATCCCAGGTAGGGGAGCAGGCATGCACAGGCCCCAGGGGAGGTGGTCTGGGCTCAGGGAGCAAGAGGCTGCCTTTCCCTGTCCAGGATTCTGTCACCTGAACATGACCCTGCAGGCACAGATGGTGGCCAACCTTCAGGTCACATGGCCGTCCTCCTGGGCTGATGCTTTCCTGGTGTTGTTTTCCTCTAGCTCATTTCTTCTTGGGATCTGTATCCTGGAGGCAAGGGATGCTGTAGACCCAGCTGTCCCTGCAGCCCCTTAGGACAGTGGTGGCAGGGCCTGTAATCTGGTCTCATGCATTCATTCATTCCGCAAGCCCAGCCCCAGGTCTCTGAGTGCCACCCTAGAGGTGTTAAACAAAGGAGGCCAGGCAAAGTCCCATCTCCCTCAGGGCCTAGGCTTGAGATCACAGCAGGAGGAGCCAAGGAGACTCACGATTACCCTCCTGAATCCCTTCAGTCACTCACAAGTGGCAATGCTGGGCAAGCTGAGTAAAACAAAACCCATCTGCAGACCAGAGTCAGCCACCTTCCCATCTGTGTCAAGGAAGTGTTCCTGCAGGCCTGGCGCCGGCCTCCGCCCCAGGGACGCTGGGCTGAGGTGTTGGGTCTCCCACCAGGGCCTGGAAGACCTGTGGGCATGTGGGAGGAGGAGTCACATTGCACAATTGCAGAGTCCCCTCCCCACCGCCCTCCACTGTGCCACCATCAGCGTGGCAACCAGAGGTCTACACTCTCAGGGCAATTGCTGGCTGCCTCCTCCAGGGTCTCCTTCCAGTTTTATATGACATCTGGGACCCCTGGGATCTTCACCCCTACCAAGGAGCACTGAAGTTTATACACTGCCCTGGGAGTTGGGGGTGATGTGATGTGTGGGAAGCTTCAGGCCACAGGTGGGGCCAGGAGGAGTGAGAGATGGTGACCAAGCAGGGGGGACTCCAAGCTATCACCCTGTCCCATTCTAAAGGAGCATCTGTTCAGGCAAGGCAAGCAGAGGGCCACTAGCAGCCAGGCCCCTGACCTTCCCCTGGTGGCTTTGGGAACATTCCTAACTATGCACCACAGCTGGCAGATCAGGAGTGGGAATGGCAGGGCCACCTGCAGCTGTGATTGGGTGGCTATGTGCGAATTGAGCACGTCAGTCCTCCACACAAGGCCCAGACTGTGTGGGCACCTGCCGCGGGAACTCCTGCCTCTTGGCCTGTGTCCTGAGCTTTGGGTGTGCAGCCAAGCTTGGGATGGGGTTAGGTGAAGCCTCACCTCTCTACCTGACTCTCTCCTGTCCTCCAGTGCCACCGCATCCACCGGTCACTCGCCAGCCAGTTCAAGTACGCCCTGGTGTGGGTGAGTCTCTGGGTGGAAAGCAACCAGGGGGGTAGACCCAGGACAGCCCCTGGGTTAGGCATGAAGCAAGGCATTCACACTCTCTGCGTGGTGTTCCTGTCCTTCCTGTGGGGATTGGCATGTCTGTGTGTCTGTCCTCCATAGAATGTACATGCCAACCCAGGGTAGACATGGGCCTTCCCCACCCTTTTTTTTTTCTGGTTTTTTTTTTTTTTTTTTTTTGAGACAGGGTCTGGCTCTGTCTCCCACGCTGGAGTGCAGTGGCACGATCATGGCCCAGTGCAGCCTCGACATCTGTGCAAAAGCGATCCTCCCACCTCAGCATCACAAGTAGCTGGGACTACAGGCACACACCACCATGCCTGGCTAATTTTTCATGGAGACAAGGTTTCGCTATCTGGCCCAGGCTGTCTCAAACACCTGAGCTCAAGTGATCCTCCCACCTTGACCTCCAGAAGTGCTGGGATTACAGGCATTAGCCACTGTGCCTGGCCCTCCCCAACCTTTGAGATCAGGGATGGTCAGACAACTGCGGACATCCTGCTGCCTGAGGCCCCCACCTTATGCCATGGCATTTACCCTTCAGGACACACACGCCCAGGGATATCTTCCTTGACCTTGGCCAGTCCAGGCTGAGGTGACCCCTCTGCCCCCATTCCTCACCCAGGGCACCAGCACCAAGTACAGTCCGCAGCGGGTGGGCCTGACCCACACCATGGAGCATGAGGACGTCATCCAGATCGTGAAGAAGTAACGGCGCCTGCCGGGCCTCCCGCCCACCTGCCTCGTCTCCCTGGGGAGGTGGTCCCACTGGGACACACAAACACCCAAACAGAAAAATACAAATACACGTACCCCAGGAAGGGGTCCCTCAAGTCTCTGCTATTTACAGAAGTTTCTTCAGTAGGCAGACGAAGAGTGTGTTGGGGCAAAGGGGCTCGGTTGGAGGCATTTCCCATAAGACTGAGCCCTCTCATGGGGGTTTTGAGTTTGTAGTGCTGAGCCTGCATCTGTGCCTCCCAGCCCCCTGCACTGAGGGAGCAAGTTGCCCACATGCCCGCCAGCCAGGGCCTAAAGCAGATGGCATGCTCAGTGCCAGGCTGGTAGCTGGGCCTGTTTGGGTCCCTGGAGGCTGTGGCTGCTGTCATGGCACCTCACTCCCTCAGCTCTTGCCAGCTTCTCTGACACTTGGGTTGGGGGCCCTTCCAGGAGGAAACCCCCTTGGGTGCCCCACACAGGGCTCTCCATGATGGGAACCAGTGGTTAGTGGCTTCAAAGGCCCAGCTGACACCCTCCACAGCCTAAGGGGTGTCCTAAAGTGCCTCCCCCTGTATTCCCCCTCCCAGGGCAGCCCCTGCCCAGCACAAAACCCCAGGACCCTGGCTCTGCACGCCTGGGGCAGGGACTTTTGAGTTTAGGATCTGTATTTTCTAAGTCCCCAGTTCTCCTGGCTCTCCTTTCTGAAATAAAGGATTGAAAACGGTTCCTGTTCAGACTGAGAACACTTTGTAAACTTGCTGAACAGTAGCCAGGTTGAGTCAGGTGGGCACAGGTCAGACATTGGGCCTGGGGGTCGGAGAGGGTGCAGCCTGGGCCCCAAGGCAGACCCAGGCCTTGTGTGGCAAGGAGACTGCAGGGTTCCTCACCCAGGCACAGGCAGGCTCTGCCCAGGGGGTTGGTGTTCGGGGGTGTCAGGCCCAGACTGGCCCCTCCGGAGGGGCCTGGCTGCCAAGGTGGGCAGCATCCCAGGAGGCCCTTGTGACCATCTGGGCTGGCAGGGAGGCTCTGTGAGAACAAGGTGGCGGGTCATTTCCTGTTGCCTCAGAAGTCAGGAGTAGAGGGGCTGGCAGGGGCTCGATGAGTGCCTACCGTGTGCCAGGGACTGTGCCAGGCCCCCCACAGTGTTCTGCTGTCCCCCAGAAGCTGGTGTAGGCTGCACAGTTTGTGAGTGCAGACCCCGGATTTAAGACCTCTGAGCAGCGGGGAAGGCTTCCTGGAGGAGGTATGCCTTTTGAGATGGATGCAGCAGGTTCTGTGAGGCTGCCAGGAGGGGTAGAGTTCCCGGGGGCCTCGGGCCCCGCTGGAGTGTGGAGCAGGCCCATGCTCAGCTCTCCAGGCTGTTCGTGGCTCCCCTGTCAGCTGCTCACTCCTTTCCAGAGACAAAACAGGAATAATAGACATCATTAAATATACATAGGGCCCCAGGCGGTCGGCGTGGTGGGCTGGGCCTCCCTTCCCCATAACACTGAGCTGCTCTGCTGGGCCAACCGTGCTCCTGGGCCAGCCAGAGGACCCCCATGAGGCGGCATGCAGGCGGGGAGCAGGCCACAGAACGCAGGTAAGGAGACCTTAGCCTAGAGTCCTTGGGGTCTGTCACTGGCCACCCTCGCATCCCAGGCTGCAGGGGTGATAAGGGAAGGGGCAGCAGCAGAGCTGGGGCCTCGCCCCTAACTCATCTTGAGGCCCTTCTCTGCCTCACTTTGTTCATCTGTGAGGGGTGTGATGCCCATGCAGTCCCCTCCTGGCGATGGTGGGATACCAAGACAGGCAGGGCCTCTGTGGCTTACCTCGGCCCCTCTCCTGACTGTCCTGATGCCTGGCCATGAGGCCCTAAGTGAGGGTTTCTGCCTGGCTGGTGGCCATTCCCACTTCCACTTTACAGGTAGGGGCTCTGGGCCCAGGGTGAGGTAGGGAAGGCCTTGAGTTCACAGGGTGTCAGGGTGAGTCCAGACCTTGGATTAGATCCAGACCTGTTTTGTCCCCAAGGCTGGCTGGCAAAGGGTGGGAAATGAGGCCAGAGGCTGGGGGTCCTCAGGCAGTGAGGGCTCAGGTGAGAGGCTCCAGCCACTGGGCCACAAGTTCCTCACCGTGGATGGGCTTGTTCCTGGGCTAGATCTGTGTGCGCGTGGATCAGGGCAGGCACTGCGGCTCTGTTATGTCCTGGGCTTTCTGGATCTGTGGTCAGGATGGTTGCGCAGTCTACATTTGCTTGTGAGAGAGCGAGCAAGGGATCCTGCAGCTGCGTATGCCCAGGTCAGTGTGAAGTGGCAGCTTGCGGTGCCTTTAGGGCTGGGGAAGCTCCCTAAGACCCCCCAAAGGTCTCTGACCCTCCCATCCCCGCACCTGGGTAAGCTCCAGGCTTGGGCCTCACCCTGTCAGCCACCTTGTTCTCATCACCCTCCCTGATGATCACAGGCAGGGGTCTGCACCCTCACTCAGGCCCATGCCCAGGCAGCAGAGTTGCATTCATCTCCCAGCTGGCATCCCTGCAGCCTCCCGGGGGTAGTATGGCCTGCAGCTTTAGAAGACTCAGGTACATAGGAGCCAAAGACATGAATATTCATCTATCTGTCCCACACGTGTGCGTTCACTCATTCTCCGTCTTTCTTCCTCTCCAGCTTAGATTCCACAGTTTCTCATTTCGGAACCCTCCTTTGGCAAGAAAGCCGAGTCGAGACCCTCTCCTTCCCACTCTGTCCCTCTCCTAGACAGCTCACCTGACCTCCAGCTTCCATCTCGCCAGACCTGGGTCCGAGCAGCCTTTTTGACTCTCCACTGCACTGTCCTGTAGCCATCCCAAGCCCACCGTGTCCCAGACCAAACATGGCGTTCCCATACCCCCGGCCTCACCTCAGAGACACTCCCCGCACCCCCCAGCTGCACCAAGCCAACCCCAAGACTACTTGTCTCCACCCTCATCCCAGCCCCATCTAGCCTCTCACCAGGGCCAGCCTGTTTCACCTCATCCTGAATGTGTCCGCTGTACACCATCACAGCATGCTCCCAGCTGTGTCATTGTCCCCTCTCCATTCTTTTCCACATGGCAGCCCGAGCTTCTTTTTATAATATTTTCTAAGAAGCCATGTGAGGCAGTGGTTGAGACTGTGGACACTCTGAAGCCAGACTGCCCAGGCTTAACTCCACCTTCAAGCTGTGTCACTCACATAACCTCTCTGGGCCCATGTCCTCATCTGTAAAGTGGGAAGAGTAACCACACCGACTTCAGGAGGTTGTAGTGAGAGTTGAGGTCTGTGTGGCCTGGCCGTTCTGAGCACAGGTCTTGCAGTCAGGGACACAGGCCCCATGGCTTCCTCACTGTGGGCTCTCGGCTGAGGGATCTAACCTCTCTAAGATCAAGCCCTTCATCTATGTGAGAATCTAGTGAGATATTCCAGAAAAGCATTTAGTACCAAGCCTGGCACATAGTAAACATCTGGAAATGCGAAACAGTGACCAAAGTCCCATCCCTTTCACGGCCATTGGGCTAGTCCCTGCCTGCCACCCTGGCCACCTCTCATTTCACATGCCCTCAATCACTCTGCTCCAGCCATAGGACTGTCCTTGAAGCCCCTCTTACCACCTGACCTTTGCACATGCTGTTCCACTTGCCAGGAATACTGTTCCTTCTTCCATGTTATAAGCTCCCTCTTATCCTTCAGATCTTGGCTCAGGGTTGCGTTGTCAGCAGAATCTTCCTGGACCTCCAGTGCAGTGTTTGGGCATCTGTGGGTCATGCCCTGACCTTCACAGCTCTTCTTGTTGATGTGACTCTGCTTAAAGTCTGCATCCAGGATGGGCACAGTGGATCATACCTGTAAACCCAACACTTTGGGAGGCTGAGGCAGGAATATTGCCCGGGGGCAAGGAGTTCAAGACCATCCTGGGCAACATAGTGGGACCCTGTCTCTACAAAAAAACATTAGCCAGGTGTGGTAGCCCACCTCTGTAGTCTCAGCTGCTTGGGCAGCTGAGGTGGGAGGATTGCTTGAGCCTGGGAGCTTGAGGCTGCAGTGAGCTGTGATTATGTTACTGCACTCCAGCCTGAGTGATGGAACCAGAGCCTGTCTCAAAAGAGAAAAAAAAAAAAAAAAAAAAAAAAACAAAGTCTGTGTCCCCTACAACACAGGGAGCTCCATGAGAGCAGAGATCATGTCTGGTTCCACTTAACTCTGCGAACCCCAAGTGCCCTGCACAGTGCTTGGCACATAATAGATGCACAACTAATGCACAAGTAATATTTAAGGAATGAATGAATGAGAGACTTGCTCCCTGACACCCGCTCTGTGCCTGCACAGAGGATGGGGACCCTGAGAGGAAGGCAGGACCTGGAACCTACCAGAGAAGGGGCAGCCTCAGCTGACTACTATCCTGAGGTCAAGCCTGGGACCCAGAGACCAGGAGGGATCAGGTGGGCAGGACTTGCTGCCAGCAGTCACCCAGACCTCCTCACTCAGAGCAGACAGGCAGCAGCCTGTAGCAATGACGTTGGCAGTCATAACAACAGCTGCTTGCCCAGGCCAGCCACTGTGCCCAGCTCTCCGCTATCTCATGTAATGCCCAGGTCAGCCCTGGTAAGGGAGGCATCTACACTCACAGATGAGGAGACTCCAACGCTGAGGCTGCATGACTTGCTATGGGTCAGATCCAGGAGAGGAATGAGACCTGACCCAGAGCTCTGAGCCACTGGGCTCCACGTCCCCTGGGCTAGAGCTGGGCTTGCCTCTCTGAGAGGCAGGTTCTTCATCTGGACAATGGGGCTTTGCAGTGGAAAGATGCCTGCCTGAGGCTTTGAGGCAGGACTTGGGCAAGCCCGCTAGAGAATGGTGGCCTCTCAGCCTTTCTTCTGGACAGACAGACAAGGCTCCCCTACTTGGGGCAGACAGAAGGTATGGCTCTGGGAGGTGCTCTTGGGCCTGAAGGGCCAGCCCTGCCCTGCTTCTCCCCAGCAAGTCTCTGACCTCTCTCTGCTTCACTTTCAACAAATGTAACAAATGTTACATGACACTGGGGTGGGGGTGGGGTTGGACCTGTGACATCTCAGGTCCCTGACATTCTTCCTGAGAGCCCCTCTAAAGTGGTGTTTCCACTCAGTCTCCAATCCCTTTTTTTTTCCATTTTCACATATACACTTTTTTGGGGGGTCGTGGGGGACAGGGTCTCGCACCGTCACACAGGCTGGATTGCAGTGGTGCAATCTTGGCTCACTGCAACCTCCACATCCTGAGTTCAAGTGATTCTTCTGCCTCAGCCACCACACTGTGCATATCTGTAGCTGGGATTACAGGTGTGCACCACCATGTTCGGCTGATTTTTGTATTTTTAGTAGAGACAGGGTTTTGCCATATTGTCTGGGCTGGTCTTGAACTCCTAGCTTCGAGTGATCCACCTGCCTCGGCCTCCCGAAGTGCTGGGACTACAGGTGTGAGCCAGCGCACCTAGCCCACATTTACACTTTTAAATGTTACATTTTTTTTGGTTTTTGACTCAGAAATGCATTCATATGGATAAAAATCAAACTAATATAGAAAGATTTACAGTGAGATAACTATTCTCATTAATTTCTTATGTATCTTTTGCTGTATTATTATTATTTTTTTTTGAAACGGAGTCTCACTCTGTCACCTGGACCGGAGTGCAGTAGCATGATCTCAGCTCACTGCAACCTCTGCCTCCCGGGTTCAAGAAATTCTCCTGCCTCAGCCTCCCAAGTAGCTAGGACTACAGGCACACGCTGCTACACCCAGCTAATTTTTTTGTATTTTAGTAGAGATGGGGTTTCACCGTGTTGCCCAGGCTGGTCTCGAACTCCTGAGCTCAGGTAATCAGCCTACCTTGGCCTCTCAAAGTGCTAGGATTACAGGTGTGAGCCACCACACCTGGCGCTGTATTTCTTTTGTTTGTTTTGACACAGAGTCTTGCTCTGTGTCAGAGGCTGGAGTGCAGTGGCATGATCACAACTCACTGCAGCCTCAAAATCCTGGCTCAAGCGATCCTCCCACTTCAGCCTCCTGAGTAGCTGGGCCTACAGGTGCTTGCCACCTGTAATTTTTCGGTTTGTTATCTAGGGACAGGGTCTCGTTATATTGCCTGGGCTAGTTTCAAACTCCTGGGCTCCTCCCATCTCAGCTTTTCAAAGTGCCCAGGCATGAGCCACTGCTCCTGGCTGCAGTATTTCTAATATGGAAATAAAAAAGCAAACACAAGCTGAGCATGGTGGCTCAGTGGCTCATGCCTATAATCCCAGCACTTTGGGAGGATGAGGTGGGCAGATCACTTGAGGCCAGGAGTTCAAGACCAGCCCGGCCAACATGGCAAAACCCTGTCCCTACTAAAAATACAAAAATTAGTCAGGCATGGTGGTGCATGCCTGTAATTCCAGCTACTCAGGAAGCTGAGGCCTAGGAGGTGGAGGTTGCAGTGAGCTGAGATCGCATCACTGCTCTCCAGCCCGGTTGACGGAGTGAGACTGTCTCAAAAAAAAAAAAAAGGCAAACATAAGAATACAAACTTATATTCTTAGCACCTCCCCTGACACACACACACACACACACACACACACACACACACACACACACTCTTCCTACAGAAAGGCCTCAGTAAACACTGTAGTCAACAGGCTGATCTGCAGCCTGCTTCCTGCACTAGCAGGTCCTGGAGATCGCTCCCTATCAGGACACAGAGATCGTCCACATTCCTTGTTATAGCTGTGTTGTGTTCCATCCTGGAATGCATTGTGGTGTACTGCAGCAATGAGCAGCTCTGTTTGTGTGTCCTTACCCATAAGGACGTGTAAGAGAGATCCCCAGGGGTGGATTACTTGCATCCTTCCTTCCTTCCCTCCCTCTTGTCCTTTTTCTTTTTTAAAACAATCAATATATAATCCGCACTCCATACAATTCACCCATCAAAGTGTACAATGCTGTGGTTTTAGTATGCTCACAAGTGTGCCCACCTTGTGACCACCACAGTCCTGTCTTTTTTTTTTTTTTTTTTTTTTTTTTGAGACGGAGTTTTTGCTCTTGTTGCCCAGGCTGGAGTGCAATGGCTTCATCTTGGCTCACTGCAACCTCTGCCTCCCAGGTTCAAGTGATTCTCCTGCCTCAGCCTCCTGAGTAGCTGCAATTACAGGCATGCGCCACCACGCCCAGCTAATTTTTGTATTTTTAGTGGAAATGAGGTTTTACCATGTTGGTCAGGCTGGTCTCGAACTCTTGACCACATATGATCCACCTGCCTTGGCCTCCCAGAGTGCTGGGATTACAGGCATGAGCCACTGCACCTGGCCCTGGTCCTGTCTTTCTTGAAACCTCTTCCATCAGGTGTAACTTCCCTTGCCCCTGCTACTGTACTGGGACCATTCTTGTCACAGTCACCCCTGGAGCTCTAAGGAGCTGCATCCATTAGTCAGCTCTCCATTCTTGACTAACATGCTCATCTGTCATAGCGGTCCCATCTGTCATAGCAGTCCCGCCCTCCTGTGCAGCCCCCAGGACCCCACTCCCTCCTGGGCCTCTACCTCCTCCTCTGGCTGGCTTCGTGGTGCTCACTCACTGCCTCCTTGGCTCCTAAGCACTGCAGCCCTGCGGCTCATTCCGTGGCCTCTCTTCCCTCTATACTCATTCCCTGGTGTCATCCTCCAGAGCTGTGGCTTCAATGCCATCTAGATGCCAATGACTCCCTAACTGATGTCACCAGCCCTGGTGGCTGTGATGGCCCCCCAGCAGTGCCCAGTGCCCAAAGCTGGATCCTGGGCCCTACTTCCTCAATTTGCTCTGTCTGCAGCCTTCCTCATCCTGGCCAATGACCTGACGGCCTCTCCATTCTCCCTGATGTTCAGTAAGGAAACTTGGGAGCCATTCCTGCACCCTGCCTCATCCCCATCATCAAATCCTGTCAGTCCTACCTGCCACATGTCCCCAGCATCCTACCACTTCTCCACACTTTAACCGCTGGCAGCCTGGTGCAGGAGGACCTCCATAGAAGCTTCCATGCTGGCCTCCCTGCCTTCACCCTCACTCCTGCAGCCGCTTCTCCCATAGCAGTAGAGGCTGCTATCAAGACTGAGGTCGAGGCTAGGCTTGGTGGCTCACGGATGTAATCCCAACACTTTGGGAGGTCGAGGCAGGCAGATCACCTGAGGTCAGGAGTTCGAAACCAGCCTGGCCAACATGGTGAAACCCTGTCTCTACTAAAAATACAAAATTAGCTGGGCGTGGCGGTGTGTGTCTGTAATCCCAGTTTCTTGGGAAGCTGAGGCAGGAGAATTGCTTAAACCTGGGAGGCAGAGGTTGCCGTGAGCCAAGATCGCACCATCGCACTCCAGCCTGAGCAGCACAGCGAGACTCTGTCTCAAAAAAAAAAGACTGAGGTCGAATTCCATCCCTTCTCTGCCAAAACCCTCCTCCCACGGCTCCTGCCTCACTGGCAGTCGAAGCCAAGCCCTCATTGTGGCCCACAGGCCCTGCACATGTGCCCCTGAACTCTGACCTCACCACCCAGTGCACCCCCACTGCCCTCCAGCCACCTGGCCTGTCTGCTCCTCCACCTGCTTGGGACTGTGCACTGCCCACAGGCTCTCTCCATGGCCCCATAGCCACTAGGCCTTCCCTGACTTCCTGTTTAATGTCACAACCCCACTTCTTGCTGTCCCTTCCACGGCACTTACGCCCCATTATCTGTTACTGATTTTCCATGTTTATTGGCTTTCTCTCCACCCACATATGGTAACTGCATGAGGGCAGGGTTTTTCTCTGTTTTGTTCACAGCTGTGTCCCAGCACTTAGACGGTGCCTAGCATGCAGCACACTTCCCACAGAGGCTTTTGAATGAATGGGTGAGTGAGTAAATGCTGGCTCAGGACCCTTAGGGAAAGGGGCCAGGCTGACTGAGGAATCCAGGTTGGGGTAGCGGTGGGCAAGCACTGGAGAGGCCTTGGTGCCTGTTGGAGGCCCAGCTGGGCTCTGGTTTGCCCAGTGGCTTGGTCAGGGCCCTCCCCCTCCAGGCAGGAGCAGGTTGTGGGGTTAGCACGACTATGCTCCTGGCTCTGCCCAGTGTCCTAAGCCACTCTAAACCCAGTGATGACCCAGGAGCTCAGCGGGCAGGAGGGCCTAGTAAGGGAGGTAGCTCTGGACTCGGCCAGGCCTGGGTTCTACCTTCCCAAGCCAGGTGGCCTCGAGCAAGTCCCTTCATCTTTTGAGTCTGAGTTTCCTCATCCGGAGAATGGATATACTAATAGCTCATATCTCACAGACCTGCTGTGAGAGTCCCATGAGACCACTGTGCAACACACCTGACTGGGGCCTCACTTTGGAAACTGGCTCCAAGAGGAGCTGGGGCAGTTGTTGATATCTCCAGGCTCAGAAAGAATGTCTCGGCTGGGCGCCGTGGCTCACATCTGTAATGTCAGCACTTTGGGAGGCCAAGGTTGGTGGATCACCTGAGATCAGGAGTTTGAGACCATCCCGGCCAACATGGTAAAAACCGTCTCTACTAAAAATACAAAAATTGGCCAGGCGTGGTGGCACATGCCTGTAATCCAAGATATTTGGGAGACTGAGGCACAAGAATTGCTTGAACCCGGGAGGCGGAGGTTGCAGTGAGCCGAGATTGCACCACTGCCCTCCAGCCTGGGCAACAGAGCGAGACTCTGTCTCAAAAAAAAAAAAAGAAAGAAAGAAAGAACATTGCCCCTGTCCTTCATTTTTCCTCAAGCGGGCAAGAGCCACTGCCCAAAAACAGAAGGGAGAGTGGGCAGCCCCTCAAACTCCTGCTGTGCAGGAGGCCCACTTCCTGCACGTATCCCCTAACTCGCTCCAAAAGCCCTCCATCCAATTTCTCTGGTTTCCATCAAGCCCCACTCCCCATCCCTGTGAGACTGCCTGCACCAGGCACCAACAGCCCCTGGTGCAACTCCTCTGAGTGGCTGGGCACTGACTGGCTCCAGGTGAATCTTGGGGAGGAGGAGCAGGAAGAAGAGGAAAGTGAAGAGCCAGAGAAAGTGAGCAGGGGGAAGAGGCAGACAGAGAGGGGGAGACCTCACTTGCTGCATGGTCCCCTCTCTGCTCCTGCCACTTACCTGGGAAGGCCTCACCCTGTCCCTGTTTCACAGCTGAGCACGTTGAGGCTCTGAAGCCACTGATCTGAGGGCGTGGAGCTGGCAAGTGGCAGAACCAGGGCCAGAACCTTGCTGCTTTGGGGTCTCCTATGCTAAACCTTAAACAACCAAAGAATTAGCTCTGGGACCAAAAGAGTGAACCAGAGTTCAGTGAGTTGAGGTCCATCTTGAGGAGGAAGAGGAGGAGGAGAGCTGGTTCTGAGGCTTCAGGTCTCAGAGCTGCCACTCCCCACCTCCGCTGGCCTGCCCAGTTTTTCCCACCCCCTACCTCTTTTAGTGCAGGTTCTCAAAAGTGAGTTAGACTGGCCACCAACCAGACTTTGGACATGCAGCCTTAGGTCAGGCCATATGAAGCAATCAGCTATGCCCAGAGAAGGCAGTAACCACATGGCCACAGCCTACTCAGCCAGGGCAGAAAGTAAGAGGAGAGGACAGGGCTAGGCAGGGACCCCAGAAAGGAGCCAGCAGGAGGCATCTCCAGTTACCCAGCAGCTCCATCAGGTCTTGCTTCCTTTTGGTGAAGGAGATGGGGCATAGCTTATCACTCCCATTCTTCAGAGGAAACTGAGGCCCAGAGAGGACAAGGACTTTCCTGGACCCACACAGCCAGTCAGTGACAGAGCCTAGGGTCTGAGCCAGGCCTGACCCAACCTCCATTTCTGCCTCTCTACCCCTGCCCCCGCCCCAACACACACACACACACAAGTGGAGTTCCACTGAAACGCCCCTCCTTGCCCTGCCTTCTGAGCCGGCAGCCTGGCTCCCCACCCCATGTATTATTCAGCTCCTGAGAGCCAGCCAGCTCCTGTTACACTGACCGCAGCCCAGCACCTGCTCTGCCCATTCCCCTCCTCCCTTGCCTAGGACCTAGAGGGTTCAAAGTTCTCCTCCAAGATGACTTGGTGGGCTTTGGCCATCCCACCCTAGGCCCCACTTCTGGCCCAGTGCAGGTGTGCTGGTGATTTAGGGCAGGTGGCATTCCATCTCTGTGGCTCAATGTCTTCCTCTGTGAAGCCGAAGTGACCCAAGGGCTCCCTTCATGGGGTTGAGCCAGCTGTGGCCCAGGGAGGGCCTAACCAGGATGAGCACTGATGTTGCCATGACGACTCCGAGGCCAGAATGTCTCCCCCAGCACAGGCCTCATAGGCAGGCTTCCCCATCCTGGTAAACAACACCCACACACTTTCTACTACTGCTCTAGGGTGAAACCCAAGGCGCTCTAGAGGAGATGAATTATGGATCCGCCCTCCCGGAATCCTGGCTCGGCCCTCCCCACGCCACCCAGGGCCAGTCGGGTCTGCTCACAGCCCGAGGAGGCCGCGTGTCCAGCCGCGGGCAAGAGACAGAGCAGGTCCCTGTGTCTCCAAGTCCCTGAGCCCGTGACACCGGCCCCAGGCCCTGTAGAGAGCAGGCAGCCACCATGGCGAAGGAGGAAGATGAGGAGAAGAAAGCCAAGAAAGGGAAGAAGGGGAAGAAGGCACCGGAGCCGGAGAAGCCCAAACGGAGCCTGAAGGGGACGTCGCGGCTGTTCATGGGCTTCCGCGACCGTACACCCAAGATCTCCAAGAAGGGCCAGTTCCGCAGCGCCTCGGCCTTCTTCTGGGGCCTCCACACCGGCCCCCAGAAGACCAAGCGCAAGAGGAAGGCCCGCACCGTGCTCAAGTCCACGTCAAAGCTCATGACGCAGATGCGCATGGGCAAGAAGAAGCGGGCGATGAAGGGCAAGAAGCCGTCCTTCATGGTGATCCGCTTCCCAGGCCGCCGTGGCTACGGCCGCCTGCGGCCGCGCGCCCGGTCACTCAGCAAAGCGTCCACGGCCATCAACTGGCTCACAAAAAAGTTCCTCCTCAAGAAGGCCGAGGAGTCGGGCAGCGAACAGGCCACAGTGGACGCCTGGCTGCAGCGCTCGAGCTCCCGCATGGGCTCCCGCAAACTCCCCTTCCCGTCGGGTGCCGAGATCCTGCGGCCTGGGGGCCGGCTCCGGAGGTTCCCCCGCAGCCGCAGCATCTACGCGTCAGGCGAGCCCCTGGGCTTCCTGCCCTTCGAGGACGAGGCCCCATTCCATCACTCGGGCTCCCGCAAGTCGCTGTACGGGCTTGAGGGCTTCCAGGACCTGGGCGAGTATTATGACTATCACCGCGACGGCGACGACTACTACGACCGGCAGTCACTCCACCGCTACGAGGAGCAGGAACCCTACCTGGCGGGCCTCGGCCCCTACAGCCCGGCCTGGCCACCCTACGGCGACCACTACTACGGGTACCCGCCCGAGGATCCCTACGACTACTACCACCCCGACTATTACGGTGGCCCCTTTGATCCGGGGTACACCTACGGCTACGGCTACGACGATTACGAACCCCCATATGCGCCCCCGTCGGGGTACTCGTCTCCTTACAGCTACCACGATGGGTACGAGGGCGAGGCGCACCCTTATGGCTACTACCTGGATCCCTATGCGCCGTACGACGCGCCATACCCACCCTATGACCTCCCATACCACACTCCCTACGATGTACCCTACTTTGATCCCTACGGAGTCCACTACACCGTCCCCTATGCCGAAGGCGTCTATGGCGGTGGGGACGAGGCCATCTACCCCCCCGAGGTGCCCTATTTTTACCCGGAGGAGTCGGCTTCGGCCTTTGTGTACCCCTGGGTACCACCGCCCATCCCGTCGCCCCACAACCCGTATGCCCACGCCATGGATGACATCGCCGAGCTGGAGGAACCAGAGGACGCGGGCGTAGAGCGTCAGGGGACCTCCTTCCGCCTGCCCAGCGCCGCCTTCTTCGAGCAGCAAGGCATGGATAAGCCCGCCAGGTCCAAGCTGTCCCTCATCCGCAAGTTCCGCCTCTTCCCGCGACCCCAGGTGAAGCTGTTTGGGAAGGAGAAGCTGGAGGTGCCCCTGCCACCCTCTCTGGACATTCCTCTCCCCTTGGGGGATGCGGACGAAGAAGAGGACGAGGAGGAGCTGCCCCCGGTTTCCGCTGTGCCCTACGGCCACCCTTTCTGGGGCTTCCTCACGCCGCGCCAGCGCAACCTCCAGCGCGCGCTGTCGGCCTTCGGCGCCCACCGGGGCCTGGGCTTCGGCCCTGAGTTTGGCCGCCCCGTGCCTCGCCCTGCCACCTCGCTTGCGCGGTTCCTCAAGAAGACGCTGTCGGAGAAGAAGCCCATCGCGCGGCTCAGGGGCAGCCAGAAGGCCCGGGCGGGCGGCCCTGCTGTCAGGGAGGCGGCCTACAAACGCTTCGGCTACAAGCTGGCTGGCATGGACCCCGAGAAGCCCGGCACGCCCATCGTGCTGAGGAGGGCCCAGCCACGCGCTCGCAGCAGCAACGACGCGCGCCGCCCGCCCGCGCCACAGCCCGCGCCCAGGACCCTCTCCCACTGGAGCGCGCTCCTGTCTCCGCCCGTGCCCCCGCGGCCCCCAAGCTCCGGGCCCCCGCCCGCGCCGCCGCTCTCCCCGGCGCTCTCGGGCCTGCCCCGGCCGGCCTCGCCCTACGGCTCCCTCCGCCGCCACCCGCCGCCCTGGGCCGCCCCAGCGCACGTGCCACCGGCGCCGCAGGCCAGCTGGTGGGCCTTCGTGGAGCCCCCTGCCGTGAGCCCGGAGGTGCCCCCCGACCTACTAGCCTTCCCAGGGCCCCGACCCTCGTTCAGGGGCTCCCGCCGGAGAGGGGCGGCTTTCGGCTTCCCCGGGGCCTCTCCACGGGCGTCGCGGAGGCGAGCTTGGTCACCGCTGGCCTCGCCCCAGCCCTCGCTGAGGAGCTCGCCGGGCCTCGGCTACTGCTCACCCTTGGCGCCCCCGTCGCCTCAGCTGTCCTTGCGCACGGGCCCCTTCCAGCCGCCCTTCCTGCCCCCGGCCCGCCGGCCCCGCTCGCTGCAGGAGTCCCCAGCCCCACGCCGAGCCGCTGGGCGCCTGGGCCCACCCGGCTCGCCGCTGCCGGGCTCACCCAGGCCGCCCTCGCCGCCCCTGGGGCTCTGCCACAGCCCGCGGCGCAGCTCCCTGAATCTGCCCTCGCGCCTCCCGCACACGTGGCGGCGCCTCAGCGAGCCACCCACTCGGGCTGTGAAGCCGCAAGTGCGCCTGCCCTTCCACCGACCGCCCAGGGCCGGGGCCTGGCGGGCGCCCCTGGAACACCGGGAGAGCCCGCGAGAACCCGAGGACTCAGAGACGCCCTGGACTGTGCCCCCACTGGCCCCCAGCTGGGACGTGGACATGCCTCCCACCCAACGCCCACCCTCCCCCTGGCCAGGAGGTGCAGGCAGCCGCCGAGGCTTTTCCAGGCCACCCCCTGTGCCGGAAAACCCCTTTCTCCAGCTCCTGGGCCCTGTGCCATCCCCCACCCTCCAGCCTGAGGATCCAGCTGCTGATATGACCAGGGTCTTCCTGGGCAGACACCATGAGCCGGGGCCTGGACAGCTCACCAAATCAGCTGGCCCAACCCCTGAGAAGCCTGAAGAAGAGGCCACCCTGGGGGACCCCCAGCTGCCAGCAGAGACCAAGCCTCCAACCCCAGCACCTCCCAAGGATGTCACTCCCCCCAAGGATATCACTCCCCCCAAGGATGTCCTCCCAGAGCAAAAGACATTAAGGCCCAGCCTCTCATACCCACTGGCTGCGTGTGACCAGACCAGGGCCACATGGCCACCATGGCACCGCTGGGGAACACTGCCCCAAGCCGCAGCCCCCTTGGCGCCCATCAGGGCCCCAGAGCCCCTGCCCAAGGGGGGTGAACGGCGCCAGGCAGCCCCTGGGCGTTTTGCTGTGGTCATGCCTCGTGTGCAGAAGCTGAGCTCTTTCCAGCGAGTTGGGCCTGCAACCCTGAAGCCTCAAGTCCAGCCCATTCAGGACCCCAAGCCAAGAGCCTGTAGTCTTCGCTGGTCCTGCCTCTGGCTTCGGGCAGATGCCTATGGACCCTGGCCACGAGTACACACCCATCCCCAGTCCTGCCACCTGGGCCCTGGAGCTGCCTGCCTGTCCCTTAGGGGCTCCTGGGAGGAGGTCGGCCCGCCAAGCTGGCGGAACAAGGTATGGAGGCACAGATTACACGGAGGGTTTGAGGGTTCTGGCCTAGGAAACAGGGCAAGAGAGACAGCCTGAGGAGCCCTGTGCAACCTTGGAGAGAGGCTGCTTGCTGGGGCCTCAGTCTCTGGGTCTGTAAGTTGGGGAGAACAGCCTGGACCTCCCAGAACCTCTGGAGGGTTGAACAAGGGGATGCCCAGCACAGGCAGGCCCAGGACAGAGACGTGGGAAACTGCTTCCAGGTCACTCTGGGGAAGGATCTTTGTTCATATTCGGCTTGGGCCCTGGGCAGCCCTGCCCTGATCCAATCTGGATGACAGGTCTGGCCCCTAACTTCCCCTCAGAGATTTTGGCCAAGCCAGATGTGAAACTGCCGGACATGCCTATCCATCCTGTTCCACCGCACATCCAGGTCTCTGCAGTTCCTCCTGCCTCCTACTGACCCTCCCCCAAATTAAAGCCTCCTGTTTCCTCAGGGTTTTTGCTGCCCTTTGAAGTCCCCTGGGCTGCAGGATTCTGGAATAGGTCAGGGTGAGGGGCTCAGGATCCAAACTTCCAGACTCCTCATTGCACAGAGGGAAAACTGAACCAGGAGTCCTTCTGGAACCCCATGAGGGGTGCAGGGTAGGCAGCCCTTCGGATGGGTGCCCAGCCCATGCCTGGCTGCCACACTCAAGGTGGAACTCGAGCCTGATGCTGGGTGGCCCTTGGCTGAGGTGCGTGGTCACCGGAGCCTCTCTCAGGATGCCGGGGTGGTGGGCGGGGCAAGCAGGGGCAGCAGGTGCGTCTCAGCCTCTGCAGACCATGCCTGGCGGAGCAGGCAGCCAGCCGGGCCCAACAATGGCAACCGGGGCAGCCTGGCTGCTGAGGGGGCCCTGGCCCCGGCGGCGGATGCCCCGCGCTGTGTGGGCTGCAGCGTTGCGGGAGCGGGGCGCAGGGCGTCTAGGGGTGAGGGGCAAGGATGCCTGGGTCCTCCTTACCCTGGAATACGTGAGTGGCTGAATTATTCAGGGTCTGCGGCTGCTGGCAAGCACGTGGGCAGATGGGTGGGCCGGAGGCCAGGGCCGAAAGGGTGATACTCGCTGTGCCCTACTTAGCAGTCCAGCGACAGGCATGCAGGGTTCCTTCCTGGTGTCCTCTTTCCTCGCCTGCTCAGGGTGCAGCTGGGATTGGAAAGGCTGAGGGTGTACACGTGTGTGCTCCCAGTCATGTGGATCCTGCGCAGGCCTGCATGCCTGAGCATGTGTGCAAGTGTGTACCACAGCCAAATGACGAAAGCTAGTGTATGGGGTCTGAGCAGATGTGGCATCCCTGGGGGTCAGGGTTGTTTGCCCACCCTCTGCCCATGTGCACAGACGTGTGCTCACAGAGGAGACCCTGCAGCCCAAAGGTGGCATCAGGACTTCCATTCACCAGACCCCCAGCATAGGGAGGGACCCAGCTGTGCGCCCACATGTATGTGCCAAGTGGACAGGTAGAGCATGTGCCTGCACACCGTGTGCCTCCAGCCGGGCCCCACAGGCCTGCGTATGTGCCCACAGGCCTACAGGAACACCTGTGTGCCTGGGAGTTGTATGAGCTGTAAATGCCATTGAGTGTGGGTCCATATGCAGGTGTCCACGCATTTTCCCCAGGATGAGCATGGGGTTGTGGTGCTAAGACAGTCTCCATCTCTGCCCTCCTAGAGGCCCCATGCACCAGGTCACAAGTGTCCTTTGAGTTGTCACACAAGCCAACATATGGGGTCTGCTGGTGCTGGAAGAGTTGCGGTTGGGAGGGAGCTGGCCCATGCGCCCATGTACCTGCATATGCCTTTGTTCACCCCCTAGGGCAGGACACTTGGGAGCTCATGGGAGGGCCTGCCTGGGCACTGAGGGTATGCGTGTGTCTCATGTGTGAGGGTCGCATGCAGGTTCTGGGGGCCACAGCATTCTGTAATGAGGAGACCTGCAGGACCCACCTGGCCTTGGGGTTCCCTCCCCAACAATGGTAGCAGGCCCCAGGTATGACCAAGCCAGGGGTCAGTGGGGGAGGGGGGTGCCCTTCAACCTGCAGACACAGCCTCTCTCTCTCACACAGATGCACTCCATCCGCAACCTGCCATCCATGCGGTTCCGTGAGCAGCACGGGGAGGATGGTGTGGAGGACATGACACAGCTGGAGTGAGTGGGCAGGGCCGGCGGGGTCAGCAAGGGGTCACCATGGGGTCCCCACCCTCCCAGCCAGAGCAGCTCCTCCTGCAGTTGCCTCTCACCTCCCAGGACATTTTCAGAGCCTCAGTCATGAAGTGTCACAAAGACTAAATGTGGTGTGCTTTGTGAGTTAGACGGACTTTGGTTCAAATCCTAGCCCCACCACTCACCAGCTGGCAGACGTTGCACAAATCGCTTTGTTTCTCTGCACCTCAGTTTCTCATCCACAAAATGGGAGTGGGATGGCTGTTGTGAGGATGCCAGCACATTGGAGGTACTCAAAACATGAGGGCCGTGTTGGTCAGCATCATTATCTAATCACAGTGATTACGTAAGAGTGTCCCCCAAACCCCCAATGAAGTAGGTACAATGATTATCATACCCATTGGACAAATGAAGAAAAAGGCACAGAATAGGGAAGTAATTTGTCCAAGGTCTCCTAGCTGGTTGGTGTCAGAAACAGGACTTGAATTCAGGCCTATCTGATCAAGGCACTGCACTGAGTTGGGGAGGGAGACCCATGCCAGAACCAGCCCTGGGGGCACTGACGGCTTCTCTCTGTGTCCTTCTAGAGACCTCCAGGAAACCACTGTGCTGTCCAACCTCAAGATTAGATTTGAACGGAACCTCATCTACGTAAGGCCTGGGGCTGGCCCTGCCCTGGGCCTAGGTCAGGAAGGCAGCTGCCTCCTGGGGCCGGGTGGGACGCACAGATTTCTCTTGTGGGCCCTAGCCCCTGTGGCCTCTGCCTAGAATGCCAGAGCCTAGAACTAAAATCTGAAGTCTTAAAACACAGTCTTAGAATGGTGGATGCCAGAGGCCGGGCACAGTGGCTCACCCTGTAATCCCAGCACTTTGGGAGACCGAGGCAGGTGGATCACGAGGTCAAGAGATCGAGACCATCCTGGTTAACACGGTGAAACCCCCTCTCTACTAAAAATACAAAAAAAAAAAAAAATTAGCCAGGTGTAGGTGGTGCATGCCTGTAGTCCCAGCTACTTGGGAGGCTGAGGCAGGAGAATGGCGTGAACCCCAGGAGGCAGAGCTTGCAGTGAGCGGAGATCGCGCCACTGCACTCCAGCCTGGGTGACAGACAGAGCGAGACTCCATCTCAAAAAAAAAAAAAAAAAAAAAAAAAAAGAATGGTGGATGCCAGAGGCAGAAAGCTGGAGACAGAGAATCCAGAAATATGTGACACCCCCACCATCTGGGACCTGACAGATAGAACTTCCAGAGTCCTAGAATCCATAGACCTGGACCCCAGAGTGGGGATGGCCAGAGGGGTCAGAGGGGAGCCTCTGACCTGAGAATGACAGAACAGAGGGCCAGGGGCTCAGTGCCAGTGTGGAAGACAAGGACACCCAGAAGGGCTCTGGCCACATCAGGATCCCCTGAGTTCCCCAACTCCTCACTCTAGGCAGTGGAGGTTTGCCCTCAACAGGAGCCAGAAGTTCCTGGAGCCTGGGCCCAACCTTGAACAAATGAAGTAGGCAGGAGCCCACCCAGGATCGTGGCTGTGGGGTTTGCTCACTCCAGACTCCTCTCAGCTCAGCCTGGTGCAGTGCCTGAGATTCCACTGTTAGAGCACGTAGCCCAGCTAGCTGGTAGAGGGCTCTAGATGGGAATCCCGAGTCCAGGCAGCCAGATATCTGTCCGGATGGAAACAGGGAGCCAGGCTCCCAGCATAGGGGAGGGAGGGACATAGAGGTCTGCAAGGAGCCACGACGCTGAGGCCACCGTCTGCCCAGCAGACATACATTGGGAGCATCCTGGTGTCGGTGAACCCATACCAAATGTTTGGAATCTATGGGCCGGAGCAGGTGCAGCAGTACAACGGACGGGCCCTGGGAGAGAATCCCCCGTGAGTGTCTCGGGGGCGCTGCCCTGGGGTCTCTTGGGCCCCTCTTTCCCCTGCTCTGGGAGCCTGGATCCCGGCTGCACCTGAGCCATGAGTCAGAGGTAATGGGGAAAGGCAGCCCACCTACTCAATCTGACAGTCTCTCCCCAGGCAGGGCCGAAGCTACAGGTTGGAGGCCACTGTCGTTCAGACCAGGATGGGGGTGGGAGCATTCCCCCAACAGGGTGAGGGGTGGGCAGGATTGGCTGTTTGGCTGGATACGGATGCTCCCTGCCCAATCCCTGGGAGGTGTGGGAGCTTAGAGGCAGGGGCCAGCTCTAATGACCTGTCTCCCCAGGCACCTCTTTGCTGTTGCAAATCTCGCCTTCGCCAAAATGCTCGATGCCAAACAGAACCAGTGCATAATCATTAGGTGAGTGGGCTGCCTTTATGTGGGGGATAAATGGGGGACCTTAGGTAGCAGGCCTGCATCTGGCCAGAACTGCTGTGGGACCTTGGAAGATTGCCTGGTACCTCTGGGTTGGCCCACCGTACATATCCTCTTGCTTCATGATGGGAGTCAGGGTGCCCCAGAAGAGGCAGCGAAAGGTTGGAGCTCACTCTGCCCCTTTGCTCGGTCAGTGGAGAGAGCGGCTCTGGCAAAACTGAGGCCACCAAGCTGATTCTGCGCTACCTGGCCGCCATGAACCAGAAACGGGAGGTCATGCAGCAGGTGAGTCTACCTGTCTCCCCAGGACCCTAGGCTGAACACCCTTTGATAAGCACACCTCATGTACTCCCGAAGAGGCAAGGCTCCTTGGCCCACCAGGAAGATGAGGAGGCTGAGTTCCAGAAGGGGGCCTTGCCCAGGGCTGCTTTTTCTGCCACCCTTCCCAGGGGTGTGCCTGAGGGGTGAGAGTTCCTGCCTGTCTGTGTTTCTGTGGCAGCTCCTGCTTCCAGCCCTCCGGGTCCAGTTCAGAGTGGAGACCACATAGGGAAGGGGAGTCCACATAGGGAAGGGGAGTCATCCCATCTCTCCCACCTGGCCTCACCTTCCTGGTCATGGCCCTGGGGCCACCATATTCTCACACCCAGAAGCTATGCAGCCCCCAGCGGTCAAGAGGCAGGGCAGGCCTGAGTGTGGGTTAGGGGTGGGGTGGGGGAGGCAGTAGATGCCAGGCCAGAGTCTGAAGGATTGGAGCTTTGCTGACAAAGACAGTGCTAAGCCCTCTGAGCCTGAGAATGGTAGAACTGCATCCGTTCCCTCAGTAAAGATCTACTGAAGACCTACTGTGTGCCAGTCCCAGGCTAGGCACTGGGGAGGGGTAGCGGCAACTCAGGCAAATGTTCACACCCTTATGGGAACTTCATTCTAGTGGTGGAGGTGGGAAGAAAAAAAAAGATATATATATATATATATATATATATACACTTATATAAGTAAATTATGTGTATGTGAAAGGGTAGGTGGTGAGTTGTGGAGGAAAAAAGTGAAGAGAAGGGTGGCGAGTGTTGGGGGTTGCAATCGTAAGTGTGGTGGTCAGGGTAGGCTGTACTGAGAAGACAAGAGAGTGGGCTCTAGGAAAGTCTAGGGGAACAGTGAAGAGGCAGAGGGAGGAGCGCCTGCACTTTGAGGTGCAAGCAGATTGGGTCCAGGTGCAGGTCAAAGCCAGCCAGCAACCTACAGAGAAGACAGACTGGGGTGTGAGAGGGAGAACTGTCGGAGGGTGACCCCAGACATTCGGTCTGAGCCACAGGCAGCATGGAGGCAGGCTGGGCAGTGGAGGAGGAGCAGGTTTGTTGAGAAGAGGTGTCTGCTAGGCATCTACACAGAGATGGCAGGGAGGTGATGGATGCACCACCAGCCTGGAGCTCAGGAGAAGGTGGGACTGGCCTGCCAGCTCAGACTCCAGAACCACAGACCCAGACTTCCCCAACCCTGGGGCCCACAAAGGTTTGCACATGGCACAATGTCCTAGCCAGGGGCGAGCCCAGCAAGGTGATCCTGGGGGCGTAGGTGGAGGCTGCTCAGGCTTTGCAGTCAGGTTCCAGCCTGGCCTGGCCCCCTCTGATGCCTGCCTTGGCCTGCCAGGGTCTCCCATCCCAGCCCAGGCCTCCTGATGACCAAACAGATCATCCCTTGCTCCAGAGTTTTCAAAACCTTTCAGGTCAGACTTGTGGAATGACTAGGTAGGTAGGCAGGGAAAGAAGTAAGTGTACCTCGTGCACCTCCTGTGGCCAGGCACAGTGCTGGGTTCCTTCAGTTATCGTCACACCGGAGCTTTACGGCAACCCTGGGAGGTAGGTACACTTGTATCCATTTATAGATGGGAACACTGAGGCCTAAGAAGGGAGGAGTGAGGTGGTGCAGGAGCTGAGATTTGCAGTCCATGGCAGAGAGCTGTCAGGGAGGACGGATGGAGCTGTGGATGTGGCTGAGTCTGGGAGTTTGTGTGTGCCAGGCACACAGAATGTGTGAGGATGTGCCTGCCAGCTGTGATGACCATGGGGCTCCTTTCCTAGACATGGCTCTTCCCTCCTCAGATAATCAAACAGTCCAGTTCAGTTTTAGGCATGGCTGGATCCAGAATCTTAAACAATGTTTCTTGTCTTGGCTCCACCCTCCCCCATGTATAGGCATCATCCTCAATCTGTCTCCTATTGGTCAGCAAGCTGGCACCATAATGATCAACCCTCCCAACATTTCAGAAATGAAACATTCAGAGCTCCGTCTCACTGGGCAAGTTTTGGTCATATGTCCTCACTGGAGCCAACCACGTAGCACAGGGAATGCTCTGCCCTGACTGGCTAAGGCCTGGACCACAGGTTCCACCCTTCTGGTGTTTACCCACTCCATCCGCTGGCTTTATGCCCTGCTGTATGCTGGGCACCGGGAACAGAGAAGCAGCCAACCTGTCCTCAAGGGCTTCCCAGACTAAGGGATAGTACACAGGAAAGCCCAGGCAGACCTTGACTTATTGAGCAATCACAGGCCAGCCCCATCCCTCTCTGGACCTCAGTTTACTCCTTTATGCAATGGGTGCAGTATTTCCTGGACTAAATGGGACAGATGGAGGGAACTGGCCCCATCCCCAAAATTACAGGTATTGTTTCTGTGGTGACTGGACCTCCTTTGCTTCTTCCCTAAAAGATTATCCTGAGGAAGTGCCTCAGCTGAAGAAAGTGCCACGTACACACTAGGCCCATGCTCATCACTCGAGTGGACTCTGGAGTCCCTGGGCATGTCATTTCACCTCTCTAAGCTTCAGTTTCCTAATCTGCAAAACAGGGGTGATATTAGTACCTACCTCATGGGATTGTTAACAACGGCATTATCAGGGCAATGTGTCTGGCACACAGTAGGTGCTTAAATAGGTGGGAGCTTGTGATCAGCCATGGTCACCCCTGGGCAGCTCTGCCCGTGAGATGGTATTCCTTTTGTTTTTTGTTTTTGTTTTTGTTTTTTTTTAGACAGTCTCACTCTGTCACCAGGCTGGAGTGCAGTGGTGCCATCTTGGCTCACTGCAATGTCTGCCTCCCAGGTTCAAGCAGTTCTCCTGCCTCAGCCTCCCAAGTAGCTGGGACTACAGGCGCCCACGACCACGCCCGGCTAATTTTTTGTATTTTTAGTACAGACAGTGTTTCACCATGTTGGTCAGGATAGTCTGGATCTCCGGGCCTCGTGATCTGCCCACCTCGGCCTCCCAAACTCCTGAAATTACAGGCGTGAGCCACCATGCCCAGCCGATGCTATTCCTTTTTCCATCCCTTTAGCAGATATTTTTGAGAGCCTATTAAGCACCAGGTCTGTGTAGACGCTGGGGACTCAGAGATGTGCAAACAGTAGATCCGTGCCTGTAGGATTTGACATTCTAGTGGGGAGACAGACAATAATACCCAAGAAAATAGAGAGTTTGCCAATGGGGCTGAGGGCTACTGGAGAGAGAATTCTGGTGGCCTTCCTGTGAGAGGTAAGGGGTTGGGGGGTGGGGCATGCAGGTGCGTGGGAGCAGTGACTTCCAAGCAGAGGGAACAGGAGATGCCAATGGTCAGAGGCAGGAGTGGGCCTGGGTGTCAGGGAACAGTGAGGAAGGCCAGGGAGGATCCTTGGCTGGTGGTAGCCATGGGGGTGGGGAGAAGAGGACATCCCCAGAGCTGTTTGGAAGGCAAACTCAGCATATTTTCATACCTTGGAGACCCCATGGCAGTCCCCAAGCCTGGACCCCTGGGGTCTCTGAGCCTCACAGGTTTTTACTAGTCCCTCCCTGGTCTGAGGCTCCTAGTCTCCTGGAGAGAGTGGTGGTCGGTCCTGCTAGTGACTCCATTCTGTTCTTGTCTGTCTCTTTGTCCTCCCTCCTGGACGCTCTTGAAGATAAAGGTACTCAGTGTGTGTGTGTGTGTGTGTGTGTGTGTGTGTGTGTGTGTGTGTGTGTGTGTGTCTGTCCAGGAAAATGCGTGTGGATGTGCCTGCTCCTGTGTGGGTGGAGGGACAGGCAGGAAAGGACATCCAAAGGCCTGTCCTAGGCAGGGCTGGGGCTTGTGGTCAGGGGCTGCTGTGGGGGGCCATGGAGGCTGGAATGGGGAAGCATGGGGCTTGCTGTGTGGGAGTTGGGCAGCATGGGGTGGGAAACACTGGGGGGCACTGGAGAGACCTCAGGATTCTCTAGGGAGCCCACCTCTGGTCATCTCTCATAAAGGGAGGTCCTTGGGAAGGCTCATGTCTGGGTGTCCCCAGCTATGCCCCCCACCCAGGCCCCCAGAACAGTGCCTAGCCCCTCAATTCCCACATCTCCTTCTGGAGTCCAGATCCTGGAGGCAACACCCCTCTTGGAGTCCTTCGGTAATGCCAAAACCGTCAGGAACGACAACTCCAGCCGCTTTGGGAAGTTTGTGGAAATCTTTCTGGAAGGGTGAGTTGGGACAGTGGAGGGCCTCCCAAAAGCCTTGCAGTGTCTTCCATGTCCTGCCACAGCCCCTCGGAGCCAACACCAGCCCTCCTACCCTCACTGAGAGCTGACTGTGCTCCCCACCCCAGGGGCGTGATCTCTGGTGCCATAACCTCCCAGTACCTGCTTGAGAAATCCAGGATCGTGTTTCAGGTGGGCCACCCCCTCCCAGGCCTCTGTGTTGGGCAGGGTCGGGGTGGGAGGTACAGATACTCAGAGCCTGGCCCCTGGTAGGGCTAGGTAGACGTCAAATTAATGAACGAATACATGCGTACATGTGTACATGTGAGCCCAGGACCTCCCCTCCCCGACCCTCCTCCAGCCACGGTGGCTCCTCCCTGCCCCGCAGCACACAGGCACGCTCCTGCCAGGGCCTTTGCACCTTCTGTTCCTTCCCTCAGGAGCACTTATCCTTCAGGCACCTGCTTGGCCAAACCCCTCACCTCCTCCAAGTCTCCCCTACAATTTCACCCACTCAGGAAGCTCCCCATTTAAAAACGCAGCCCCTCTCCATCCCATCAGAGCCCCTACCCCGTCCACTGCTTTATTTCTCTCCAGTGTACTTTTCCCTGTCTCATATATTTTATGTTTTAAGCAGTTATTTGCTGAGTGTCTGTCTCCCTAGCTAGCAGGTGGGCTCCATCAGGTCAGGGGCTTCTCTCTACGTTGTTCCCCACTATGTCCCAAGGGCCTAGGACAGGGCTTGGTGCACAGGAAGTGCTCAGCCATCAAGAAGCTCTGTGTGTGCACATGTGGGCTATGGACACACATGTATGCAGGTGTGTGTGGCCGGTACACATAAGAGAAGACGGGTCCCTTTTCTCTTATTTCTCCTAACCAAATAAAATCCCACCAGAACCCTCTCAAACTTCAATCATACCAGGGCACCTCTGCTTCTGCCCTCACCCGCAGCTGGCACCAGGCTGGGAGCCTCACCCATCACAGAGGCGCGTGTTCTCATCTGCAGCCCACTGTGTGCATGTGCACTTGTGGGCAGGCTTGGGCTTGTATGTGTGCCTGGGGGTCACCTAGGTAGGTGGCTCCCTTCTCTGTGCCCACCTACCCACTCTACAGGCCAAAAACGAGAGGAATTACCACATCTTCTACGAGTTGCTGGCCGGGTTGCCTGCCCAGCTCAGGCAGGCCTTTAGCCTGCAAGAGGCTGAGACCTACTACTATCTGAACCAGGTGAGTGCCAGCAGGCATCTGAAGGCCCCTGGCCCTGGTCCTCCCACCCCGACGCCCCTGGCTGGGCCTTGGGAGCCGAGTTGTGAGTGATGGAGTGTGAAGGTGAAGGAGATTTGGGGAGGGTGAGTTTGGATTTAAGACATCTCATGGCAGTGAGGGGGACCAGGAGTCTTCTGGGTCCAAAGCGGAAGCAGGAAAGGCCTACCTGACTTCATTTCTCTGGAACCTGGAACAGAACCAACCAGTCTAGAGTTTCTACACTTCCCCTCTCTGTGCCTCAGTTTCCTCACCTGTAAAATGGGGACAACATAGTACCACTTTGCAGGGATGTAGTGAGGCTTAGATGAGGAAACGCATGTAAAGAGCTTAGCACAGGGCCTGGCATGCAGTACATGCTCAGTAAACACTTGCTACTCTTTTCATTACTATCACTGGGCAGCTGCAAAGGTCAACAGGTGACAACCCCTGCCACACATTGCACTTAGAATCTATGAACTCCGTCCTCAGCCGTGCTCAGAGCCTCCGTGCCCATGAGAGTGAAATGACAGCTTGAGTGACCAACTCAGGCCACCACACTACTGGTCAGGGCAGAGCAGGACCTGGAGGGCTCCCCAGCCCCACCCAAGCTCCCTGACCCTCAGCCTCTGCCCTCATGCAGGGTGGGAACTGTGAGATAGCAGGAAAGAGCGATGCAGATGACTTTCGCCGGCTCCTGGCTGCCATGGAGGTGTTGGGCTTCAGCAGTGAGGACCAGGACAGCATCTTCCGCATCCTGGCCTCCATCCTGCACCTGGGCAACGTCTACTTTGAGAAGTATGAGGTGAGGGGACGCCACAGCCTGCCATGGGGCCCGCACCCTCTGGACTTGGCCGTCTTTTCCAAGGCCTTCTCTGTTTCCCTTTCAGATTACACTATGCACATATCACTTGTTCCTGTTTTTTTCTTTTTTCCTTTGGGGTTGTTCATCTTTTTCCTCCTTATATATATTAAGGAAATCAGCCCTTTGTGTCTGATATGAATTGCAAATATATATTCCAGTTTGTCATTTATGTTTTAACTTTGTTTACAATGTTTTTTGGTGGGTTTTTATTGGCGGGGAGGGGTCTCACTCTGTCACCCAGGCTGGAGTGCAATGGCGCAGTCTTGGCTCACTCCTGTTGGCTCACTGCAACCACCGCCTCCCAGGCTCAAGTGATTCTCCTGCCTCAGCCTCCCGACTGCCTGGGATTACAGGCACACACCACTACCGCCCCACTAATTTTTGTATTTTTAGTAGAGACGGGGTTTCACCATGTTGGCCAGGCTGGTCTTGAACTCCTGACCTCAAATGATCCACCGGCCTCGGCCTCCCAAAATGCTGGGATTATAGGCATGAGCCACCGCGCCCAGCCCTTTGGTGTTTATTTTATTTTATTTTATTTTTATTTATTTATTTTTTCTTTGAGATGGAGTCTCGCCCTGTCGCCAGGCTGGAGTGCAGTGGCGCAATCTCGGCTCATTGCAACCTCTGCCTCCCAGGTTCAAGCGATTCCCCTGCCTCAACCTCCTGAGTAGCTGGGACTACAGGTGTGTGCCACCACATCCAGCTAATTTTTGTATTTTTAGTAGAGATGGGGTTTCATCATGTTGGCCAGGATGGTCTCGCTCTCTTGACCTCGTGATCCGCCCACCTCGGCCTCCCAAAGTGCTGGGATTATAGCCGTGAGCCACCGTGCCCCGGCCTGTTGGGTTTTTTATGCAAATTGTTTTAAAATTATTTTTAGATAGTTCATTTATCAATATTTTCTAGTACATTTAAATTTTATATTTGAAATTTTAAACTTTTTCATTTTTGGAGAAACTTCCTAAAATTGTAACAGCCTTCTTCCATAACTTTTTCTAAGACCTTTTATGGATTTTGTGAGTTTTAAAAAACACTTAAATCTTTGATCCATCCAAATTTATCCCAGTAAGGTGTGACGTAGGAATCCAACTTTTTTCCCAGGTGGTTACTCAATTGTCCTAATCTCTTGATTTGAAAAATACATCTTTATTAGCTGGGTATGGTGGCTCATGCCTGTAATCCCAACATTTTGGGAGGCCAAGGCAGGTGGATTGCTCGAGCCCAGGAGCTGGAGACCAGCCTAGGCAACATAGCAAGACCTCATCTCTACAAAAAAAAATTATTTTTAAAAAAGAAAGAAAAATACATCTTTGTCATGTGCTAAGTTTATATATACATTTATGTCTAATTCCAGACGTTCTATTGTGCTTTGTTAATCTATTTATGTACTGTGTCTATGACTACACTGGTTTTTTTCTTTTAATCGGCTTTTTTTTCTTTTTATTTTTTGAGACAGGGTCTCACTTTATGGCTCAGGCTGGAGTACAGTGGCACTTTCATAGCTCACTGCAGCCTCAACCTCCTAGGCCCAAGCAATCCTCCTGCCTCAGCTCCTGAGTAGCTGGGACTACAGGTCTAGGTCCCATGCCCAGCACATTTTTTAGACAGGGTCTCACTATGTTGCCAGGCTGGTCTTGAACTCCCTGCCTCATTCGATCCTCCCACCTCAGCCTCCCAAAGTGCTGGGATTACAGACATGAGCCACCGTGCCCAGCCTGTTTCTGTTTTTTATTTTTTCGAGACGGAGTTTCACTCTTGTCGCCCAGGCTGGAGTGTAATGGTGCGATCTCAGCTCACTGCAACCTCCGCCTCCTGGGTTCAAACGATTCTCCTGCCTCAGCCTCCCAAGTAGCTGGGATTACAGGCACCCGCCACCACGCGTGGCTATTTTTGTTTTTTTAAGTTTTTTGAGATGGAGTTTCGCTCTTGTTGCCCAGGCTGGAGTGCAATGGCACGGTTTCGGCTCGCCACAACCTCCACCTCCCGGGTTCAAGCAATTCTCCTGCCTCAGCCTCCTGAGTAGCTGGGATTACAGGCATACGCCACCACACCTGGCTAATTTTGTATTTTTAGTAGAGACGGGGTTTCTCCATGTTGGTCAGGTTGGTCTCGAACTCCTGGCCTCAGGTGATCCACCCGCCTCAGCCTCCCAAAGTGCTGGGACTACTGGCATGAGCCACAGTGCCCGGCCCTGTTTTTCATATGAACTTTAAATTTAGCCTATCTAGTTCAAAGCACATTCCTGTTGGTATTTTGCATAGACGGATGCACAGGAGGTGGCCTCAGTGGTGAGTGCCCGAGAGATCCAGGCCGTGGCAGAGCTGCTGCAGATCTCCCCTGAGGGCCTGCAGAAGGCCATCACCTTCAAAGTGACCGTGAGTCTGTGGGCATCTGGCCTTCGAACAAAGCTTTCTACCAGGGCCTGGACAGAGCTGCTTGTGCCGATCCTTTGTGGGCAGCCTCTCCCTCTCTCCTGCTCTCTCTGTCCCTGGGTCAGGCATGGAGGGGAGTAATTTCAGACCCCAGAGACATTTCAGATTCCAGTCTCAGACTGTTGCATAGGCTGTTTCCTCTACCCGGAATGCTCTTCCTCTTTTCACACCTACTCATCCTTTAAGACCCTATCCAGGTATCCCCTCCTCTAAGAAGCCTTCCCTAATCTTTGGACGGGTCAGTGCCTCCTCTGGTCTTTCACAGTCCTAGGCCCATTCTCCCTTCCCAGGGTTGATCTCATTGTATCTGCTGATGCCTCTGTCTCCCCCATTAGACCTGCAGTCCCCACTACTACCAGCATTTCCAGGCAGAGTCAGAGTGGGGGCAGGGGTGGTCCTGCCTAGTCTCTGTGTGCACAGTCACAACATCCCTCCAGCCTCCCTTCTCCATGATCCCACTCCCTTAGTCCCCTGGGGGCTTTCCGGAGGCAGAGTGGCCAGCCTGATGTCACTCAAGGGCTGTGCCCGTCCCTAGGAGACAATGCGAGAGAAGATCTTCACGCCCCTAACTGTGGAGAGCGCTGTGGATGCCAGGTGAGGCCACGCCCTCCCCTGCCTGAGCCCCGAGGCCCAGCACCCCACCACGGTGTCCTGCTCACACCAGCACCACCTCTGCTCCAGGGACGCCATCGCCAAGGTCTTGTATGCACTGCTGTTCAGCTGGCTCATCACCAGGGTCAACGCGCTGGTGTCCCCAAGGCAGGACACACTGTCCATCGCCATCCTGGACATCTATGGTTTCGAGGTGGGGCCGTGTAGGAGGCTGAGGGGCGGGGGACATAGGCAAGGTCTCGCCTCCCTCAGGCGTCTCGGGCTGCCCTTCCCATCCCTTTCTGTGCCTGCAGCAGGTGCCATCCTCCCTTCATGGACCCCTCCCTGTCACCATCTCCCTTGTCTCCTTCCATTTTCTTTACTCACCACAAGTACTCCCAAGGCCTCTGGGCCAGGCCCTGTGCTGGGCAATACCAGCTGCCCAGAAAGGACCAGCCAGGGCCCTGCCCTTGGGGAGCTTCCAGGTGAGGCTGGGTGGGGAAGGCTTCCTGGATGAGGATGAGACACTCCTGAGACCCAGCAAAGGCACTGTAGGTGCAGGGAACAGAATATGCAAGGGCTGGGAGGGGTGGCGGGTCATGAGGTCTGGGACTGGACTTCGTGTGTTGGGGGGTGACTGTTTTGTGAGTGCACAGCAAAGGAAGTGGTGAGGGACAGGGCAAGATCACCATGCAGCCATCACAGGCACTCACGTGGCACCTGTTATGTGCCAGGTGCTGTTTAAAGCACTTTGTTAATTCACTTCATCCTTACAGCAACCCTATGAGGCAGGTACTGTCAGTATCCTCATTTTACAGATGGGGAAACTGAGGCATGGGGCTGTTATTCAAGGTTATGTAGCTAGAAAATGGCAGAGCCAGCATTTGAACCCAGGCAGAAGGCCCCAGAGCCTTGGCCTTCAGGCACTGCCTGTGCTGTCAGGACAGAGCCTGTCAGATTCTGTCCTGGGTGCAGCAGGAGCTGTGGAGGGTTGTGAGCTGAGGGCCTGTGGCTGAGCTCCAGCTTTTTGAAGTTGCCACCAGGGAAGGTAGGGGCAAACAGGCTGGTGGCCAAGGAAGGACCAGTCCCAGCACCCCCATCCACCTGGCAGGACCTGAGCTTCAACAGCTTTGAGCAGCTGTGTATTAACTACGCAAACGAGAACCTTCAGTACCTTTTCAACAAGATCGTCTTCCAGGAGGAGCAGGTGTGTGGGCCCCATTAATACTCCTGTCCCTGTCTTGACTGGCCAGTGGACCTCCTTGGAGACAGATGAGGATATACTGGTTGTTTAAGGGCAATTCTGACATCAGTAGACAGTAGAGGGAAAGGCATTCTAAGCTGGGGACCAGCCCATGGGAAGGCCTCTGTTCTGGAGGGAAAGGTGCTGAGGTGCTGTGCTCAGAGAGGAGTCCCCTTGGTGGGGGTCCTTCTTCTCCTCTACTGGGCTGTCCCAGGCAGAGGGAGCAGCAGGACCCTGAGTTGGCTCATGCTGCCTTATTAGGGGGTGAGCTCCCTGTTCTGGGAGGTATGCAAGCAGAGGTGCTGCTGGCCAGGCTCCTTCAGATTCAACATGGGAGGGAGGGTGGGTGGGCCCTGGACAGGGATGGGAGGTTGAGCTCCTGCTGCCCACTGCCTGCAGGAGGAGTACATCCGTGAGCAGATAGACTGGCAGGAGATCACCTTTGCTGACAACCAGCCCTGCATCAACCTCATCTCACTGAAGCCTTATGGCATCCTGCGGATCCTTGACGACCAGTGTTGCTTTCCCCAGGTGAGCCGCAGGCACTGTGTGAGCCTAGTCAGGTCACAGATCTCTCAGCCTCATGTCCTCATCCCACCCTGACTCCTTCATTCCTCTCTGCTCTGGCCTGAGTCAGGCAGTGGGGGGTTGGGACACCCGACCTACTATTCACAACCTGGGGTGATTGAGGCCAGATGGGCCGCTGTGGGTGTTCAGAAGAGAGGCTACACCAGTCTGGAAAGCCACAGAAGGTTTCCTGGAGTAGGTAACCTTGGAATTGGGCCTCAAATCCTGATTGCAAAACACAAGGGTGGAATGGCAGTGAGATCAATAGAGTGCAAAGGCAGTTGGCCTGGAGGGGAGGCAGTTAGGAGCTCACCCAGCTACACCTATCTTCAAGGGACCACTCAGGCCTCCAGTGCCTAGCTAAGGCACTCGCCTTCTGACCCAGGGAGATGGGCAGCCATGGGAAGCTGTGAGTTGTTCCTCTCTGGTGCTCAGTTGGGAGCAGTCGGGGATAGTGAGGTTGCCACCAGGCCAGGAACAGGGTGTCCAGGCCTCCTGCCCACCCACTGATCCCTAAATTGCCCCCAGGCTACAGACCACACCTTCCTACAGAAGTGCCACTACCATCATGGCGCCAACCCGCTCTATTCCAAACCCAAGATGCCGCTGCCTGAGTTCACCATCAAGCACTATGCAGGCAAGGTCACCTACCAGGTGAGCCCTAAGACAGTCGGCCTGGACGCTGGTGCTGCAGTGCTGCTAGCTGTTGGAGACACAGAAGCACAACACTGGCCCCAGACATTCACAGCCAGGTCCAATTCTGGCTCTGCTGTGCCCCAGCTCTGTGACCTTGAGCAAATTGCTTAGCCAGTCTGAGCCTCAGTTCTCTCACTTGGAAAATGGGGTAATAATAGTGCCCAACTCATGGGGCAGGTGTGAAAAATGTAGGGTGGGTTTGATAAAGAGTAGCTCATCAATAGTGACATCACTATGGTCACCCTCATCACTATTATCTGAGGCACATTCCTGCCCTGGAGGTGTCTCAGGCTAGGATTCCATGCCTCTGTCCCCATCCGGGCCTTACTTTTCTCATCTGTAGAATGGGCACAGGACAATGTCCTTCACTGAGGGTGAGGCCAAGACCCAGGTTGGTCATGAGAAGCCATGGCGAATGCTCCCCTCCCCCAGGAGTAGGGAGAATGGTGGGGGCTGGAGGGGTGGGGACCATAGAAGTGAGGAGGATCCAGTCCCTCCTAGGATAGACAGAGAGACAGAGGCCAGGATTACCCAGGCCATTGTTCCCCTTTTCAGGTGCACAAGTTCCTGGACAAGAACCACGACCAAGTGCGCCAGGATGTGCTGGACCTGTTCGTACGGAGCCGGACACGGGTAAGCCTCGCCTCCCACCGCTCTGGCCCTGCCCCCAGGCATGTCCCCACCCCCACACCCAGCCTGCCTTCAGGCCTGGGACCGTGTTGCCACGTCCTGGCTCCGCTTAGCTTTGGCCAGACAAAGACAAGGGTGGCCTGGACACCCTGTTCCTGGCCTGTTCCCACCTAGCTTGGCTCCGCCCTAAACCTAGCGCCTCATCCTGATCCTGTCCTCTGGCTCCCCACAGCCCCAGTGGCTAGACTCTGGCCCCGCTCCCAGTTCTAACCCTGTACCCCACCAGCTGTGGCCTTGCCCTGTACTTACCCCACTCTGGGCCCCACCCCATTCCCTGGCCCATTCTTTCCTGGCTTCTTGCCAGACCTGTTCCCCCAGTCCCACCTCCTGGTGTTCTCAGTTTCTCCCACCCCACCCATAAGGCCCCGGGGAAGAGCTTGGGGGACCAACTTTGGGTTCCTTGAAGGCTTGGGGAGGCCCTGCATCCCAGCTACACTACGGCCAGCAGATGGCCCTATGACAGAGCACAGGCCTGGTAACATCACCTCCCCTATCTGGCCCTCCGCTTCCTCCTGTCAACTGGGCAACCTCCTCATGAGGTCATAGCCAGAGTTCACAACCATGTATCTAACAGGCCACCCTGGGGCCAGGCACACAGTCAGTAACTGTGTGTTCCTTAGACTGAAGGGGAAAAAGCCAGTTATGGGATGGATCCCTTGGAAGATGCTGAGCCCCACCTGTTTTGAGAAGCATGCAAGCCAGGATGACAGAGGCCTTGCAGAGAGAACAGGGGTCCAGTTAGTCTTCAGATCCCCCTGGTCCGGAGATTTACTCCTGCTCTCTCTTCCTCCTCATTTCGGTCTCCCGGACCCTGCCTGTCTGTTTTCCCTGCCCCGACCCCTGCCCAGGTGGTGGCACACCTCTTCTCCAGCCATGCCCCACAGGCTGCCCCTCAGCGCCTGGGCAAGAGCAGCTCCGTCACTCGGCTCTACAAGGCGCACACTGTGGCCGCCAAGTTCCAGCAGTCACTCCTGGATCTGGTGGAAAAGATGGAGAGGTGGGGTGGGGGGCAGGTGGGCGGAGCACCCAGCCTCATCCTTAACCCACCTCATGACCCTCAGAGGTTGAGCGCCTTCTTTTTCTGAGGCCTCATGCTGTCCTCTTCCTGCCACTGCCAGGTGCAACCCCTTGTTCATGCGTTGCCTGAAGCCCAACCACAAGAAGGTGAGTGAGAGCTGAGGCCTCTGAGAGAGCCAAATCCTCCTGCCCATGCTGTGTGACCTTGGGCAAGTGGCTTGGCCTCTCAGGACCTGCATCTGCCCAGCCTAGCACTGGGAATATTCACCATGATAATGCCTTTTGCACATGGCTGAGCCAATGTGCAGACTCCCTCTCTGGGCATCCCTACAGGAGCCAGGTCTCTTTGAGCCAGATGTGGTAATGGCACAATTACGCTATTCAGGGGTGCTGGAGACCGTGAGGATCCGCAAGGAGGGATTTCCAGTGCGCCTGCCTTTCCAGGGGTTCATCGACAGGTATCTTGGTTACGGTAGTTCCTGAGCTCTACAAATCCCTGCCCAACTCCCCATGGCCCCAGGAATACACAACCCAGGCAGTACAGGGCTTGCCATGCACAGTTGCTCAGGTTGTACACTTCACAAGGCTACCACATGCTAACTGTTAATGTGGTAGATACATTTATTGTTTTGCCTTTTTTTGTAGTTATATGTTGTATAACGTATAATATGTCTAATCAACGCTCCGCGTTATTAGAATGGTTTTAGTAGTTATAATGACAAGTTTCCAGCAGGTGGCAGTCAAGTGTCCTGTTGTACTGAAATCATCTATTATAACAATTGTCTGACACCCAGAAGTAAAGAGTCTTGAGGATGGAGTGCCTTTTTTCAGATTAGAATAAACTATTTGTGGAGCCACCACTGGGACCAGGCTTTTTGGACACCTGGCTGGGGGCAGTAACCCCATGGTCTAGCAGACACCTCGGGTAGGTCTCATAGCCCCAGACTAACTTTGGGCCCCCTACCAGGTACTGCTGTCTAGTGGCCCTCAAGCATGACCTGCCGGCTAATGGGGACATGTGTGTGTCAGTGCTGAGTCGCCTGTGCAAAGTCATGCCAAACATGTACCGTGTTGGGGTCAGCAAGGTGAGTCCTGCCCGACAGTCAGCCCTTGGAGACCCCAAGTTTGGGGGGGTCCACAACTACTGAGTCAGAAATGTCCAAGCTAGAGACTGCCATCCCAGGAGCAACCCAGATGAGCTTGGGATATGGAATGCTAACTACCTGATTCACCAGCATCCTCTCTTCAACCTCTCCAAGTCCACCCCATCCCTCCAGCCCCGCTCCAGGAGGCTGCCCTGCCTATTCTGTCTCCACGGACTTCTAGAGAGGGAGGGGCCCTTAGTCCAGCCTCCTGGCTCCTATCTGCCTCAGTGCCTTCCTCCTGTCCTTAGCTGTTCCTTAAGGAACACCTATACCAGCTGCTGGAGAGTATGCGAGAGCATGTCCTGAATCTGGCAGCCCTCACTCTGCAGCGCTGCCTCCGTGGCTTCTTCATTAAGCGGCGATTCCGCTCTCTGCGCCACAAGATCATCCTGCTGCAAAGCCGGGCCCGTGGCTACCTTGCCAGGTGAGGCACAGAAAAGGCAGGATTCCTAGGAGACCTATGGTCAGGCTCGGGAGAGGTCACGCCTGAACTTAGGTGGTGAGCTCCCTATCCCTGGAGGCATGCAAGCTGAGGGTGGAGGCCTCTGCAGGAGAATGATCAGATTCTCTGTGTCTCTGCTTTTGAATGCCCTTCCCAGCCAACCCCAGGCCCTTGTGACTGGTGGGTGGGAATCCATTCAGCCAAGAGGGGCCTTACCCTGCATTTCAGGGACCTGAGATTATAAGCTGTTGGGAAATAAATTATTCAGGCAGGTTTAATCCAGGCCTTGCTACTTAATATGCTGTGTGACCTTGGCAAAGTCACTGCCCCTCTCTGAGCTCCAGTTTCCCTTTGAGCCAAAGGACCCCAAAAGTGAGATGTGGGCACTGGCTCCCAGGCCAGGCTGGCAAGGGCCTCTCTACCTTTTGGTCACCCTGTCACCCTGTGGCCCCAATCCCTGACCTCCCCACTACCCCAACCCAGGCAACGCTATCAGCAGATGAGGAGGAGTCTGGTGAAGTTCCGGTCCCTGGTACACGCATACGTGAGCCGCCGACGCTATCTCAAGGTATAGGCCCTACCCTATCTGGGTCCAAGGGGACAGCAGAGAAGGGGAAAGGGCACTTAGCACCCAAGAGGAGACTACTGGCCTCAGGCAGTCTTGGGTTCAAATTCTGCCTCTGCCACCCACTAGCTCTTTAACTTTGGCCATTGTCTATCCTCGATTTTCCCATCTACCCCTTGGGATTGTGGAGAGGGTTAAATGAGATGTTGCATTGAAGGATTTGGCCTGGTGCTGGGTTCACAGTGGGGTCTTCGGGAATTGAGGGCCATTAGAATTTGGTGACCTGAATGTCACTGGGTATGGTTTTGCTCTTACCTTCATGTCTTGACCCACTGTCATGCAAACTAGCCACCAGAAAGACAAATGCAGTTCCCAAAGCAATGAAGCAGTAGGTAGCCTTTACTGAAGGTGGCGCTACAGAGGAGGGCTTCCCATGACACAGTGCTCAGCCACCTCCCAGAAATCCTCCTTGTGTGTCTCTTTCCCCAGCGTTTTTCTCCCTCCGCTTGCCTCTGTTTCTCTCTTGCTCTCTCCTTTTCCCTCCCCTTTTCTCTGGCCAACCTCAGCCTCCCGCCCCACCTGTGGAGTGGGGCAGTCACCTCCACACAACAGGCAAGCTGCCCCCCTTGCTTGAGTGTGGCCGCCTTGCGTAAGCTGGCCTGGCCTGCCTGGGTGCCGGTCGTCACCTCTGCCTGCCACTCCCCAACCTGACATCTTCTCTTCTGAAGCTGAGGGCAGAGTGGAGGTGCCAGGTGGAGGGGGCGCTGCTGTGGGAGCAGGAGGTGGGTGTGGGTCTGGGTGGCAGCAGGGCCAAGGAGGGAGGCTGGCAGGTGGGGATGTGGCAGGCCTGTCCCTGTCCCATGCACTGTCCCTCTAGGAGCTGAGCAAGCGGGAGGTAGTCGCTGTGGGGCACCTGGAGGTACCGGCTGAGCTGGCTGGGCTCTTGCAAGCAGTGGCAGGTGGGTCAGCACCAGGCGGGGGGAGGGCCCAGGCAGATCAGAGCAGGCACCGCATTCCCTCCTCTTTCCACAGGCCTCGGGCTGGCCCAGGTGCCTCAGGTGGCCCCTGTGAGGACTCCTCGACTCCAGGCTGAGCCCCGTGTCACACTGCCCCTGGACATCAACAACTATCCTATGGCCAAGTTTGTCCAGTGCCACTTCAAGGTAAGGGCTAGCTGAAGTCCAAGGCTCCCTGGCTGATAGGCGCTGACCAATTAGAATGGACATTGTCCTTGCCCTGGGGCAGGCTCCTGGCTGTGCCCTGTGGTGTTGGGTATGAGCCTTTTAGTTGCTGGATCATAGGGAATCTGGGAGATCCCTGAGGTCTGGATAGCAGTGGAGAGCCCTCAGGGGCTCGGGCAGGGCTGTTTACCACCAACCAGTCTGGAAATATTTCAGAAATTGAACAACTGGTGGAGCCATAGCATGTCAGCCCAGCTCTGATTTCCTCCCCTTGAGATGAAGGTTTATCCTGTCCCTACCACCGACTTGCTGAGGGCCACTGTGGTGGCCCCTCACCAGCCTCAGTTTCCCCATCCATACACTGAGGACCAAAGCCCCTGCCTCATAGGCCTTGGAGCCCCATGTGGCACAGAGCAGTGGGTCCAGATGTGCCTGTCAGTCCAGCTCTGTCTGCTCATGTGCCTGCCCTGTGTCTTAGGAACCTGCCTTTGGGATGCTGACAGTGCCCCTGAGGACACCCCTCACGCAGCTGCCAGCCGAGCACCATGCAGAAGCCGTGAGCATCTTCAAGCTGGTATGGGGTCTGCCCCAGCCCACCTTCTAATTCTTAGCCCCTGGCCCTGAAACTGGGCCATGAGGCTCCCAGTCTTCCCAGCCCTCCCCAAGCCCAACCCATGAGCCCCACACCTCTTCCCCAAAGGACAGACTTTTATGTCAGAGGGGGAAATCTGGCTTCCTCTCTGAGGACTGGTGGCTTTTCTTCTCCCAGCCATCTTCCTGGCAAAAAAAAAAAAAAAAAAATTCTGCCTTGGAGCCTCTCAAGGACACCAAGAAGAGACCCAGATCTCCTTAAGGACTTCTCAGTCTGAAGGGGGAGGCAGAGTTGACCCAGCCAGTGACCACCAGTATGGACAGAGGGAAGCACCAAGTCTGGGGAGTCTGATGGGGCCACTAATTCAGCCCTGGGCAGGGCCAGAGAGGGCTTCCTGGAGGAGAAGGCATTTGAGCTGGAGGGGAATTTGCCAGGCAGGGAGAGTGGAGAAAGTACACAGAGAAGAGGAAATTGGTGTGGTCAGAACAGAGTCAAGAGGGCAAGGGTGAGACTGGCCAGTGAGGCCTTGATTACAGTACCCAGAGCTTAGATTTCATCCCAAGGCACCTAGGGAGCCAAGGCAGGTGCTTCCATGGGAGGGTTGTGGTCATATCTGAATGTTAAAAAGAACCCTCTGCGGCCTAGATAGAGCAGGAGGTGGGGGCTGGCTGGAGGGCCAGGGGTGCAGGGAGGGGGCTAGGGCTGCATGGGGAGCTCTAGAAGGTTCATGAACAGGAAAGATGACACATACTTTGGATCTTTAGTTTTCCCATAGTTGAGGTAAACTGCCTGGTCATTCGGCATAGAATATGGCAGTTGTAGGCCAAGCACGGTGGCGCACACTTGTAATCCCAGCACTTTGGGAGGCCAAGGCAGGCAGATCCCTTGAGTCCAGGAGTTTGAGACCAGCCTGGGCAACATGGTGAAACGCTGTCTCTACTAAAAATACAAAAATTAGCTGGGTGTGGCTGCATGTGCCTGTAATCCTAGCTACCTGAGGGGCTGAGGTGGGAGGATCACTTAGGCCCGGGGAAGTTGAGGCTGCAGTGAGCTGAGATCCCACCACTGCACTCCAGTCTGGGTGACAGAGACTCCATCTCAAAAAAATATTCTATATATATAGCAGTTATATTGTAATATAAGGGACATTTATATGGGCAGGGGCACACATGGGAGGGACATGAGAGGGATGCATGTTGTGGGGTGGGGACTGGAAGGAACAACTTTCTGAGATGCCCAGGAGACTCTGTTCGTGGCCCAGATCCTGCGCTTCATGGGCGACCCCCACCTGCATGGTGCCCGGGAGAACATCTTCGGGAACTACATCGTGCAGAAGGGGCTGGCGGTGCCTGAGCTGCGGGATGAGATCCTGGCACAGCTGGCCAATCAGGTGTGGCACAATCACAATGCCCACAATGCTGAGCGGGGCTGGCTGCTGCTGGCCGCCTGCCTCAGTGGCTTTGCACCTTCCCCGTGCTTCAACAAGTACCTTCTCAAGTGAGTGGGACTGGATAGGGGCTGGGACACGAGGGACGGTGGCACCAGCAGTGGAGCCCAAGGCAGGGTCTTAAAGGTCAGGCCAGGAGTCAGATCTCTATGCTGGGAAGCTCAGGCATGGAGGCTGGCCAGGGCTGCTCTGCATTTCTACTGGGCTCAGAGCAAGAAAGGAGGGCAGGCCTTCACTGCAGGGGCTAGGAGTTAGGTCAGACTGGATGAGGGACTTCCAGAACTCAGAGTGGGACAAGACCAGCATGTGGAGAATTTGGAAAAGAGCATTGACCTCTCACAGCATGAGAGTTTAATGGGGTGGTTAGGAGCATGGATACGGGACTCAGACAATCAGGGTTCAAATCCCAGCTCAGCCATATATGAGCTGTGTGACCTTGGGTAAGTTACTTAACCTCTCTGGGCTTTAGTTTCCTTACATATCAAATGGGGGTTATTCTTTTATAGTTTATAAGTGTGATGATTGAGTTTTCATGCTCAGGCATGAGATGTGTCACCCTCAAACCTTGCTAAAACATCAGCACAAGACCAGACGCAGTGGCTCAGGCCTGTAATCCCAGCACTTTGGGAGGCCAAGATGGGAGGATCGCTTGAGCCCAGGAGTTGAAGACCAGCCTGGACAATGTATTGAGACCTTGTCTCTGCAAAAAATTTAAAAATTAGCTAGGCATAGTGGCACACGCATGTAGTCCCAGCTACTCAAGAGGTTGAGGCAAGAGCATTGCTTGAACCCAGGAGGTTGAGGATGCAGTGAGCCAAGATCATGCCACTTACACTTCAGCCTGGGCAACAGAGCAAGACCCTGTCTGATGTTAAAAAAAAATGGCATAATGATAATACCTACTTCATAGGCTCTTGTGTGGATAAAATATATAAACACACGTAAAGTGCTTAGAACAGAGAGGGGCACATGGTAGGTGCTATGTGGGTATAACCATCACAATGATGTCACCCTGCTGGGTGAGAAGGATGATTTGCAAGGAAATCGCTCAGGCAGGCCCTGGGTGTGAATCTCAGCTCTGATACTTACCTGCTGTGTGGCCTGAGACAAGTCACTGTCCCTCTCTGAACCTGTTTCTTCCCTATAATTTGGGGATGGCAACAGAACCCACCTAACAGGGTGGCTGTGAGTTAGAGTATACAGAATCTTGCTTAGGCCAGCATGCAGCAAATGGACATCACCTGGCCAGTCTTGTGACTCTGTGGCAGCTGACAGCAGGGTAAGGCCGTTGCTGGTCTGCCTGCCTGGGGCTTTCCTGAGGGCATGGTGCTAGGTTCCCTCTCTAGCTACTGTGGGCCTGCACCAGTGCTGCTCTTGGCCAGGCTTAGCTGCAGGAGATGTAGGATGTGGGGGTGAGGGAAGCATGAGGAATGGCTGGTAGGGATTGGGCTCATTGGGCCTGGGTTGAGTTGAACCCTCAGCTGTCCCTTTTATAGGTGAAAACTTGGAGGAGAGGCTCAGAGAGGGCAGATAATCATCCAAGGTTGCCCTGTGAGAGAATGGAGACAGAGTTCTGGTTGTTGCCCACACCCAGCTGCAGACCCCAGCCTGTCAATGACATTTTGTTCCAACAAGCTGGTACCTCTTTGGCCTATCCTTGGACCTCTGGGCTGGCCTGAGATACTTCTGGACTAGCCTGGGACCCTTTCAGTTTAGCCGTGGGACTCTAAACTACCCTGAGATCTTTTGTAGGCTAGCCTGGGACCCCTTAAGTGCAGTCCCAGAGCACTGGACTCTAGCCTGGGACCCTTGTGAACCAGCCTGGAGCCTTTTTAGCCTCACCTTGGAGCTCTGGAGTAGCCTGGGCCTTTCTCAGACTAGCCTCAGAATTTCCTACCCCCACCCCGCAGCCCTCAGCCCCAAGCTAGCTTCAGATCCTTCTTGATCCTGGCTCCAACTCCTACCCATCAGGTTTGTGTCTGATTATGGGCGGAATGGCTTCCAGGCTGTGTGTCAGCACCGCCTCATGCAGGCCATGGGCCGGGCCCAACAGCAGGGCTCGGGGGCTGCCCGCACCTTACCCCCGACCCAGCTCGAGTGGACAGCGACCTATGAGAAGGCCAGCATGGCGCTGGACGTGGGCTGCTTCAATGGTAAGCTGCCTTCCCCCACCTCAGTGAGGGCAGTGGGAGTCAGCAGGGCCCAGTGAGCCCCGGGGATGGCAGAAGCCACTGGATGTTCTGGAGCTGGGGAGGGGCCTTCTCAGATGTGGCTCTGCGTGAAAGTCTGTGTGTGGGGGTGGGACCTGGCCCAGGAAAGGGGAGCCAGGGAAGTGAGGCTACAGATACAGGAAGCCTGAAAGGAAGAAGCAAGCAGGGAGGCACAGCCAAACTGGACTCAGATGCTCCAACCTGAGCCCGGCACCTGCTGCGCCCCAGGTGACCAGTTCTCCTGCCCGGTGCACTCCTGGAGTACGGGGGAAGAGGTGGCTGGAGACATTCTGAGGCACAGGTTGGCTCCTAGGATGCCCTCCCAGCACACTCTTATGTACCTGGAATGTTGTGGGGGGAGGTCAGATCCCCCAGAGGGTCCCATAGGGTCCATTCTGTTCATGTTTAGGGTCTGGCTTATAACCCAGGATCTCCCCAGGTAGTGCCTGATGACTCTGTCCCTCATTTCCATTCCTGTGCATGCCATCACCAGGGGGCTGGCAGATGGCTGGCGCGGCTGGACCGTGGCCATGAAGAATGGTGTCCAGTGGGCAGAGCTGGCTGGCCACGACTACGTGTTAGACCTGGTGTCGGACCTGGAGCTGCTCAGGGACTTCCCTCGACAGAAGTCCTACTTCATTGTGGGCACAGAGGGGCCTGCAGCCAGCAGGGGAGGCCCCAAAGTGTAGGTAGCTATGGGGGACCCCCTCACAGATGGCCACTCCCAGGCAGAAGGCCGGCCACTCCCAGGCAGAAGGCCTGCCCCTCCCAGCTGCTGGGACAGGCTGAGCCCTGAACTTAGACTTCAGGTTCTTAAGGAGGTAGAGTTCACCAAAGGATCCTGCTTTTAAATGGAGAAAGCCACTGAATACCAGGGTGCAGAAGAAAATTTGGGGGATTCTGGGATCTCTCTGGGGGTCAGTAGCTCCATGTTCCTTTTCTCCACAGGGTGTTTGGGAACAGCTGGGACTCGGATGAGGACATGTCCACTAGACCCCAGCCCCAGGAGCACATGCCCAAAGTACTTGACTCTGATGGGTACAGCAGCCACAATCAGGACGGTACAAATGGGGAGACTGAGGCCCAAAGAGGGACAGCAACCCACCAAGGTCAACCAACAATGGCTGCTGTCTCTGGTGGGGAGGGAGCCTTAGAGGCTGTGTGGGGTGGAAATCATCAAGAAAAAAGAACTTGACATTTTTGTGCCTTCCCCTCCAGAGTCAGACAGTCTTGGAGAGCCTGCTGTGCCCCACAAGGGGCTGGACTGCTACCTGGATAGCCTCTTTGACCCTGTGCTGTCCTACGGGGATGCGGTAGGGATGGTGTGGGGTGGGTCATTTGCAGACAGCAGGCACAGCATGTACACCCAAGTCACACACTTGTACAGGGTGACCTGAGAGCTTCTCACAGCCAGGGTCATGGGGTGGTGTGTCCCATCTGGATGTCTGCTGGAGGCTGGACAAAGGATGAGGGTCTCTTCACAGCTAGAGATGCTCTTGGCTGATCCTGGAAGGACCCACAGTTAGAAGTGCACCTCTAGCAAGGTGTGGTGGCATGCCTCTGTAGTCCCAACTACTTAGGAGGCTGAGATGGGAGGATCACTTGAGCCCAGGAGTCTGAGGCTGCAGTGAGCTGTGATTGCACCACTGTGCTCCAGCCTGGGCAACAACAAGACCCTGTCTCAAAAAAAAAAAAAAAAAAAAAGAAAGGGAAGAAGTGCACCTTTGGTGGCAGCCAGCCCCCCGGGGCCACTAAAATATCTCTATCTGGATGGAGTTGAATGACCTTGGTCCCCGGGTCTTCTAGCCCCAGATCTCACGAGACCCCTCAGGTACCCTTACTCACTCTGGAAACTCCAGAACCCACCCCACCCCCACTGCCCCTGGCATGATATGCAGCCCTGAGCAGGGCACAACCCCTCCTTGAGCCTCAGTTTACTCCTCTGGGGAAGAGGGGATGGGTTGGGAGCTCATATGGTTATGGATACGACTGATTGGGATGCCATAGGGGTAAAGGCTGAGCATACAGCAGACACTGAGCCAGTGGGAGGCTGCCCCCTCCCACGAGAGGGTGGGGAAGAGGCCAGTGTCAGGTGCCTGTTGCCATGGAACCTTGGGAGTACAATAATGAGATGGTCACTTGAGCCACCCACTGCCCCCAGGACCTGGAGAAGCCAACAGCCATTGCCTACCGCATGAAAGGGGGAGGCCAGCCCGGTGGAGGCAGCAGTAGTGGTACTGAAGACACCCCCAGGAGACCCCCAGAGCCAAAGCCAAGTCAGTGCCTCCCCAGGGTGGTTCCAGGGTTGGGCAGGGCCAGAGCCACTTGCTGGTGTGCTAGAATGGAGGCAGCCACAGCATGATGGGGGCTGAGAGGACAGGGAGGAGGGCATCTCCGGTGCCATCTGTGCCTTCTGCCCCCTCCCCTCAGTCCCAGGCCTGGATGCCTCCACATTGGCTCTGCAGCAAGCCTTCATCCACAAACAGGCCGTGCTGCTGGTGAGTGAGGGAGGGACTGCTGGGGGGTGGAGAATGGACCTGCCTGGTCACCACTGCCACCTCTCCCCAGGCCCGGGAGATGACCCTGCAGGCCACGGCACTCCAGCAGCAGCCCCTGAGTGCTGCCCTGAGATCCTTGCCCGCAGAGGTGAGCCTGGCCTGCCCAGGGTGCAGGGGTTGCTTGGAGACACAAGCTGTAAAGAGGAATGCTGTGCTGCTCCAGGGCACTATTGTGCCTCTTTGAGCCCAGGAGCTCCACAACCCATCTCTGACAGAGATCTGGAGTCCCAGAGAGCAGCCTGGTATATCCCAGGCAGCCCACCCTCACGTCCTGTTCTCCACAGAAACCCCCAGCACCAGAGGCACAGCCGACGTCTGTAGGCACCGGTCCCCCTGCCAAACCCGTGCTCCTGCGTGCCACTCCAAAGCCCTTGGCCCCAGCCCCTCTGGCCAAGGCTCCAAGGCTCCCCATCAAGCCTGTGGCTGCCCCTGTTCTAGCTCAGGATCAGGCTTCTCCAGAAACCAGTGAGTGCCCTATCCCAGCCTCTGGGGCTTCCCAGGACAGGCCTGGTGGTGTGGTTGTGCCCCTTGTGGCCTCACCCTGTTCCCACCGCGCCCCTTGCCCACAGCTTCACCCTCCCCAGAGCTGGTCCGGTACTCTACGCTCAACTCTGAGCACTTCCCACAGCCCACACAGCAGATCAAGAATATTGTCAGGCAGTACCAGCAGCCGTTCCGGGGAGGCCGGCCTGAGGCCCTCAGGTCAGCACTGCCCCTGCCCCCAGCCCGCCAGCCCCCTCACTGTACCTGAGTGTCCATCATGGCCCACCAGCTTACTGGGTTGAAGCGCCCTGCCCAGCTCCTGTTAGGGAGGGAGTTTCTTTATACTGATGAGTCCAGATGAGGCCCTGCTGTTGTCTAGGTTGTGCTGTAGGACTTCAGGCCAGTCTCTGCTTCTCCCTGGATTCTCATTTATAATGATAGGGGGTGGTGGAGGAGGAGGAAGTTTCCTACTGTCAAACTATGTGATGGGAAAGGGAGACTCAGTGTCAACCCACCACAGTACTCCAATGCCCACAGGAAGGATGGCGGGAAAGTGTTCATGAAGCGGCCAGACCCTCATGAGGAGGCCCTGATGATCCTGAAAGGGCAGATGACCCACCTGGCAGCTGCACCTGGCACCCAGGTGAGGGGGGAAGGTGGGGCTGAGCCCAGGTGGAACAGAAGACAAAGAGGGGCCTCAGGGATCCTCAGAAACCAGCTACCCCTATAAGCTGTGGCCCTGCCACTGCCCCTCCACAGGGCCTGCCTGTTGCCCCCTGAGCAGTCTCTTTGGGGTGGGACAGGTGTCCAGAGAGGCCGTGGCCCTGGTGAAGCCGGTGACCAGTGCACCAAGGCCATCCATGGCACCCACTTCAGGTGAGAGGGCCAGGAGGGAGGGAGGGGAGGGTGTCCAAGTATATGAGGAAGTCTGTGGGCACAGGTGAGTGTGTCGGTGGAGTGTGTGTGTCTATGTCCCTGAGCCCCTGTGTACATCTTGTGAGCACATTGGTGTAATTATAATGTCAATACTTAAGTAGCACAGATCTCAGGCCAGGCCCATCCTGGCCTCATGTAATCCTACCAGAACCCTTCAAGGTAGCACTGTTGTTCCTACATGTTGCAGATGGGGAAATGGAGGCACAGATAGGTTAACTGGCTTGCCTAAGGTCACACAGCTCAAAAGTGTCAGACCAGGGATATCAGCTCAGGCCTCCTGGCATCACAGTTGAAGCCCTAACCTCTACACCCTTTGTCTCTCAGCAGCTGCAGTGATCTTAACAGCTATAAAGCAGTTCCCATCCTGCCCCTGATAAAAAACCCTCTGATGGCTCCTACAATAAGCTCCAAACTCCTCACCGTGGCCTATGAGACGCGACATGATGTGCCCACCTCCCCAGCCTCATCTCCTCTCTTCCTCCCCTTGGCACATTCTGTTCCTCTCTGTTCTCGGAACACTCCAAGCCCACTCCTGCCTTGCATGTTCCCTGTGCCTAGAATGCTCTTCCCCAAGACCTTTGCATGCCTGGCTCCTTCTCACCATTCATGTCACAGCTCAAATGTCACCTCTGTCACCTCGGCAAGGTCTGCCTAGATTGCTAGGAGTGAAGGACCTCACAGACCAGCTCTCCAGGATCCATCCTAAACCACCCTGCTTTACTGCCACCCCAGCCTCGGGCAGTGAGAGCTTTGTTTCTGAATGATCTGTGCCACCCACACCTGCCATGGGCACTAAACTCCAGGGCAGGGGCATTGTTTACCTTATTTGCGGGGCCATCTCAGCCTTTAGCCCAGGCCTGTATACAATAGGTGTTTTGGCTGGGTGTAGTGGCTCACGCCTGTAATCCCAGCACTTTGGGAGTCCGAGGCGGGCGGATCACAAGGTCAAGAGATCAAGACCATCCTGGCCAATATGGTGAAACCCCTTCTCTGCTAAAAACACAAAAATTAGCTGGGCGTGGTGGTGGGCACATCCAATAGGTGTTTTTATGTGTTGAATGAAAGGCTGGGTCATATGTGACCCTTGTGAGCAGCTGTTTCCGTGGACTGCTCCTGGGTCCCCTCCTCCACCCGCCCTGCCTCTCCCATTTCATCCTAGGAGGTGCCTGTGGCCGGGCGCAGTAGCTCATGCCTGTAATCCCAGCACTTTGGGAGGCCGAGGCGGGCGGACCACCTGAGGTCAGGAATTTGAGACTAGCCGGCCCAACATGGCGAAACCCCATCTCTACTAAACATACAAAAAATTAGCCAGGCGTCGTGGCGGGCGCCTGTAATCCCAGCTACTCAGGAGGCTGAGGCAGGAGAATCGCTTGAACCCAGGAGGCGGAGCTTGCAGTGGGCCGAGATTGCGCCACTGCACTCTAGCCTGGGGGACAACAGCGAAACTCCGTCTCAAAAATATATATATATATTAATTAAATAAAAAAACGAGGTGCCTTCTCCTGACTCCCTGATCCCCGCGCTCTCCAGCTCTGCCCTCGCGATCGCTGGAGCCCCCTGAGGAACTCACGCAGACGCGGCTGCACCGCCTCATCAATCCCAACTTCTACGGCTATCAGGACGCCCCCTGGAAGATCTTCCTGCGCAAAGAGGTGCCGAGCACAGCCGTAGCCAGGGGAGGGGCTGAAGCGGGGCAGGGGAGGGGCTGAAGCGAGCAGAGGAGGGTCTAGGACTTGGGGAGGGAGCCCAGGAGGACAGAAAAAGGCCGGGCTGAAACCAGGGGTGGGGTTACAGCCGGGGCGGAACTGCATTTAGGGGGCGGGGCCGGGTGTGAAGCAAGGCCAGGGGGCAGTCGGACAGTACCCACTGAAGCCCCGCCCCTGCAGGTGTTTTACCCCAAGGACAGCTACAGCCATCCTGTGCAGCTTGACCTCCTGTTCCGGCAGGTGAGGTCCTGTCTCCCCTTTCTGCCTCAGTGAACTCAGCAGGGCTGTGTGGACGCAAAGATGAGCTAGCTGCAAAGCCTGCCTCTGCATGTTGGGATTTGGGGTCCTTGACAGGGGTGAGGATGGGCAGCTGTTTTATTGAATCTCCCCCTCCCATGGGCAGGGTCAGTGAGCCCACAGTTCAACCCAATCAGAGCCATAGTCTGTCTGAGCTAGACATGGCCCAGAGATCAAATGTAAACCCTGTAAACCCCCCTATATAGAGTAGGAAACGGTGGCCTAGGAAGGGTGGCCTGGATTGTGGGGCTGAGGAGAAAGGAGAGGGCCCTGTAAGTGGGATCTGATTTACACAGATGACCCAGCTTACAGATGACCCCACTGCTGCAAAATGGGACCCCTCCCACATTGCCACTCACCCTAGTATAGTCCAGCCTGGGTCCCAGCTGGGGGAGTCCCATGTGCTGCCTGCATCACAGCCTGTTCCCACAGATCCTGCACGACACGCTCTCCGAGGCCTGCCTTCGCATCTCTGAGGATGAGAGGCTCAGGATGAAGGCCTTGTTTGGTATCTCGGGGGAGAGGAGGGGTACTGATGGGGCAACCAGTCAGAGGCACAGCCAGCCCTGTCCCAGAGGGAGACTGAGGCTGACAAGCCCAGGCCCACCATCTCCCAGACATGTGCCTCCTTGCTCTGCTTCTCTGGCCTCTCGCATGGCCGGGCTGCATGTTTGGGGTTGGCAATGCCTGACACACTGTGTGTCCTGGCCATCTCATCCATTTCTGGGTTTCAGTTTTCTAGTATAGACACTGGTCAGATACCTTCTTGCTGGGTATCAGCCACCTCCCTCCCTGACATCCCCGAGATGGGGGTTGCCAGGGGAGTGGGGAGAGGGTCCTGACCAGACCTGGCCTCCCATAGCCCAGAACCAGCTGGACACACAGAAGCCTCTGGTAACGGAAAGCGTGAAGCGGGCCGTGGTCAGCACTGCACGAGACACCTGGGAGGTCTACTTCTCCCGCATCTTCCCCGCCACGGTGCGAGCCCCTCACTTGCCCCCTACCTGTCCAGAGGATTCAGGGATGAGACAAGAGGATCCTCACACGCCCTTCATCTCTGCCCCAGGGCAGCGTGGGCACTGGTGTGCAGCTCCTAGCTGTGTCCCACGTGGGCATCAAACTCCTGAGGATGGTCAAGGGTGGCCAGGAGGCCGGCGGGCAGCTGCGGGTCCTGCGTGCATACAGGTGACCAGCAGGGGTGAAGTGGGGCTGGCTGGAGACTGGGATACAGACTGGCATCGGCATTTCCTTCCCCTCCACAGCCACTTACCAAGTACCCATGATGCGCCAGGCTCTGTGCCAAGCCATTGAAGCAAACCCATTTTAGAGCTGGGGAAACTGAGGCTCAGAGAGAGAAGTTGTTTGTCTCAGGTCACACAGCCAGGAAGGGATTGAGCTAGGCACCCACTCCCCTGCCCTCCCCCCAACCTGCACAGCAGCAGCACTGTGCAGAGGGGCAGCTGTGCTGGAAATGACCAAATCCTGATGCAGCTGGGGAGGGAACCACTGCCAGCAGTGACACCTTACTGAGTACTCAGACTCCCTCCCCTGCTAGAAGTCCCTTTTGTCCTTTTTAACACGAGGATGGGAATGGAACCTTGCTAACTGGTTAGGTAAAACCTGCATGCTTTGAAAGATGGAGAGAATTTGGTCAATGGGTGAAAGAGAGATTTGGGTAGGTGCAAATCTAGATTTAGAGCTTGGACCAAGGGACAAAGGGTGGAGAGGGGCCGGAGTGTCAGCCCAAAGGGTGGTAGGAACTGAGCTGAAGCCACAGCCTGGGTCAGAGAGGGGAAGCAGGAAGCTTAGGGTTCTGTGGGAGCTGGCACAATGGGGCCAAGGTGGGGCTGGGCTTCAAATGGGGCAGGACAGGATCAGAAGCAGCACAATAGGTGGAAGGAGGGCATCCCTCTGGCAGGGGAGTCATGCCACCGGCCCATCCTCCAGCTTTGCAGATATCCTGTTTGTGACCATGCCCTCCCAGAACATGCTGGAGTTCAACCTGGCCAGTGAGAAGGTCATCCTCTTCTCAGCCCGAGCGCACCAGGTCAAGACCCTGGTAGATGACTTCATCTTGGAGCTGAAGAAGGTCAGGATCTTCTCACAGATCTTCCCTCCACCCAGGCTGAGGGCCAGCAACAGGGATCTCCCTGTTCCAGGGAAATATGACTGTGTCCATAGATTTCTGTCTACCTTAAGGCCTTTGCACTGGCTGTGCCTTCCACTTGGAATACCCTTTCTCCCTTTTGCCTGCTCCTTCAGAAAACCTTTGCCAGTGCCCCCTGCCGGGTGGCACAGCACCTCCTCTGAGGTCTGCAGCAATTGTACTCCTTACCCTCCTGCCTTGGCTGCATGGCCCGCCCACTGCATCACAATCTCTTTCCATCCCCTCTGCCCACTCCTGACTGGCAGCCCCCAGGCCTAGGGCAGGTCATCTCTGTGCCCCAGGCCCGAGGAAGACTTCAGCAGGAAAGTCTGTGAGGGATTGAGTGGGGAAGGCCTATGTGTGTGCCCTAAAGTCCATCTGTGTCCCTCAGACTCACCCTCCAGCCCTTTCTTCCACCCAGAATGCCCTTCCCTCTTCTCACCTAATGAAGGCTCCCTTCCCTGATGAGTCAGGAAGGATGTGAGGAGCAGGGGTGGCCCTAGGCCTCTGGGAGTGGGGTGATAGGGCTGTTGCCCTCACCCTGCCTCTGGCTGACCCAGGACTCTGACTACGTGGTCGCTGTGAGGAACTTCCTGCCTGAGGACCCTGCGCTGCTGGCTTTCCACAAGGGTGACATCATACACCTGCAGCCCCTAGAGCCACCTCGAGTGGGTCAGTGCCACTGGGGTGGGCTGGGGGCAGGAGGGGGAGGCTGGCCAAGGGGGCCTCCCTGGCAGATGCTGACCCGAGCCTGGCCCATAGGCTACAGTGCTGGCTGCGTGGTTCGCAGGAAGGTGGTGTACCTGGAGGAGCTGCGACGTAGAGGCCCCGACTTTGGTGTGTGCCCCAGAACCTGGAACCCCATACGGGGCGCATCCTAGTTTCACCCACTCGTGGTGCAGATGCACAGTGAGGGTTTCTTGGTGCCCGAAAGTGGCCTGGGCTGGTCAGGTCTCCTAAGGTCCAGCCGTGGCCTGTCAGTATCTGTTGGTGGCCAGACAGCCCAGCCCTCTGCTTTGCCTGAGGGGTCTCCGTGGGCATTTCCATGTTTGTGGCCTGAATCTCTCTTTATGTCTCCACATGACCTGAGAGTCCACAAACCCTGCTTTGCCTTTTTGCTTCACTTCCCCTTTATGGTCCTGTGGCCCTGAGAAAATCCCTTTCTTTCCCTGAGCCTGTTTCCTCATCTGTAAAATGGGTTTGATGGCCTGGCCTGCCTCATAGAGTTCCAGAGAAGGGTTAAGAATGTTCCCAAATCTCCCTAAAGGACCCCCTTAGTCACAAGACAAGACCCTCCTGTTTGCCTCAGACCTTTTACCCACCCCTAGGCTGGAGGTTCGGGACCATCCACGGGCGCGTGGGCCGCTTCCCTTCGGAGCTGGTGCAGCCCGCTGCTGCCCCCGACTTCCTGCAGCTGCCAACGGAGCCAGGCCGCGGCCGAGCAGCCGCCGTGGCCGCTGCTGTGGCCTCTGCAGCCGCTGCACAGGAGGTGGGCCGCAGGAGAGAGGTGAGACCAGTGTGGGTGGGGTGGGGCGGGGTAGACCAGGGGGAAGGGGCCGCTGCAGAAGGGGTGAGGCGAGTGGGGATAAGGTGGGCCAAGGGCCTGGCCAGGCTCTTGGGGCGTGGCTGATCTTGGACTAGTGTGAGGGTGAACCAGGTAGAGTGAGCCGCAGGTGAGACCCGGGAGATGGGACCAGAGATGGTTGGAGGTGTGGCCAAATGGGGTAGGGAAGGATGAAGATCAGCTGGTTGTAATCAGGACAATGGGGTCAGACCAGCCGGGGCCCGCCAGTTGGTGAAGTCTACTGGGTTTGGGGCGGTGCCAGGTGAGTGGGCGGCTTGTGGAGCTAGCGAGGGGCGGGGTCAGCTGTGACGTGGCAGTTGCGGAAGTCAACCCCGGGCAAGGGCGTGGCCAAGTGGGGCAGGGAGCCAGGTTAGCACAGCAAGTAAAAGGCGTGGGCGGGCTGAAGGGGTAAGAACAACGGGATGCGGGTGGGTCCACAGGGATGGGTGGGTGGGCGGCTTGAGAATCTGGGTCCAGTCAGCTAGGGGTTGCGTTGTCAGTTTTGACCGAAGGGCTAGGCGTGGTGTGGCCGGACTGGGCCTTCCTAGCTCCGCCTCTTCTGCAGGGTCCCCCAGTCAGGGCCCGCTCTGCTGACCATGGGGAGGACGCCCTGGCGCTCCCACCCTACACAATGCTCGAGTTTGCCCAGAAGTATTTCCGAGACCCTCAGAGGAGACCCCAGTGAGTGGCGGCCCCACCCCTCTTCCCACAGTGGGAGGGTGCTGGGCTTCTTGCTGCCATCCAAACTGCAGGCTGTCAGTCTCGGAGGCCCCACTTCTGGTGGGAGAGATGAGAGACCACCCAGGTGTGAGGCTCATTTCAGTGCCTGCCTCTGGGGGTCTTCGTGACCGGTAGACTGATCAGTGGTGGGTCAAGAACCCCCTCCCTGGGGGTTCTTTCCCATGTGGAAAAGGATGTAGCCAAGGCTTGGGCAGGACAGGTCAGTAGCACCCACCTCCCACTGCAGGGATGGCCTCAGGCTGAAATCCAAGGAGCCTCGGGAGTCCAGAACCTTGGAGGACATGCTTTGCTTCACCAAGGTGTCCAGTCCCGGACCTCAGTTTCCCCATCTGTAAAATGGTGATGCAGGGGCCCCCTCCCAGGCCCCTGGGGCCAACAAACTTGTTCTCAGTGAGACCCTCTGATTCTCAGCACCCTGATTCCCTCCCAAGGACAGCCTCTGTCCCCAGTGTTGGGCCTGGCTCCCCTTTTGTGACGTGGACCCTCCTGTTATCATATGGCCTTGGAACACAATGTGTCCCCTTTCTGTTCTGACGTGTCCCTCCTCCATCATGACACAGCCCTCTTCCCCCACAGACTCCCCTCCAGGAATCCCTCATCGAACTCAGCGACAGCAGCCTCAGCAAGATGGCCACCGACATGTTCCTAGGTGTGGGAGTGGGACTGCAGCCAGGGCTCTGGGCTAGGTGGGATCCAGCACTGTGTGATCTCTACTGGTTGCCACTCCTCCCTGATCTTCAGATTCTTTCCCTCCCGCCAGCTCAGACATGGAACACATTTAAGAGAATAGAAGCTCCCAGCTGCCTGTGGCCAAGGCTCCCAGGGAGGGGCTCAGCCCTGGGGCTTCCTGGGGTGGGTGGGCAACTGGGGGTTTGGTGGGTCTGAGTGGGATAGGTCTTTCCTACAGCTGTAATGAGGTTCATGGGGGATGCCCCACTGAAGGGCCAGAGTGACCTGGACGTGCTTTGTAACCTCCTGAAGGTCAGTCCAGCCAACTTTGCCAGATGCCCCCTTTCCTGCTCTGTGGTTCAGTTTCCCCATCTATCAATGAGTCACAGGACATTAGGGTGGGAAACCTCTCCCATGGTCCAAAGAGGAATGCATCATGCTGGTGGGGAGGGGGCTGGGAAAGGGACACCAGGCCTGTCTTCAGGTGCCCACCCTGTTCTTATGTACCTGGTATATGACATAGCCCCTCACATGTCTTTGGTGTGTAACCTCCCTGCCCCCCTTCAGCTGTGCGGGGACCATGAGGTCATGCGGGATGAATGTTACTGCCAAGTTGTGAAGCAGATCACAGACAATACCAGCTCCAAGCAGTGAGTGAACTGGACTTTACCCCACCATCCCCTCACTGTGTCCATGCTCCAGGAGGGACCAGTTCAGCCTCCCACCTCCTCAGGCCTGACCCCTCCTGGATTATCTTCCTCTCACCCTCATCCTCACTCAATAGAGCACGTTTTTTGGAATTACTTGGTCTGGAACACACCATTTCTGCTCTCTGAACTTTAGTGCCCTCATCTGTAAAATGACAGTGATAATGTGTAAGTCCAGATTCTTAGTTGCAAGTGACAGAAACCCAACTCAATCTGGTTTAGCCAAAAGGGAACTTGTTGATTCAGAGAAGTGAAAAGTCAGTGAGTATGTGGCCTCAGGCATAGCTGGATCCAGGTGTCATCAGGAAGCAGGCTTTCTCCATCTTCTGGCTCTGCTTTCCTCTGTGTTGATCATTCCCAAACAGCCTCTCGCACAGAGTAGCAAGGTGGCAGGTCTGGGGCAACAGCTCAGCAATCCCAGAGAAAGCAAGACTGACCCAATATTTGCTGTAGAAATTCTTAAATCCAGCCTTACAGGCCTGAGTTGGTCACATGCTCAACCCTGAACCAACTATGCCTATCCCTGGGCCAATCACTGTGGCCAGGGGCTGCGGTGTTCACATTGACCAAACCTGACTTCCATGCCCATCTCCAAACCACAGGGATCCAGAGCGGGGTGGGTGGTTTCCCAAAGGAAGCCCAAGTGTTGTTCCCAGACACCAGATATCCCTACAAATGAAACCCTCACACCCAGGACCATGTGAAGATGAATTACTGTGTTCCACTCATGCAGGGCCAGCACACAGTACGTGCCCAATGTGTGCATGCTCTTGTTACCATCAGGTCCACCCTCCTGTCTCCATCTGTACTACCTCCTCACTTGCTCTCCATCTCCTCAGGATTTTTAGAACCACTCAGCTTGTCCTCCTGCTCCTCCCAGCCCTGGGCCTTACCTGGCATGACCTCTACACAGTCTCAGCAGCTTCCCCTTTTCCCAGAAGCCTCCCTAGAGAGATCCCCTACCTGTTGTGAGGCAGAGAAGAGAAGAATAGGAGAGGAAAGAGTCGCAGTGCTTCCCCTACCTGGGGAAGATGTCTGGGGCCCCATCCCCTTCTGTCCCTATCCCCAATCCTGACTTCCCAAGCAGAATATGCCTTTTGCATATCACTGCGCAGGGAGGGGCATCCTCAGGGGACAGGAGCTGCCTGAGAGTTGGAATCTGTCTCAGCTCAATCCCAGGAGGCTCTTGGCACACTCTAGTGCTGTGGCCACCTCTGCTGTAGCCCCCATGTGTCCTTGCAGGGACAGCTGCCAGCGAGGCTGGAGGCTGCTGTATATCGTGACCGCCTACCACAGCTGCTCTGAGGTCCTCCACCCACACCTCACTCGCTTCCTCCAAGACGTGAGCCGGACCCCAGGCCTGCCCTTTCAGGGTGAGAGGTCAATGAGTGGGAACCCAGGGCTGCATGCTTCTCCCTTGGGGACTGGGTGGACAGCTGGTGGGAGGGGAAACCCAGAGGGCCTCGCTCTTCACAGGTGCTGAGCAATGTTTACCAATATTAATATACTCCCCAAACATTTGTTAAGGTTTCACAGGGGCTGGCGTGGTGGTTTGTCTGATCTAATGGAGGGGGTGGTCAGGGATGACTCCTTGGAGGAAGTATTGCCCTGGGTAGGAGGGATTTCCAGGTGGAGTGAGTGACAGGAGCAAAGACAGGAGTGGGAATATGTGGTACGTGGGAGAAGAGAAGGAGGTGGGCAAGAATCCAGAGTACTGGGGTGCGGCCCTGCCTCTCTGACTGTTGGGACTCAGCAAGGGTCTTGAGGGATCTGGGCAGAGGTGGGCCCAAGCTGGTATCATCCCCCTTAGAATATGGAGAAAGGGGGGGCCACTCTTCAGCGTTGTTTCCATAGCAACCCCTGGGGCTCCCTAAGAAGGAGGCTGGGGCCCCTGTAGTCACCATGGCAGCCGTGGAGGAGATAGGAGACCTTACCCTTCCTGCCTCTGAATGCTTCTCTCTGATTCAATTAACAAACATTCAACCCACAGATGAATAGACCCAGCTCCCTATGGAAGAGCTCCCAGATGCATAAAAGCAGCAGAATGTGCCCTAGAACTCTTGACTCAAGAGAAATGGAGCACTGATGCTGGGGTCTCCTGCACTGGGAGGCCTGGGTGAGGGAGGGCAGCTGGCAGGGTATCCCAGCTGGCATGAGCAGAGCTGCATCACCCTAGCCACAGAGCCTGTGAGATACAAGCTCCCCAGTCAGCAGCTCAGGGTGACAGCGGTTTCCAGGCGTATAGGTTGCCAAGGGGACTATGGGCTAGATAAAAGGTCCTTAGCCACATGGGATGTGGGTTCAAATCCAGCTCTTAACCTCTAGCTCTTGACCTTGGGCAAGTCACTGTCCCTGTCTGAACTGTTTCCTCAACTGTCAAATGGGGGAGTAAATGCCTTCCCCACAGCTTGTGGAGAGAATGCAGTGGGCTCATGGTTGGTGGCAAGAGGAGCGAGCCCCTTTCTCCCACAGTCCACCTTGGGCGAGGCCTGAACTCCCTGCTTCTGCAGGGATCGCCAAGGCCTGCGAGCAGAACCTGCAGAAAACCTTGCGCTTCGGAGGTCGTCTGGAGCTCCCCAGCAGCATAGAGCTTCGGGCCATGTTGGTGAGCATAGGGTGGGAGTGGGTTCAAAATGAATGGGAGGCTGGGCGCAGTGGCTCATGCCTGTAATCCCAGCACTTTGGGAGGCTGAGGCGGGCAGATCACCTGAGGTCAGGAGTTCGAGACCAGCCTGGCCAACATGGTGAAACCCCGTCTCTACTAAAAATACAAAAATTAGCCGGGCATGGTGGCAGGCACCTGTAATCCCAGCTACTCGGGAGGCTAAGGCAGGAGAATTACTTGAACCCAGGAGGCAGAGGTTGCAGTGAGCCAAGATCGTGCCACTGCATTCCAGCCTGGGTGACAGAGCGAGACTCCATGTCAAAAAACAAAAACAAACACACACAAAAAAATGAATGGGAGACACAAGCCCTGCCCAGAGACCTCTCTGTCAGGTGCATTGCACTCAGGGGCTTGCAGACAGGCCCTGCGCGGTCCAGGTGCTCAAGTGTTCCTACACGTGCCAGCCCAGGATCCTTTGGCTTGGGAACTCCCAGGGCAGGAGACAAGGGCTGTCCCAGATCCTAGGACCCAACCTGTCATCCCTCTCCCACCTATCTACCCCAGGCAGGCCGCAGTTCCAAGAGGCAACTCTTTCTTCTTCCTGGAGGCCTTGAACGCCATCTCAAAATCAAAACATGCACTGTAAGTGAAGAAATGTCTCCTGCAGCCAGGTACTGGAGGGGCAGGGACAAGGACAGCCCAGGCTCCAGGATGGGGGTGGAGTAAGCCCCCAATGATGCTGAGCCCTCCCAGGCTCTCCCACAGCCCCACAAGGCAGGACTTATTTCTCAGAAGAGCAAACTGCACCTCAGAGAGGTTAAGCCTCTGGCTCAGGGTCATCCTGCAAAAAAGGGACAGAAGCAGATTTTAAACCTAAGTCTCAGACCACAAGCTGTGTTCTTTCCCTGCCTGAGGCTGATTCTCAGAGACCTCAGAGGATTGTGCGCCTTTGTGAAGAGGGCTGAGGAACTCCACACATGGCCTCTGGGGGCCTGAGTGGGGCCAGAAGGACAGAGGTCAAGCCCAACTGGCATGGCCTCATCTCTTCCGCCCCACCCCCAGGTGGCCCTGGACGTGGTGGAAGAGATATGTGCTGAGATGGCTCTGACACGCCCTGAGGCCTTCAATGAATATGTTATCTTCGTTGTCACCAACCGTGGTGAGTGCCAGGAAGACTGAGCATGCTGGGCCCATTCCCATCCCCGGGCCTTGTGCCATGTGGGGCCCTCCACCCAGATTTTAGGGCCCAAGTCAGGTGCCACTTCCTCCAGGAAGCCCCTTGACCCCCATGTGGAAGGATCTCTGTGTGTACCAAGCACGCCCAGCCCTTTATCTGTCCCTTTCTGCTTTGCTTAGTTTGCCTCACCTTATGATGAGAGCCCTCTCTCATCCCTCCCTTTGTCCCTCAGGACATGCTCAATGTGAGGACACAGGCCGTGCCCTCAAGGAGATTACATCCTGGAAAGGTTTCCATTAATAGCGCCGCATATTATGGAACCTATAGGAACCTATAGGTGCAAGCCTTCTTTCCTGCCTTTCATGCCTTAATAATGGCCAGAGAAGCCCCTCCCGAGGTGTCACTAGCCCCTCTCGAGGGCTCCTGGGACCCTAGGTGACCGTCATGCATCCCAAAGCCCCTTCCATCTGCTGACTGCCCACTCTAGATCATGGTCTTCCCTCCTGTCACCAGCTGGTCAGCTCCAGCAACCCCCAGCCAGCTCTCCCTACTGCTGCCTCAGTCCTCAGCCATGTGCCATCAGCCCTGCCTGCCCAAGTCCAGCTAAGACATTAGGGGAGAATGGCAGGTAACAAAACGGTCCTAATAACTGATATTTATTGAACGGATGCTGTGCCCCAGGTATAATTCAAAGCATTTCAGGCTGGGTGTGGTGGCTCATGCCTGTAATCCCAGCACTTTGGGAGGCCGAGGCGGGTGGATCTCTTGAGGCCAGGAGTTTCAGGGCAGCCTGGCCAACATGGCGAAGCCCCATCTCTACTAAAAATTAGCCAACCATGGTAGTGTGCACCTGTAATTCCAGCTACTCAGGAGGCTGAGGCACAACAATCACTTGAACCTGGGAGGCGGAGGTTGTAGTGAGCCATGATCATGCCACTGTACTCCAGCCTGGGTGATGGAGTGAGACTCTATCTGCAAAAAAAAAAAAAAAAAAAAAAAAAAGCCAGGTGTGGTGGCTTGCACCTTTAATCCCAGCACTCTGAGAGGCCGAGGCGGGTGGATCACCTAAGGTCGGGAGTTCGAGACCAGCCTGAGCAACATGGAGAAACCACATCTCCACTAAAAATACAAAATTAGCCAGGCATGGTGACGTTTGCCTGCCACTCAGGAGGGTGAGGCAGGAGGTTGCAGTGAGCTGAGATCGTGCCTGGGCAACAAGAGCGAAACTCCATCTCAAAAAAAAAAAAAAAAAAAGCATTTCATTCTGTGAACTCTTTTAATCCCCACGACAACCTTATGAAGTGGATGGAGACTGTTAGCTTTTCCATTTACAGATGGGAAAACTGAGGCCCAGGGAGGCTGTATTAGTTTTCTATTGTTGCTATAACAGATTATCACAAATTTAGTGGCTTAAAAAAACATAAATATATTACCTTATAATTCTGAAAGTCAGAAGTTCTAAAATGAAAATGGCATCAGGGCCAGGTTCCTTCTGGAAGCTCTAGGGAATAATTTGTTTCCTTTCCTTTTCCGGCTTCTAGAGGCTGCCCGCATTCCTTGGCCCATGGCCCTTTCCTCCATCTCCAAAGCCAGCAGTGTAGAATCCTCATATCTCTCTCCCTGCCAGCCTCTGCTTCTGGTCTCACATCTCCTCCTCTGATTCTGACCCTTCTGCTTTCCTCTTATGAGGACCCATGTGCTGATGACACTGGGCCTGCTTGGATAATCCAGGATCATCTCCATCTCCACATCCTTAACTTAATCACATGTGCAGAGTGCCTTTTGCCAGGAAAGTGACATATTCATAAGTTCTAGGGATTAGGACCTGGACATCTTTGGAGGGGTCATTATTCAGCCTGCCACAGAAGCTGTGACTTACAGTCACACAGTGGTAATCATGTAATCATACCAAACTCCCTCTCTTTAGTAAGATTTTACTGCAGGTGTGAGATGGGTGGCAAAAATGTCAGTGCAAGAGAGAAAGACTTGAGCTTCTCCCAGGCTCAGACCCCAGTCCTCCCCACCCCCACCTATGCCAGGTACCTGGCAAGGGGTCTCTCCTGAAGGAGGTCTGCAGAAAGGCACCCACTGGGTCTCATAGTGTGAGGCCTCTTGTGTTTGTCCTTGTTCCCAGCCTCCTCTGGAAAGGAGCTGGGCCTTCTCTGAGAATAATGCAGGGCACTTTCCCAGATCCAGGCAGGCCACACTCGGGGCACTCCTCAGGAGCCCCTCTTTCCCCAGGAGAAATGGAGCATTACTTAAAGCTTTGAATTGGAGTTATTACCATCTGTGGTCATCAATATTTCAGTAAAACATAGGACACCCCATTCGACAAGCATGCTCTCCTTTAATGAGGAAGCTGTGTCCCAGAACAGGCAGGTGGCTTGTCCGAGGTGATACCTCACCTGGGTAGCAGATTGGGGTCTGCACACATGCTCTGTACAGGTGCACACATGTGTGTGCACACATGCCCCCACCCAGCCCTGCCTCCCTGCTCTCTGCAGGCCAGCATGTGTGCCCACTCAGTCGCCGTGCTTACATCCTGGATGTGGCCTCAGAGATGGAGCAGGTGGACGGCGGCTACATGCTCTGGTTCCGGCGTGTGCTCTGGGATCAGCCACTCAAGTTCGAGAATGAGCTATATGTGACCATGCACTACAACCAGGTCAGCACACGTAGGCTTCTCTGGACTCTGGGACCTTCTAGGCTCCCCTGGGCCTGTGAATCAGACTCCACAGCCTTGGTGTTTGAAGTGTTCATGATTCAGGCCCTGTGGATGTCTCTAGCCCTGATGTCTCTGCTCCCCTATGTGGTCTCTTTGGAGAAATCGAAACAGCCCTCACCACCTTTGAGAGCCTTTGCGCATGCCATCCCTCCATCTGTGCTTCCTGACTTATTTAAGTCCTTCCCAGCAAGCTGCCCCCAAACAGCACCTCTTCCATTAGGCCTTCTTTGCATTCCCCTTTCCTTCGGATGTCTTCCTCCTCTGAACATGGGCCTGTCCTTTGCTCCAAGTGCTAAGCCAGGCTTTGCTAGTACTGTCATTTTTGTCTGTGTGTTATTCTGTGAGACTTAGAAGTCCTCTAAGTCAGGATCATGGAGTTTACAAAGTCTAGGTTTCTCCTACTGTGCCAGTATGTGTGGAAGTGCTTGGACAGAAAGTGTGTGTTTTTGTGGAACTGGTGCCAAAACTTCAGGAATTGTACACAATATGGTCACGTAGATTTTGTGGCCACGTGGTGTCACTGTTGAAGCATGGCCCTGTGCAGTCCAGCACCATGCTACTCAACCTGAGGCTTGTGGACTGGCAAAAACGGGAGGCAAATCCTCAAGTCCCGCCTCAGACCTCCTGCCTCAGACCCTCAGGAGCCCAGCCTGGCTGTCTGTTTTGGCAAGCCCTCCCGTGGCTCAGGCACACTCAGTTTTGAGAAACAGCAGGCCTGATAGATACATGTCCACACTGCAGTGTTGATGCTCTGCTCTCACCAGCCAGCCCACATCCTACACAAGGTTGCTGTGGGGACTCCCTCATGGGCATCAAGGCCACAGCCCTCCCACGTCACCCTTATGTGCTTCTGCCATCATTCCCCGAAACCCAGGAAAGTAATAGGCCATCCTACCCCAGAAGAGGATGGGGCTGCAATCATTAAACATGCATGTCCCCAGGTCCCCTGCAGCCAAGTGCCTGCACGCGTGCCTGCCTGGCAGCCCCTCACCCAGGTGCTCCCTGCAGGTCCTGCCTGACTACCTGAAGGGACTCTTCAGCAGTGTGCCGGCCAGCCGGCCCAGCGAGCAGCTGCTGCAGCAGGTGTCCAAGCTGGCTTCACTGCAGCATCGCGCCAAGGACCACTTCTACCTGCCGAGCGTGTGAGCATCTGCCCTCCTGCCTCAGCTGGGGTGGACAGGCAACCCTGCCCTCTCAGCCCACCTCCACCCTCCTCAGAGCTGGCAGTCCCCAGGCCCTCAGGCTCCCCTCTTATACCAGTGGGGCTATCTGGGAAGGGGCTGTCCTTGCCTGGGGGCTGAAGTCTTCCAACTAGCCACAGGAGCTGGGACCCCGCCTCTCTTTCGCAAGTTGCTTCTGGCTGGTATTATTAGCTCAGAGCAAAGGTAATGATAAAAAAAGCTTTCAGGACACATGTTCCCTGTGGTCCAGGAAATACATGTAGCTATGCAGAAAGATTCAGCCACAAAAGCATTCACTGCAATGCTGCTACAAGAGCAAAAGATCAGAAGTAACCTCAATATCCAGCAACAGGGAGTCGTCAAGTAAATTATGGGTGTTAGCCTTTATTTACTTATGTATTTAATTAATTATTGATTTTCTCTTTCTTTTTTTAAAAATGATATACCACTTTTTATAGAGACGGGGTCTTGCTATGTTGACCAGGCTGAATTTTTTTATTTTTGTAGAAACAGGGTCTTGTGGCCGGGCGCGGTCGCTCATGCCTGTAATCCCAGCACTTTGAGAGGCCAAGGCGAGCGGATCATGAGGTCAGGAGATCGAGACCATCCTGGCTAACATGGTGAAACTCCGTCTCACTAAAACTACAAAAAATTAGCCAGGCATGGTGGCAGGCACCTGTAGTTCCAGCTACTCGGGAGGCTGAGGCAGGAGAATGACGTGAACCCGGGAGGCGGAGCTTGCAGTCAGTGAGCCGAGATAGCGCCATTGCACTCCAACCGGGGTGACAGAGCAAGACTCCGTCTCAAAAAAAAAAAAAGAAAGAAAAGAAACAGGGTCTTGCTACTTTGCCCAGGCTGATCTTGAACACCTGGGCTCAAGTAACCCTCCTGCCTCAGCCTCCCAAAGCAGTGGGATTACAGGCATGAGCCACCCTGGCTGGCCTAGACAGCCTTTAAACTGACGTTCTCTAAGTTATAATTAATGCTCACAATGTAAATCAGTCATTCTCAAATTTTTGGTCTCAAGACCTTTTTACACTCTTGAAAAGAGGACCTTGGCCGGGCACCGTGGCTCACACTTGTAATCCCAGTACTTTGGGAGGCCGAGATGGGCGGATCACCAGAGGTCAGGAGTTTGAGACCAGCCTGGCCAACATGGTGAAACCCCGTATCTACTAAAAAAATTTAAAAAAAAAAAAAATTAGCCAGAGGTAGTGGCGGGTGCCTGTAATCCCAGCTACTCAGGAGGCTGAAGCAGGAGAATCACTTGAACCCTGGAGGTGGAGGTTGCAGTGAGCCGAGATTGTGCCACTGTTCTCCAGCCTGGGTGACAAGAGCGAAACTCCATCTCAAAATAATAATAATAATAATAATAATAATAATAATAATAATAATAAAAATAGGCTGGGCACAGTGGCTCACGCCTGTAATCCCAGCACTTTGGGAGGTCGAGGTGCGTGGATCACCTGAGGTCAGGGGTTTGAAACCATCCTGGCCAACATGGCGAAACCCCATCTCTAATAAAAACACAAAATTAGCCGGGCATGGTGGCGCATGCCTGTAATCCCAGCCACTTGGGAGGGTGAGGCAGGAGAATCACTTGAAACTGGCAGGTGGAGGGAGGTTGCAGTGAGCCAAAATCATGCCATTGCACTCCAGCCTGGGCAAGAAGAGCAAAACTCCGTCTCAAAATAATAATAATAATAATAATAATAACAGGACCTCGTGGCCGGGCATGGTGGTGCACGCCTGTAACGCCAGCTACTCGGGAGGCTGAGGCAGAAGAATTGCTTGAACGCAAGAGGCAGAGGTTGCAGTGAGCTGAGATTGTACCACTACACTCCAGCCTGGGCAATAGAGTAAGACTCCGTCTCAAAAACAAAAAAAGTGGACCTCAAAGAGCTTTTGTTTATGTGGGTTATATCAATGAATATATTTACCCTGTTAAAATATTGATTTATTAATTCAGTTAAAAATAAAAATTAACCCACTAAATGTCAATATAAATAACTTTTTATGAAAAATAACTCTATTTTCAAAAAAAAATTTAGTGATTCATGGGCGTGGTGGCACATGCCTGTAGTCCCAGTAACTGGAGAAGCTGAGGTGGGAGGATCACTTGAGCCTGGGAGTTCGAGTTCGAGGCTGCAGTGAGCCGTGATTGCACCACTGGACTCCAGCCTAGGTAACAGAGCAAGACCCTGTCTCAAAAAAAAAAAAAAAAAAAAAAAAAAACCATTAGTGAGAATTTTACATGTTCAAAGCTCTGTACTTTTACATTTTCAAAGCTCTGTACTGTCTGACTTAAGGCAGCTGCCTTCCCAGATCTGCTTCTGCAGTCAGCCTGTTACCATCTCACATGTTATACAGCCTCTGGAAGACTCCACTGTACACTTGTGAGAGCACAAGAGAGAAAATGACAAGTTCCTAATGTGATGAAAATGATTTTCAACCCCCTCGACCACACTTTGAGAACCCCTGGAAAAACGAATAGTAAGATGATGTCCGTACCATGTGTATTCCAGCGCCTGTAACACAGTAAGGGCTCAATATGTAAAGCTCCTTATTTTTATTTTATTTTATTTTATTTTATTTTATTTTATTTATTTATTTTGAGACAGAGTCTCTCTCTGTCACCCAGACTGGAGTGCAGTGACCCCATCACGGCTCACTGCAGCCTTGACCTCTTGGGCTCAAGTGATCCTCCCACCTCAGCCTCCCAAGTAGCTGGAATCACAAGTGCATGCCAAAATGCCCAGCTAATTTTTAAATTTTTGTAGAGACGGGGGTCTTACCATGTTGACCAGACTGGTCTCGAACTCTTGGGCTCAAAGTTACCCTCCCTCCTTAGCCTCCCAAAGTGTTGAGATTACAGGTGTAATCTCAACGCTAGCCACCGCGCCTTGCCTAAAGCTCTTTTTTTAATGTATAATTTTAAGTGAAAAGAGCAGGAAGCACATAAAGATATAATCCCAATCCTGGATGAAAATAATCACTGAGTTCTTACTTTTTGCAAGGGACTCTGCATCTGCATTATCTCAGCTATTCTTCCCAACTCCATTTTATTTTCCCCATTTACAGATAAGGCCCAGAGAGGTTATATGGCTTACTGAAGACTAGCCAGCTAATGGTGGGGGAACTAGAATCCAAAACTGGGGAGGCTGGGTTCAGATGCCAGGCCCTTACCCCAGCAGTGGAAAGAAGGACAGATGTTACCCAGGGGATCTCTTGGGAGGAGGGGGTTCCCCTGGTTTTCTCCCCACCCTTCCTTCATCTGCAGCTCCAGCTGGTCAGGATGGGCTGGTACTGCTATTGGTATTTTCCAGATGTCCAAAGAGGTAAAGGGGCTGCCTGAGGTAGCAGCCAGCGTATGTCAGAGGGAAGAGGGCTGGGGCAAGCTGATGCCCAGGGGCCTCAGCCTGGAGGCCCAGCACTCCTCTGCTCAAGGTTCTGCACAGCCCTGTGGCTGCTTTGCCTACCCTGATGTTTCCTCTCACCCCTCCGGCTTTTGCTTCTCCTTGGGGGCAGAAGGTATGAAGGATGAAATTGCCTTGGGTTCACATCTTGCCCCCACCAACCCATGCCGCTAACTCACTCAGTCACTGTGTGACCTTGAACTAGTCAGTGAACTTCTCAGAGCCTCAGTTCCCTTAACTGCAAACAGGGATCCTAGCAGTACTGGCCCCGGCCATGATTAAGCAGTACCAAGGCACTGTGGGCACCTCTACCCCACTTTCAGCCCATTTACACTCCCTAGCATTTAGTCTTCCAGGGAGGTGCATAGATCAGGACTGCTCTGCATGCCTGCTGCACAGTGAGGATTGCCTGAGCCTGGGAGCTCACTCAGGACCTTTTTCCCCTTCCTCCGTACACAGGCGGGAAGTCCAGGAGTACATCCCAGCCCAGCTCTACCGTACAACGGCAGGCTCGACCTGGCTCAACCTGGTCAGCCAGCACCGGCAGCAGACACAGGCGCTCAGCCCCCACCAGGCCCGTGCCCAGTTTCTGGGTAAGAGCTGCAGGGCAGGGGAGGTGATCATAGGGGGCTTTGCTGAGGAGGGTGGTCATGGAGGATGGGTATGGAGGCACCTCTTTCTTTGCACAAAGGCATTTTTCAGTGCCAGTCAAGCTGAGCACCTGCCTGGAGAAAACATGTCTTTACATTATGGAGATGTCACCTAGGCTCAAAGTGGCCCTGGGCAGAGGAAGAAGAGCTGCAAGCAGGGATAGAGGAAGAGGCCATGAGAAGGGAGGCCAGAGAGATGGGAGGAGACCCAGACCAAGGGCTTCTGCACTGGCTGGACACAGCCCAGAGAAGCTATGCAGTTCAGGGCCATGGCTGTTGTCAGTGAGCCCTGCCCAGCACGTAACTGCCACCCCCTCTCCCTGCCCAGGCCTCCTCAGCGCCTTACCTATGTTCGGCTCCTCCTTCTTCTTCATCCAGAGCTGCAGCAACATTGCTGTGCCAGCCCCTTGCATCCTTGCCATCAACCACAATGGCCTCAACTTTCTCAGCACAGAGACTCATGTGAGTGGCCTCAGCCTGGCACTGCCATCGCCACCCTCTGTTCCCTGGTCCCCAACCCCCTCCAAGAGGCCAAGACCTCCAGCCGCCGAAGCCCAGTTCCACTGCTTACCACCTTCATGATCTCAGGCAAGTCTCTTCCCTCCTCTGAGCCTTGCTTTCCTCATCTGGAAAATGAGGATAAGAGTTGAGCCCCACCCATAGGGCTGTTGTGAAGGTGAGATGAGGTAAAACATACTCTATGCACTCAAATAGTACATCTGTGTGCTTAGGCTGCCATAATAAAAGACCACAGACTGAGTAACTTAAACAACAGAAGTTTATTTCTCACAATTCTGGAGGCTGGCGGTCCAAGGTCAAGGTGTCAGCAGGTTTGGTTTCTTTGGTGGTTTGCAGACAGCTGTCCTCACTGTGTCCTCACATGGCCTTTCCTCTGTGTGCGCACAACCCTGGTATCTCTGTGTATCCAAATTTCCTCTTATAAGGACATCTGTCATATTGGAGTAGGGCCCATCCTAACAGCTTCATTTTAACTTAGTAACCTCTTTAAAGGCCTTATTTCTAAATACATTCTGAGGCACTGGGAGTTAGGATTTCAACATGGGAATTTGGTGGGGGACATAATTCAGCCCATAATAAGTAGGACCTGTTACCCCCTTAGTTTTTGCTCCCAGAACTAGACCCTGCGACAGGGATTCCAGGGCAAGTGGTTGATTTAGAGTTGATTCCAGGAAACACTGGAGTGAGGAAGTGAGACAGGGAAGGGATGGAGCCAGTAGAGGGGGTGTTAGCAAGCAAGTTGCTGATGTGGGCACCTGGAGGTCAGTCCAGCTGGGGAGCCCTGAGAGACAGACTAGAGCTTTCCTTCTCTCCTGGGGGTGAGGGAGCTGGGGTGTCCATTCAACACTTCCCATCTGTCATTAGCAAGAGCTTCTTTCTGAGGCATTAACTCTCTATCACTCTGACTTTCCCTGTATGTGGTCCAAGTTTGCTTCCTGGGCCAGAAAACAAGCCCCTAGACAGGCTAGGTACTTGACTCACATCTGCAGTCCTAGCACTTAGGGAAGCAGAGGCAGGAGGATTCCTTGAGCCCAGGAGTTTTAAGACTGGCCTGGGCAACACAGGAGGCCCCATTTTCCACAAAAAGGAAATTTAAAAAAGAGGTGGAGGTGTTCACAAGAAGCAACTTTGATGTGAAGTTCAGGGCACCAATACCTCTCTATCCCAAGCACTTAGAGCACTTAGAACAGTGCCTGGTACATGATAGATGCATCATCTCATCAGTATTTGTTGAATCAATTTTATAGGTGAGGAAACTGAGGTCCAGAGAGGTAAAGTGATTTGCTCAAGGTCACGCAAGTCACTGGGGAACTGGTACTTGAACTGGAGTGAGTCTCCTGCCTCCTACAGATCTGATTTGCAGGGCAGGGGTAAGAGTGGTTGAGACTATCCTCGCCCACAGGCCTGTCCGGCCCCTCTCCTCCTACTCCCAGGAATTGATGGTGAAGTTCCCCCTGAAGGAGATCCAGTCGACGCGGACCCAGCGGCCCACGGCCAACTCCAGCTACCCCTATGTGGAGATTGCGCTGGGGGACGTGGCGGCCCAGCGCACCTTGCAGCTGCAGCTGGAGCAGGTGGGCCCAGCGCTAAGTCCAACATTCCACTCACTGGGCCCTTCTCTGGGCCTGGCTCCAAGATAGGTCAGGTCCCTGCCATGCCCCAGGGAGTATCCAGGCCAGTGCATGGGACAGAACCAACCACAGCACAGCACGGAACTGCAGATCATTATGGGTGGCCATCCAGGGAAGCAACTTGGCAGTGGGAACACAGGAAAGGGCAGTACGGAGCCATAGAAGGTTGATGAGAGGGCAAGGACACTAGAGGTTTGAGAAAGTTCACCTGGGCTGAGATGTGGAGGCTGGATTGTAGGCCCCAGGATTGAGGGTGGAGAAACTGGGCTTCCTGTGTGACAGATGGTGAAACTGAGACCCACCTGCCCTGTGCCTTCCTATGTTTGTAGCAACTGTGGCTGTTACTTAAAAGGCAGGGGTGAAACAGGCACCGTGGCTCATGCCTGTAATCCCAGCACTTTGGAAGGCTGAGGCAAGGCAAGAGGATCACTTGAGCCCAGAAGTTTGAGACCAGGCAACATAGTGAGACCTAGTCTCTGCAAAAATAAAAAAAAAAGTGCCTGTAGTCCTAGCTATTCAGGAGGCTGAGGCGGGAGGATTGCTTGAGCCCAGGTGTTGGAGTTCGAGGCTGCAGTGAGCTGTGATGGTGCCAATGCACTCCAGCCTGGGTGACAAAGTGAGACCCCATCTCTAAAATAAAATGTAAAAAAGCATGGATGACCTCTAGACTCCTGTCCAAGTCTCACACCCCCCTGGGGTCAGGGCAGGACTAGCGTTTTCACCCCACTGAAGAGATAGGATTCAGGCCCAGAGAAGATGCAGAATTGAGGTTGACACCCACACGTCTGCCCTGTCCAGCCTGTAACATCCCCCCTCCAGGTCTGGGCCCAGCACCACTCCCATGACAGGGCCTGTCTTGGAGGGGGTGATTTCCCAGGGCAAGAGAGAGAGACTTCCACTGTCCTAGCTCTGCCTCTGAGGGACAGGACCAGACAAAGTCTCCTTGGCCCCCTGTGCCCCTTGGAGAGCCTGTTACTTGGGTCTAGGGTCCTAATGCACTCCTCACCACACCCCAATCTGCTCCTGCCTGGAGTCTGCTGCCTCCTTCCCAGAGGCCACCTCCCTGAGCCCCTGCAATGGCTCTGTGGTGTTCTCCTACCTCTTTTTTTTTTTTTTTTTCAGTAGAGACAGGGTCTTGCTATGTTGCCCAGACTAGTCTTAAACTCCTGGCCTCAAATGATCTTCCCACCTCAGTTTCCCAAAGTGCTGGGATTATAAGCGTGAGCCACTGCACCCAGCCTTCTCCAGCCTTCTTGTGTGAGCCTGGTCATTCCTTCTTTGGTTCTTTTCTGGTCTTTCCTCCTCTAGACTATCTTTTTTTTTTTTTTTTGAGGCAAAGTCTTGCTCTGTTGCCCAGTCTGGAGTGCAGTGGTGTGATCTCAGCTCACTGCAACCTCCACCTCCTGGGTTCAAGCGATAATCCCACCTCAGCCTCCCAAGTAGCTGGGACTGCAGGCGCATGCCACAATGCCTGGCTAATTTTTGTATTTTTAGCAGAGATAGGGTTTCACCATTTTGGCCAGGTTGTTCTTGAACTCCTGACCTCAAGTGATCCATCCACCTCAGCTTCCCAAAGTGTAGGGAGGGGCGTACATGTGTAAGCCACCACTCCTGGCCCCCTAGACAATCTCTAAACGTTGCTGAGTCTGGGTCTCTCCCCAGGGCACCCTGTCTGATACTGAGGCTTTCAAAACCATGTCTACCATCACAGCATCCATACTTCTACCTCCTGCCCAGACTACCTGAGCTCCAGGCTCCCTCAGCATCCCCCTTGGAGACCAACAGTCCTCTCCAGCTTTCCTCCCGATCCTCCCAGGCACTCAGGCCCCAAATCTGGGAGTCCTTCCCATCCCTGTCCCTTCCTCCCATGACCTTTGTGGCCTCCTCTCCCACCTCCCCCATCTCTGCTCATTCCTCCAGCCACCCTGGCTCCCTTGTGCTGAGCTTGTTCTCCCTGCCCTGGGCCCTCTGCCCTCACTGTCCTCTCCACCTGGAATGCTCTTCCTTGATCCATCACAGGGCCCATTCTCTCCCTTTATTTGGGTTTCAGCACAAATATCACCTTTTTCTAGAAGCTTTCCCTAACCTTCCTCCCTAAGAACTCACGATCCCTGCCCCCATAGCCCTACTTATGGCTTGGAAATCATTTAGTTATTTGTTTATGTATTGTCTCCTTATATTAGTCTGTTTTACGTTGCTATAAAGGAATATCCGAGGCTGCATAATTTACAAAGAAAAGAGGTTTATCTGGCTCACGGTTCTGCAGGCTGTGCAAGAAGCGTGGCACCAGCATCTGCTTGGCTTCTGTGGAGGCCTCACGAAGCTTTTACTCAAGGCAGGAGGCAAAGGGGAAGCAGGCACATCACGTGGCAAGAGAGGGAACAAGAGAGAGAGGGCCCAAACAGCCGTCTCTCGTGTGAACTATTAGAGTGAGGACTCACTCATTACCTTGGGTAACCAAGCCATTCATGAGGGATTTGCCTCCATGACCCAACACCTCCCACCAGGCCCTGTCTCCAACATTGGGGATCACATTTCTTCTCTTTTCTTTTTTTTACTTTTCTTTTTTTTTTTTTTTTTTTTTTTACTACAGTGTCTTGCTCTGTTGCCTAGGCTGGAGTAATCTCGGCTCACTACAACCTCTGCTTCCCCAGTTCAAGTGATTCTTCTGCCTCAGCCTCCCAAATACCGGGATTACAGGCATGTGCCACCATGCCCGGCTATTTTTTTGTATTTTAGTAGAGACGGGGTTTCACCATGTTGGCCAGGCTGGTCTCAAACTCCTGGCCTCAAGTGATCCACCCGCCTTGGCCTCCCAAAGTGCCGGAATTACAGGCATGAGCCACCATGCCTGGCTGGGCATCACATTTCAACACAAGATTTAGAAGGGACAAATATCCAAACTGTATCATTCCCCCATCAGAATGTCAGCTCCAAGAGAGCAGGACCGTATCCATCTTGTTCATGCTGTGTCCATAACTCAGCGCCTGGCACATAGTAGATGCTCCATACATATTTGTTGGTTGCATGGGTGGGTGGGTGGATAGATGGATGGATGAAGGCCTCTTTGCTTTTCCCACTTCCTTGCAGCACCACCTGACCTCCTTATGCTGCCCTCTCTGCCTCTGGCCTGTATGTGTCAGGGGCTACATTCATTCACTCATTCAGTATAGATCCACTGAGCATCTCTGTGTAGCAAAGATACTGAAGTGACTGAGACCCCCTCAGCTCTGGCCCTCACAGAGCCTCAGGTCTCAGATATAAAATATACCTTGATCAGTGCTGGGAGGGTATACAGGGGACCTGAGCTATCTGGGAGGTAATCAGGGAGAGCTTCCAGGAGGAGGTGATGTCTAAGTGCAGCAGTGTTGCACTAACAGACCTGGGTCCCTATCCTGCCTACCTTTGACAGGCTGTGTGAGGGGATCTTGAGGTGTCCCTGATTCTCACTGAGCCTCAGGTTCCACACTGTCAAATGCAGCAACAATCCCAGCAAGGCCTAGAACATGGCAGCATGTAGGTAGGTAAAGGATTGGCTGGAGGAGAAGACTCCATTTGCACACGCTGATTTAATTAGTCGAGGTGGCCCCCAAGGCAGGGCCAGCACAGCTAACCTCAACAGAGAGCACTTCAGAGTGTGATCCTCAAGCCTCTTACCATCCAGGTTCAAATCCCACCACCTACCAGTTGTGCAGTCTGGAGCTTCAAGGCTCGGTGCCTGTTTCCCCACCTGTGGAATGGGATATAATAGCTCCTGTCTCTTAGAGACACTGTGGGGATTAAAACAGGTAGGACACATCAGGCCTTTAGGACAAGGCCTGGCACACAGTTAACACTCAGAGTGCGCCTCTAACATGATTTTATCCTTTCTCAGAGCAGCTTCCCTGGGGGGATTCCAACAATGGCTTTCGTCTGAGAACCACATTCACAGATTGATTTCCGCAATTCCCTGATGCCTTCCCCTACCCTGCTCCAATTGGGAGCACTAAGCCTGGGTCACTGCCCATTGTGCACTGTGGGAGCCAGGCGGTAACCATGGCAACAGACAGTTAGAAACTGTTACCATTTATTGATTGGATTCATATTTTTTAAATCTAAAGAATTTACACGTGGCCGGGCGCGGTGGCTCATGCCTGTAATCCCAGCACTTTGGGAGGCCGAGGTGGGCAGATCATGAGGTCAAGAGATGGAGACCATCCTAGCCAACATGGTGAAACCCCGTCTCTACTAAAAATACAAAAATTAGCTGGGCGTGGTGGTGCATGCCTGTAGTCTCAGCTACTCGGGAGGCTGAGGCAGGAGAATCGCTTAAACCTGGGAGGCGGAGGTTGCAGTGAGCCGAGATCGCGCCATTGCACTCCAGCCTGGCGACAGAGCGAAACTCCATCTAGGAAAAAAAAAAAAAGAATTTACATGCAATAAAGCCTCACTGAATCCTCACCACAGCCCTGTCTGTGAGGCAGGCCCCTGGTCAATTGAGACCTTACAGATGAGGCCACTGAGGCTCAGAGAGGTGAAGCGATAGACCCTGGGTCACACAGCTCACACGGAGCAAAGCCGGAAGAGGCACTTGGTCTCCTGCTTGCTTACCCCTTGCAGCCCACACCCCACCATTCGGCCTTCCAGCTCTTCATGCTCCTCTCAGGCCCTGGGGGAGGTGGGGACAAGGGTCCCTGCATGAATGATGGTCTCCACCTATCTCCCAACCACCTCTCCATTCTGTACTTCCCACCCCAAGGTAAGAGCTGGGGAAGTGTTGGATGGGCGTGGACTGTCACTGTCACCTGCAGGGACTGGAACTGTGTCGTGTGGTGGCCGTGCACGTGGAGAACCTGCTCAGTGCCCATGAGAAGCGGCTCACATTGCCCCCCAGCGAGATCACCCTGCTCTGACCCAGCCCCCAGCCCTCCAGTACCTTCTGCCAGAAGACTCACTGTGTGGCCTCAGAGAAATCACTGAACCTCTCAGGATCAATGACCCCTGTAAGGGGCCAGAGCCTTGGAGGACACTAAGAGGAGGCAGGAGGAGCAACTCAAATCCCCAAGAACACAAGAAGACCCATCCTGAACTGGGATGGAATGGCAGCATGCAAACTTGGATCAGATAGCAGGAGGAACTTTCAAAAGTCTGGCCCACTGTGCAGTGGAGCAGAAGGCAGGACCATGAGGCCTCCTGCCATGTACCCATTGCAGACCCTGCCCCTAACTCCTGCCTATGACACAGAAGCCCCACACCAGTTGCCCAGATGAACTGGCCTCTGCCTTTGGTTTACTCAGGGTCTGATGTTGGAATCTGCTCCAACTCCACACCCTAGCCCTTACATGTCCTCCTAAGGGGCCCCTCCTTGTGCTGCCAGTCAGCCTGGATTTCTGGTCTTTGGTTATTTCTGTGCAAACAAAAGGTGTGCCTGGCAGCCATTTCTCCATGGAGTTGCTAAGTGGCCGGAAAACAAGCCTGAGGGAGGAGGCAGGAGTTGGAGTTACCTTAGGCCCCTGATTCACTGCCTATGAACAGACCATCCCCCACTCCTTGGGTATCCCCAACCCCAGACCCCCATCACTTGATGGGCCACACAAGTTTGAGAGTGGTACAAGGGAGAAGTTTGGGAAAAGCCTTCTTGGAAAATGGGACATTAGCATTGAGTTTTGAAAGATGAGTAGGAGTTTGCTAAGAATAGATGGAAGACAGCAGGATAAACATTCCAGAGAAAATCATGTTTATTCCCTGCTGTATCTTCCAGAACCTAGGAGGATGCCTAACAGAGAGTAAGCACTTAAAAAATATTTGTCATATGAATGAAAAAATAAACGAGTGAATGTTGATAGAAAGTGCTGGTGCTTTGGGGAGCTTGTGCGGGGCAGAGAACACTTGGGGAGACTAGATAGGTAGATGGGGGCATAGCTGCAAGATCCATGGCAGCAGAGAAAGGATTTATCTACTTATTCAGCCATTCAATAGCTATTAAATACCTACTGTGAATGAGGCAAATACCAGGCACTGGCAGTTAATCACAGTCAAATCACCGCAAACTAGGATAAGACCTGTGAGTGGGAGTTAGCTAGGGAAAGAGGAAAGAGAACAACATACGCAGGGGCCCTGAGGTGCGCATTACTTGTAGCAGGATCTGAGACTGAAGAGGCCGGCAAAGATGGTTTCGATAGGGCTTCTGGGCTACATTAAGAATTTAGGATTTCTGGGCCAGGCGCAGTGGCTCATGACTGTAATCCCGGCACTTTGGGAGGCTGAGGCAGGCGGATTGCCTGAGCTCAGCAGTTCGAGACTAGCCTGGGCAACACGGTGAAACCCCGTTTCTACTAAAATAAGAATAATATACAGGGGCAGCCTGCCCCTGTAATCCCAGCTACTCAGGAAGCTGAGGCAGGAGAATGGCTTGAACCTGGGAGGCAGAGGTTGCAGTGAGCCAAGATCATGCCACTGCACTCCAGCCTGGGTGACAGAGTGAGACTCCATCTCCAAAAAAAAAAAAAAAAAAAAAAAAGAATTTAGGATTTCTGGGCCGGGCATGGTGACTAACACTTGTAATCTCAGCACTTTGGGAGGCTGAGGCCAGTGGATCACTTGAGCTCAGGAGTTTGAGAGCAGTCTGACCAACATGGTGAAACCTCTCCTCTACTAAAAATACAAAAATTAGCCGGACATGGTGGCATGCACCTGTAATCCCAGCTACTCAGGAGGCTGAGGCACAAGAGTCACTTGCACCCAGGAGGCGGGGGTTGCAGTGTGTCGAGATCGCGACACTGTACTCCAGCCTGGGCGACAGAGCGAGACTCGGTCTCAAAAAAAAAAAAAATTTAGAATTTCATCCCAAGAGCCATGAGCAGCCTTCAAAGGTTTTCCAGAGGGGGAAGGGGAGGCACAACCTGCACAGACTGTACTTTGTTAAAGCCATTCTGACCACTGAACGGTGAGTGAATGTAGGAGTTGGGGAGACCAGAGGGGGCTGCTGCAGTGTTAGCTGGAAAACTTGTCATAGATTCTAGTGGTGGTGATGGGTGGGGAGAAGTTGGTAACTGGGGAGAGATTAGAAGGCCCAGCTGGCAGGACTAGGGGGTCAATCAGACCATCCTGGGATGGAGAGGATCAAGAAAGAGCCCCTGATACAAATGCCACAGGGCTGTCCTGCTTTTCACCACTGCCTTGGGTTGGCTTTCCCCAGAAGCAGACCCCAAGGTGAGGAAAGTAAGGAACTCACCAGAAAGAGTGTGGTGTCAATCAAGTTACCACTGTGCAGGGGCCATGCCTGGCAGCAGCTCACTTAACCCCTGGGGTTCTGCCTGCGGCGCTGATGCTCAGTATAGGGACCCCCAAAACAGAGCACAGTGGGCTCCAACATGAGGCAGCCCTGAGGCCTGCCCTCTGCCCCTCATTTCTCATTGTTGTGAGATCATACATGGTGTGTGTGAGGGGGAGGGGGTGTCAGGCTAATTCTTTTGCCCCAAAACCTTTTCCCTAGTCAAGCTGAACTATGAGGCTCAGGAAGGGATGATGTGGCAGAGTGAAAACGAGGGGGCCCTTTTGGCTTTCAGAATACAACTGGGGCCTCCCACACAGACTACAAGCGGCTTCTTGGAAGTAGATCATCCAGGTTGAGCCAAAATGTGAATCACCTCTTCTCTAGGTTGACACAGCCTCTCCCATAACGGACACTGCATTGGAAGCTTCCCTGTGTTCCTCCCTGACTGCTCTTGAGCTAGGACTCTCCCCTCTCGGAGCCCCGGTGAGGGACAGCACAGATTCTGGAACCAGGCAGCCTGGGTTTGAATCATCACTAGGCCACATACTCGCTGTATGGCCTTGGGCAAGTCATTTCACCTCTCTGGGCCTGTTTCCCTATATATACAATGGTAATAATAATAATGCCCTCCTCATTGAATTGTTTGGACGATTAATTGGGCTAGTATATGCACAGGTCCTGGCACATAGTAAAAACTTGATAAGCTTTTTAAAAAAATGTCCATTCCAGGCTGGGCGCAGTGGCTTACGCCTGTAATCCCAGCACTTTGGGAGGCCGAGGCAGGAGGATCTTGTGCCCAGTAGTTCCAAGACCAATTTGACAACATGGTGAAACCCCATCTCTGCTAAAAACAGAAAAATTAGCGGGGTGTGGTGGTACACGCCTCTACATAGTTCCAGCTACTCAGGAGGCTGAGGTGTGGGAGGATGTCTTGAACCCGGGAGGTCGAGATTGCAGTCAGCCAAGATCGTGCCACTGCACTTCAGCCTGGGCAACAGAGACTCTGTCAAAAAAGAACGAGGAGGAGGAGGGGAAGGGGGAGAGAGAGAGGGAGACGGGTGATAAGGAACTGGCATGGGCAACAGCCATGGCAAACAGCCTGGGCAAAGGCCAGGAGGTGAGACACAGTATGTTTGTAGACCTGGCTTACAGGATGAGGACCAGGCTGGGGCTCAGTGTACATGGAAAGAGAGGAGAGGAGGAGCCAAGGCCAGAAGAGTCTTGAAGAAAAGCTTTGAGTGCCAAATAAAGCAGGGGAACTTTATCCTGGGAGACATGGGAGATTTTCCAGCAGATCCCCCCCGACCCCCATTTGTTGGAGCCCTCCAGTGCATCCTGCACGGCTACGCCTTTTTGTTTTGTTTTGCAGCTCTGTCGCCCAGGCCGGAGTGCAGTGGCGCCAGCTCGGCTCTCTGCAGCCTCAATCCCCTGGGCTCAAGGGATCCTCCCACCTCAGCCTCCTGAGTAGCTAGGACCATAGGCGCGCGCCACCACGCCCAGTTCATTTTTAAAAATTTTATTGTAGAGATGGGGTTGCCATGTTGGCCAGGCTGGTCTCAAACTCCTGGGCTCAAGTGATCCGCCCGCCTTGGCCTCGCAAAGTGCTGGGATTACAGGCGTGAGGCCCCGCGCCCGGCAACGCCTTTGCTGACTGCTTCAAAACTTTTTTGAATTGACTGTAGTCATTATCTATAGCTTAGCCTTAGCCTTGCGCCCGTTCGTTTCCTGGAGTTTTCTTCCAGAGTCCCCGTAGGAGGTGCCCCCACGCCCATCTCCAGCACCAAGGAGGCTCGACGCCAACCCCAGCGCGCCCCCACGCTCGCCGTCACCGGGACGTGACTCGTGAAACGTCCGCTCCGGGCGGCGGCGGCAGCGGCGGCAGGCTGGCTTGTACCCCGACAACGCGCGTCTGGCTTCTGCCGGACGTTCCTATCTGGGTTCAGAACTGGGGCCGGGTGCTGCAGGTCCCGCAGTCTGAGAAGTTTTCGCGGGTTTCAGAAGTTTCCTTAGGCGTTCTAAGGGCTTTACTCAGGTGGAGTCTCCATTCAGGCACTTATTTAACCACCCATTTCTCCTTTAGGGGTCCTCGCTGCTCGCCCAGCCGCTAATTAAGTGACGGACACAGTAGCTAAGGAGACTGCCTGATTGACACGCATGATTACCAACCGACTTCCGGAAACTCCAGTCAGGGCCTGCCCGGCGCGTGGCCCACGGCCCAATTAAAGAAGTGGAAGCGCCAAAGGGGGAGGTAACGGAGCGGCCTACGTTGTGGCGGTTCCCTGGTGAATGCGCCCTGGGGTTGAGGCGTCTGCGGGCGTTCGGACGATGCCGTGACGCGGCACGGCGACACTGTTGGCAATATGAGCGCACCCCTGTAGAGGGAGCCCTTCGGTCCTGGAGGCGGCGCGGCGTGAAGACAGGTTGCTATTTGAGAGCGTTCCCTTGAAGCCCCTCAGAGAGTGGGGGAGGGGCGGCGGACGGCAAGCGGTTCCTGTCTGCGCTTGCGCCGGCGCCTCTGCCGACCCGGCCTGCACGCACGCGCATGCCCGTAGCGCGCGGAGCCGCGGTGGCCGGCAGCACTGCGCGTGCGCGGTGAGGAGCCCGCTAAGGAGCGGCGCTGGCGGACGTCGGGCTGGCTGCCCGTGACGTCGTGCGGAGAGCTTTAAAGTGCGGGCCGGGCCGGGCGTCCGAGGGTCTGGTCGGGAGTCGGGCCGCGTCTCCGCAGCAGCCCTCCGCGGCATGAGGCGCTGCCGGCGCCCCTGCCCCGCGGGACGTGGAGAAGGTGGAGGAGGAAGAAGCCCCGTTGTCGCCACCGTTGCATGACCCGCCGCTCCTGAGGCCCTACCCCACGCCCGGACCCTCGACGCCCCCCGCCGGGTCCCCCACTCACGCATGGGGGTTCGGCGCTAAGGACCCCCCTCCCTCCGGGGGCCCCGGGGCGCGTCCCCTTAGAGCCATGCCCGGCTGCCCCGCCCGCCCCGGAGGACCCTAGAGCAGCGTCGTGGGGGCCATGGCGGCCGCCAGCGGCTACACGGACCTGCGTGAGAAGCTCAAGTCCATGACGTCCCGGGACAACTATAAGGCGGGCAGCCGGGAGGCCGCCGCCGCTGCCGCAGCCGCCGTAGCCGCCGCAGCCGCAGCCGCCGCTGCCGCCGAACCTTACCCTGTGTCCGGGGCCAAGCGCAAGTATCAGGAGGACTCGGACCCCGAGCGCAGCGACTATGAGGAGCAGCAGCTGCAGAAGGAGGAGGAGGCGCGCAAGGTGAAGAGCGGCATCCGCCAGATGCGCCTCTTCAGCCAGGACGAGTGCGCCAAGATCGAGGCCCGCATTGACGAGGTGGTGTCCCGCGCTGAGAAGGGCCTGTACAACGAGCACACGGTGGACCGGGCCCCACTGCGCAACAAGTACTTCTTCGGCGAAGGCTACACTTACGGCGCCCAGCTGCAGAAGCGCGGGCCCGGCCAGGAGCGCCTCTACCCGCCGGGCGACGTGGACGAGATCCCCGAGTGGGTGCACCAGCTGGTGATCCAAAAGCTGGTGGAGCACCGCGTCATCCCCGAGGGCTTCGTCAACAGCGCCGTCATCAACGACTACCAGCCCGGCGGCTGCATCGTGTCTCACGTGGACCCCATCCACATCTTCGAGCGCCCCATCGTGTCCGTGTCCTTCTTTAGCGACTCTGCGCTGTGCTTCGGCTGCAAGTTCCAGTTCAAGCCTATTCGGGTGTCGGAACCAGTGCTTTCCCTGCCGGTGCGCAGGGGAAGCGTGACTGTGCTCAGGTAACCCACCCGGGTGGAGGGGGCGGCCCTGCGCCTGCTGCCTTAGCTACCCACCCTGGCCCAGAAAGCAGCAGCCCGTAGGAGTCTGCGTTTTTTACAGTTCTGACCAGTTCTTCTGTTTGTAGATTGTAGGGAGCGAGAGAAGGGTTTTGTGTTTAAGATACCTATAGCAAGAAAATAGGGAACCGATGTGGAAATCCTGTCCCCGAAGGCAGGTTTGACGGGATCACTGACTTGGCTGAGAATTCATCGAAAGCCATCTTTTCAGAAGGCTGTTCCCTTTGATTTTTTTTTTTCCCACCATCCATTTCTTAGCATAAGTCCCTTTGTGATTTTCCGGTTTTCCATTCTGGCCTTCCATTTACAAATCTATGCTTTAAAATTTTTTTTTTTTTTAATTTATCTAAAAGTCTTTCTTGTTCTGCCATTTTTGGATTCCTTAACAGAGAAAGTAGTCACAGGCAAAGGCCCCAGAGATTATTTAATTGAAGCACATTCTCCATTCCCAGGAGGGGGAGTGACTTCCCTGGAGTTGAACAGATTAGTGGTTGGGCCAGGCATACAGAGCAGCACACTCTTAAAATTCTTCCCTCCTGGCTGCAGAAGAGCCCATCAGTTCTTTGTAAGAACGTGTTACTTGTAGTCAGGACTGAATACAACAGAATACAGCTGGTCTCTTGACTGTTTGGCCTTACAGTTGCGTGAGCAGCAGAACTTAGGCTTTTGGCCTATATTCGGTTCCCAGATCCTGCTGAGAATTAGCTCAGTGCCCTGGCCCCCAGAGGAGATTGCCATTGGGAACACCTTTGCTGTTTATGTGAAGTGAAAATTTATTTGGAAGCGGCCTCCTTCCAGTCCTGAAAAAGGTAAACCTAGTAATGTAATTCAGTAATACCCAAAACATCTTAGGTTTAGACCGCAGCTGTTCTCAGAGCAGCTTGGTTGACCACCACCAAATACAAGGTTGAGGACACACTGGGCTTTTGTCGTGAGCAGCCCAGGTTCTGAAGTGAGTCAGTAGGGCCAAAGTCATGAGGAGAAGCAGGGTCCCTGGAGCCTTCTTGATATGAGATTAGGTCATCTGTTTCATTTGAGTCTAACAGCTGAGGCTGCTTCCATGTTGGGGATGGCAGCAGAGCCTTGTAATGTCCAAGACGTCCTGGTGGGAAGGTGGGAAGTCAGTAGTAGCAGAAGCGATACTTTAGCTCTTTAGGCATCTGAAACTTAGAGGACAGCCTAGCTGTCAGATGCCTTCTTATAATGGGCTTCTGAGCTTCTCAGATCTTCATGGCGCTCCTAGATGGATGTCTTGGCAAAATGCTTTAAGATGGGATTTCCAGGACACACCCTCTCCGGGTGCTTGCTGTGTAAGGCAGGTTGGGGTCTGACCCCATTGACGGGTTCTCAGTGCAAAAATTACCTCACACAAGGACCATTTGGTCTCTTAGCGGGATATTAATTTTCTGCGTAGTCATTGGCCCTCAGGGTGGTTGTCAGGAGGTCTAGTAGTGGTCTGGTGCTTAATGAGGGGATCACAAGGCATTTTTTTTTGGTTTTGGGACTACTACTCTCCTTAACACATGCCCACCCTGTATTTTAAGAACAGAAGTTTCGAGTTCTTAGTATGCAGGTCTGTTAGTGATCAGCAACAGGATTGCATCATCAGGAAAATTCTCTTCATCTTTTCCTCAGAATAGTAAAGTCCTAAAGCTTTCCCAGTCCCTGTCAACCCTTTCTGGATTCAGACTTGGCTGTGGTGTTAGTGTGGGAGGCTCAGCCATGTCCTGAAAAGTGCTGCCCCAGGCTTTGAATCCAGCTTTTCTCTCATTTGCTTTGGGATCTTGTAGGCGTTCTCTGAGCTGGCTTTCCCATCTGTAAGTGGGGATGATGCCAACTTCCAAAGCCTATTAGAATTAAATGTGGTGATTTGTTGTCTAAGATAGGGCCTGGCACAGGGTAGGTACTTAAATGGGTGCTTGCTTTCATATACAACCACTCAGTGATCCCCTGCTCTCTCACTGGGGAAGGAACTAGGGATTTGGTGGAGCCTGAAACATGACAGTTTCCCTTCGTGTAGTTCAAGCCCCATGGAGGCCTCAGACAGGAGGATAAGTTATAGCCCAGGAAGGTAACTGCAGAAGCACACTGAAGGGGGACATCTTTTCCACTTTGGAGTGTTGGAAGTTTAGGGGAGGAAATGAACTGGAATGTGAAAAGTGACTAGGAATGAGCCAAGCAGAGAAAGGTGGAGAAATACACAACAGCAGTGTCTTTGGCTGCAGTAGCAGGAGTAGCCATAGGTAAGAGGGGGTGGATGTTGATGGGAGGCAGATGGAGTTCATTAGTAGAGACTGTGGTTGAGGGTGCTCTGGTGAACTCTAGATCAGGGCTTCTCAACAGTGCTATTGTTATTCAGGGCTTGATAATGCTTCATTGTTGAGGCTGTTCGTGCATTGTAGACTGTTCAGCAGCATTCCTGGCTTCTATCTGCTAGGTGCCAATAGTGTTTTTTATGACAACCAGAAAGTGTCCAGACACTGCCAAATGCCGAGGCAGGGGAAGTGCAGAATCCTTAGTTGAGAGTCACTGCTCTAGGGTCTGGACCCTTCCACTAATTAAATCTTCTTGCACCTGCATACTTAGCTTACCTTGGTATGCAGGTGGGTGAACACCTGCCTATTAGTAGTGCCCGTCGTCAAATCCTGCATATAAACTGGTAAGAAGTGGTGCTTTCTCTTTTCCTGGTACAGATCCTAGCCCAGAGGTGATGAGCAGTAAAGCTGCAGATTGGAAGGGAGGGGCTGGTGAAAACAGTGGTGCGGTGCAGATGGGGAGGGATTCTAGTAGTAGGCATCTTAGACTTCAGTTGGTGTTGGTGGCAATGGTATCTGTACCCCTCTAAGACCGCATGGCAAGAATACAATTTTATATTTAATAGTGATCAGCATGGATGTTGGTGCGTCACAAACATTGACTCAGCAGTGTCTAAACCTGGGCATTTAGAACAAGGCCTCACAGAATCTTCTGGAAGTGCTTCAAACTCCTTTCCAAACCTAGTCGTCAGTTGTTTTTTGTAACCTTCCCATGTTAGGCCTGGGTGGATCCCCTCTTAAGGCTGTACTTTAGGGAAATATTTTTTATCTTCATATCACTTTATCTGTCATTCATTCTCCTATTCCCTGTTGGCTGCATGGGGCAGATTAAAACAGACTCTGATTGGACTAATTAGAATAATTACTTCAAGGCTAATTGCTTACTTGCTGCTATCTTTAATCACTGCTACGTGGTCTGTGGTGTGGTGGCCACATGCCCAGAGACCCAGGCCTAGGCCAGCCGTCTGGAAATGACTGTATCACCCAGGCACGGGGCATGCACTGGTGAGCTCAGCCTGTGACTCTTCCAGTTAACGGTTGGTATTGGGTGGAGTGGGCACCCCTGTCAGTTCTGGGATAGTCTGATCTTGTTCAGCTGGTTGAAAGCAAAATTTAGCTTTCTGGCTTAAAATAGTTGGGAAAGTAGGGCAGATAGGTCCTGGGCCACATCTCTTGTGTGGACTCTTCTGATTCCACTGGAGGGGGAGGAACCACAGGATGAAGTCAGGGCTGTGCACCGTCAGGAGGAGCTCTGGGCCAGGGGGGTTGGCTGCCCTTGCTGCTGCCAGAGCCTGACAAGGCAGAGGGCAGTAAAAGAAAGGAAGCTAACAGTGAACCATGGTGTTAATCATGAAGCTCAGAGCAAGCAGAGAATAAATAGGCCATAAAAATTTCAGAGCTGGCCAGGCTTAGTGGCTCATGCCTGTAATGCCAGAACTTTGGGTGGCCAAGGTGGACGGATCATGAGGTCAGGAGTTTGAGACCAACCTGGCCAACATGGTAAAACCCCATCTCTACTAAAAATACAAAAACTAGCCGGGCATGGTAGTGTGCACCTCTAATCCCAGCTACTCAGGAGGCTGAGGCAGGAGAATCACTTGAACCCGGGAGGCGGAGGTTGCAATGAGCCGAGATCGAGCCCTTGCGCTCCAGCCTGTGCTGTAGAGTGAGACTCCGTCTCAAAAAAAATAATAAAAAAAAAAATTTCAAGGCCGGGCGCGGTGGCTCACGCCTGTAATCCCAGCACTTTGGGAGGCCGAGGTGGGTGGATCACGAGGTCAGGACATCGAGACCATCCTGGCTAGCATGGTGAAACCCTGTCTCTACTAAAAATACAAAAAACAAAATTAGCTGGGTGTGGTGGCGGGCGCCTGTAGTCCCAGCTACTTGGGATGCTGAGGCGGCAGAATGGCACGAACCCGGGAGGCGGAGCTTGCAGTGAACCGAGATCATGCCACTGAACTCCAGCCTGGCAGCCTGGGCGACAGAGCAAGACTCCGTCTCAAAAAAAAGAAAAAGAAAATTCAGAGCTGGCTGGCCAGTTGGTGGATAGCCTTCACTGATACAGTGCTAGCTCTCTGGGGGATATAGGTTCATCTCTGCAAATCTCTTTCATGGGGCTAGTGGGTGTACGTGTGCCCTTTGGTGAGGCCAGCAAGGCCCCCTGGACAGGCTTGCTACCAGGAAACACAGATGGGCTTTTCTTCCTACCGCCTCCACAACAAAATCCAGAAAGTTTGACAGCAGACTTGGTTGGAGTTACAGCACCACCATTTTAACTCGTTGACTTCGGGGAAATTAAGCTTTTTGAGGCCTCAGTTTTCCTCATCTGCAAAACCAGTCTAATGATGCTATAGAGTTGTTATAGAAAGTTGAATCTTTGTCATCTATTGAATGCTTGAAATTTAGCTAAAAGTGTCTCAGGAGATGGGCTACCTTCTGTGTTTAGTACTGTCTATCTTGGTGTGTACAGAATTGGGACTTGGCAGGTTGACCTTCCCTCTGGATTCAGAAAGCCCCAGGACTTCTTATAAAGTTAGGCCATGGGTCGTCTTGGAGGCTTGGGTCTGGTAAATAATTGAGCCTGAGCTCACAATCCTGCCCCTGGGTCCAGGTGGCTGGTCTGCTGCCCCCAAAAGCCTGACCTTCTTGGTCCTGTGGGTCTGTCAGTAAGGCAGGTAGCCATAGCTGGAGAGAGACAGTCACCAGGCTGGGATCTTGGACAGTCCCTCCATCTCTGGTTCATCCTGGCCTAGGCAGGGCATGGAGTAGATGGAAAATGGTGGCCATCTTGGAAATGTGTCATAACAACTCAGTTTCCAAGACCGTCCCCTAGAGGAGAGATGTACAGTCCTGCATAGTTTCTTTAAAGAATTTTTCAGGGCCAGGTGCGGTGGCTCATGCCTGTAATCCCAGCACTTTGGGAGGCCAGGGCGGGTGGATCACCTGAGGTCAGGAATTCAAGACAAGAATGGCCAAGATGGTGAAAGCCCGTCTCTACTAAAAATACAAAAATTAGCCGGGCGTGGTGGCAGGCACCTGTAATCCCAGCTACTCGGGAGGCTGAGGCAGAGAATTGCTTGAACCCAGGAGCTAGAGGTTGCAGTGAGCCAAGATTGCGCCACTGCATTCCAGCCTAGGCAACAGAGTGGGACTCTGTTTCCGAAAAAAAAAAAAAAAAAAAAAATTTCAGACACCTCATTTAATTTGCACCTAATCTTCTGAGGAGGGGCTTGCTGTGATCTTTGTTTTGCAGAGGCAGAAACAGGTTCTAAGTGGTAGAATAGTTCAGCTCAACACACATTTCATTTAGTGTCCACTGTGCAGGGATGAGTAAGGCCTTTGAAGAGCTTTGTCTTGAAGGGAAGACACAATTTCCACAAGGCCAGATGGAATAGCAAAGAGGCATGAGAGGGTGTGGTTGAGCAATGTAGGGGGAACCCAGCCTGGGCAGTCAGGGAAAGGCCCCCAAAAGAGGAGATAGACATGTCAGCTCCTTCGAGAGTCACTCTGAGGTATAGGACTAGTGGGTGACATTTGCAACATATACTGGTCAGTGCCTCTGGGGCTGGGGCTGGGGGCTCAGCCCAGAGAGGGAGCAGGCAAGCCAGATGGCATAAGGTTATTTCCTCTTCTCCTTTCCCTGTGAAAACAAAAAAGCAGGAGGTCCTGGAACTTTTCATGCCAGCAGTAGGGCTGGACCCAAGGGCATATTAAGTTGCAAGCTGGCCGACTGAGACTTTCAGACAATTTATTTTGTAGCAAGTAGGTTCCTTAATAGTAAATAATACCCTGTGGTCTCTGCTCGACATTTTGTGAGATTGGCCAGGAGAGCTTCCCTTAATCAGGACTTTGAGCTCATGTTGCCAGAGCAGCCGGATATTCTGAGGAAAGGGTCAGTGGGCTGTGTCATAGCTGCTAGGAAGTTCTAGAAGACCAGTACTAATAAGCCTTCCAGGTTGGGTCAGTGCCAAAGTCATTTTTGTGGGCCTGTGCAGCCCTACCTCCATACTAGTTCTTCCAAGGCCTGGGCTCCGTGGCAGGAACCTGACATGGCTTATTGTTTGTTCTAGAGCCCTTTGGGGGATGGGGTCAGGGAGCATGCGGGCAGTCAAGCTTTGACAAACATCTGGATTTGCTCCAGAACTGCATTAAGAAAAGTGGTTCCTTGTTGGAGATGGGAAGTCAGGGCCCTTGGTTATGCATATAGCCAAGTCAAACAGATTGATAACACTTGTCAATGGCAGGGAAGGTTGCCTGTAGCCAGCACTGCAGATTCAGGACTTAGAAACGTGCCTCTGGGGCCGAGCATGGTGGCTCACACTTGTAATCCCAGCACTTTGGGAGGCCGAGGTGGGTGGATCACGTGTGATCAGGAGATCGAGACCAGCCTGGCCAACATGGGGAAACAGTCTTCACTAAACATACAAAAATTAGCCTGTAGTCCCAGTTACTTGGGGGTCTGAGGCAGGAGAATTGCTTGAACCTGGGACGTGGAGGTTACAGTGAGCCAAGATCATGCCACTGCACTCCAGCCTGGGCAACAGAGTGAGACTCTGTCTTTAAAAAAAAAAAAAAGTGCCTTTGAGACCTTTGACAGCTCTTTGGGAAAGTATTGTGTGTCTATATGGGACAGTCTTGCAGTCTAGACCCCCATTCCCCCAGTGTGGAATGATAAAAGCATGGGATGAGAACTAGAGTTCCTAGCTCTGGAAATGGGGCCCAGGCGGCCCCCACTACTGGCAGATCCCTGCAGGGGGAGCCCAGACCATGTCTCTTTGGCAGATGCTGAATCCAGGGCTCTGGCTTGCCCCAGGATAGTCCAGGGCCCTCTGACTTTTGTCAGAGTGCTTAGTAAAGATTGTAGGGTGTCAGGCACCCTGCATTATCTGACTTAATTCTCGCAATACCCCTGCAGGTAGGCCTCTCACCACCCCTTTCCAGGAGTGTCAACCAAGTAGTCATATAATGCTGTTTTTCTGCCTGGAAGGGAGGAGGCCCCGTTTTTAAAATCTTGTAATCTTAAAAACTTTAATCTTGTAATCTTTAAAACTGTCCCCATTTTTAAAATCTTGTAATATTAGTAGCAGCAAAAGAATAGCTAAATTATAAAGCATAACAAAATGAATACCCAAGAACCTACTGTTCTCCTTATTACAGATGAAGAAACTGTACAGGTTTTTAGGTTCAGCATGTGATTTAACAAAGGTCACAAAGCTAGTAGGAGACAAAGCTCACATTTGAACCCAGGTCTCTTCAACTCACTAACTCCTGTGTGGTACTTCTCACTGTGGGCTGATGGGTATTAATAGGTATTATGAGAGAAGGTTCTTTGGTAAGTGCTCAAAGTCAGTGGGTTCTTTTGCTGTAGTAATTCTCATGTGCTTTAAATATATTAATGCTTTTTGAAACTCTAATCAGTATTTTACAAATTGATTTCACTGTAGACATTCGTCCACTGTCTTTTTCTTTTTTTTTTTTTTTTTTTTTTTGAGACGGAGTCTCACTCTGTCACCCAGGCTGGAGTGCAGTGGCACTATCTCGGCTCACGGCAACCTCCACCTCCCAGGTTCAGCGATTCTCCTGCCTCAGCCTCTGCGATAGCTGGAATTACAGGCACCTGCCATCATGCCTGGCTTATTTTTGTATTTTTGTAGAGACGGGGTTTCACCATGTCGGCCAGACTGGTTACGAACTCCTAACCTCAGGCAACATGCCCACCTTGGCCTCCCAAAGTGCTGGGTGGGATTACAGGCGTGAGCCACCGTGCCTAGCCTGTCTACTGTCTCTTATGGGACTGGTGTTCATGGAGAAAATTTTGAAAAATTCTTGTCTAGGAGCAGCTTGAGGGAGAAGGTGGATCTATAAAATAAAGGTTTGGGCCGGGCGCGGTGGCTCACACCTGTAATCCCAGCACTTTGGGAGGCCGAGGCTGGCGGATCACGAGGTCAGGAGTTCAAGACCATCCTGACCAACATAGTGAAACCCCATCTCTACTGAAAATAACAAAAATTAGACAGGCGTGGTGGGGTGCGCCTGTAGTCCCAGCTACTTGGGAGGCTGAGGCAGGAGAATCGCTTGAACCCGGTAGGCAGAGGTTGCAGTGAGCCGAGATTGTGCCACTGCACTCCAACCTGGGTGACAGAGTGAGACTGTCTCAAAAAAAAAAAAAATTAAATAAAATAAAGGTTTGTTCTATCCCCAGCATGAGCTCAAATCAGATTTCCAAATCAGAGGTGCTTCCTTAAGGCTGAGCCTGAAGCAGTCTGGCTTTTTATCTCTTGTTGGCTCTTGCATCCAGTTATTAGAGCTGAGGTTTGGCCAGCCTGGCCATCTTGAGGGGTCCTTCCCAGGCCTGCAGTGTTTTTAATAGTTAAGTTTGTGTCTGTACAACTAGCCTTTGAGAAGGGAGCTGATCAGCAGCCATGAGAGAAGGGTTTGTGGTACAGGGCCAGGTAGGGAAACTAAGCCATACTTGTCCTACTAGGCTTGTGGCTGAGTTTCTGGGTGTGTAGAACTGCTGCAGCTCAGTAGAGTAACTTGGAGTGGGAGTATCTTGTGGCTGCCATGCTTCCAGTGATAGCATGTGAGGGGTATAGGAAGCTCAGAGCTTGCTTCCAGAGTTTCAAATTGGAATGACGCTAGCTGAGAAGAGGACAGTCATCTACCCACATTAGTTGGTCTCTGAGCGGTTTTAAAAGTCATGTAACTTGTTGAAAATAAACAGATATCTGAGTATGATGGAAATCCTTTTTTTTTGGGCGGGGGGCAGGGGGTGGGGGTCAGTGGTGGGGACAGAGTCTCGCTCTGTTGCCCAGGTGCAGTGGGCGTGATCTTGGCTCACTGCAACTTCTGCCTCCTAGGTTCAAGCGATTCTCCTGCCTCAGCCTCCCAAGTAGCTGGGATTACAGGCGCCCACCACCATGCCTGGCTAATTTTTGTATTTTTAGTAGAGATGGGGTTTCGCCATGTTGGCCAGGCTGGTCTCGAACTCCTGATTTCAGGTGATCCGCCCACCTCGGCCTCCCAAAGTGCTAGGATTACAGGCATGAGCCATCACGCCCAGCCGGAAATTCTTAAAATATTCAAACACAACTGTCTTCAAAATTTTGGATCCCCCCAAATGGAGACTTCATGTAGATATTCTATTTTGGAATGAGGCAGTCCTAGCTCTCCCTGGTGACTCAGTGCTATCAGTGGCTGCCTTGGCTTTCTCTACCTGCTAAATGGAGGGAGAATGAGGAGGAGCTACAGTGTACTCTCTGGAGTACCCTTTTAAAAAAGGGTTCCTGGCCTGTTCAGGGAGAGTCTTGCTTCCAGCCTCTGCCTTAAGTGGCCAAGGGGTCTCCTTTGTGTCATACCAGGTTTTTCCTTGAGTATTACAGTCTCTTGGCAAAAGCATCCTGGAACTTAATATGATATTCCCTTCCATGTAGATCCTTGAAACTCTCAAGTAATGGGTAGAGAGCAGCCGTAAGACCTAGGCCATGTTCCTGTCCTGTTATATCCCCCAGGAACTTTGGTTGTCTGTCTACTCTTCATGGTCACATGTTCTGTGTTTCTTTTCAGTGGATATGCTGCTGATGAAATCACTCACTGCATACGGCCTCAGGACATCAAGGAGCGCCGAGCAGTCATCATCCTCAGGAAGTAAGTGCCTTGATGTCTGACCTTCTGCCTCACCTGCAGGCCTGTCTGGAGATGTAGCTCTGGGTCCACTTAGAACTCAGCTCCTATGTATCAGTGGCATGGCAGAGTGGAGAGCAGAACTGTTAAGTTCTCTTTTTATTTGAATCCTGTGAGGATAAAGTTGTTTTGTTGTTTTATCAGAAAATTAAGTACTCTATTTAGGGAGTTTAGGACTGAGCAAAAGCATATACGCCCAATATTTGTGGGTATAATCTTGAGACAAGATTTGGGCAACATTCTTCCAAACCTCACCCCACCCCTTAGCCTCTATTCCTCACCTCCTTCGTTCTTATTTGTTACACGTACTCTTGGTGATTATTTTTAGACTGTGCCTTTAGCAGCCTGCTTTAAAAATGCCTGGGTTTTCACTGCTGGAAGGAACAGGGAGTGAAGAGAGGAGACAAGGGTGGGAGGTTAGGATGTAGTATTCGGCAGAATCATGGCTTGTGGCTCTTCTCTGGGGAGGGAATCAGGGATGTGCTACTTAACATCAACAAACCTGGCTTCACCAGCATTTATTTCTTTCACGGGGTGAGTGGAAGAAGCCATAGCCTCACAGACATTGGATCAAGACAAGCCTTGCCCCACTGTCCACCCATCTTGCTCAGGCTGGAATGCAGTGGTGCCATCATAGCTCACTGCATCCTCAAAGTCCTGGACTCAAGCTCTCTTCCTGCTTCAGCCTCCCCAGTAGCTGGGAATAGAGGCAAGTGCCACCATACCTGGTTCACGCCTACCTTTTGAATAGAGTCCCAGAGAAGATAGGTGATTGCCCAGAGTCATAGAAGTCAGTGAGCAGAGCAAAACAAGCACGTAAACTTAGGCTTGACCCATAAAACTTGCTGTCTGTCGTCTTCTTCCTTCCTTCCTTTTATTAAACTTTATTTTTTAGAATAGTTTTAGATTTACAGACAATTGTGATAGTACAGAGTTCTCATGTACTCTGCATCCCATTTCTCCTATTTGTTAATTTTTTATTGGTATGACTAAAGTCCATACTTTATTTAGATTTCCTTAGGTTTTTCCTAATGTCCTTTTTCTGTCCCAAGATCATCCTACGTTACATTTAGTTGACATATCAACTCAGACTCCTCTTAGACTCCTCTTGGCTGTAACAGTTTCTCAGACTTTGCCTTATTCTTTTTTTTTTTTTTTTGAGACAGGGTCTCACTCTGTCGCCTAGGCTGGAATAGGCGGGAATGCAGTGGCACCATCTCGGCTCACTGCAACCTCTGCGTCCCAGGTTCAAGTGATTTCGTGTCTCAGCCTCCTGAGTAGCTGGGACTATAGGCGTGTGCCACAACACCCAGCTAACTTTATTTTTTCGTACAGATGGGGTTTCCCCCATGTTGGCCAAGCTGGTCTCTAACTTCCAACCTCAAGTGGTTCACCTGCCTTGGCCTCCCAAAGTGCTGGGATTACAGGTGTGAGCCACCATGCCCAGCCTGCCTTATTCTTGATGATATTGACTGGTTAGGTATTGTATAGAAAATCTCTCAATTAGAATTTGTCTGATGTTTTTATGGTAAAGTGTATGCCATTTTTACTACATAACCAAGAATATATACTATCAATGTAACTTAACACTATTGATATTGATCATCTGGCCAATGCACTGTCAGGTTTTCCACTGTAAAATTACTGTTTTTCCTTGTCCATACTGTACCCTTAGGAAGGAAGTCACCATGCATGCCCACAGTTAAAGAGTGTGGGAGTTAGCACCATCTCCTTGAGGGGGAGCATGCAGGTGAATTACTTAGAATTCTTCTGCAGGGGGGATTGGTCTACTCTCCTTCATTTATTCAATCATTTATTTATATAAGTATATTTTTTATGTAAGTATGGACTCCTAGGAATTTATTTTATGCTCAAATTCTTCCAGCTTTGGTCATTGGGAATTTTTTCTGGTGCATCAACTTTAGTCAGTAAACAATAACTTTGGCATCCTGGTCCTTTGGGCCCATAACTCCAGAATATTGTAGTGGTGAAGTCTCTTTGGTATGGCTTTGCCACTTTGCCAAGTCAAAACTTTTAGTCTGTTTTAACTATAGTAGATGGGTATGATCCATATCTGTGGGACAGTCCTATGGTACAGGCAGAGCAGTGAACACGTGGGAGCTCCAGAAACTTGGGTCAACTTGGTGGGGTTGGCAGCCTCTCTTTTCTAGCCTAAGACTGTTCCCAGAATTTGTCAGAGGAAGGGAAGAGTTTTTATCTGCCTTGTACTTTATTTTTCTGTGATAACCAGCATAGGCAAGAACTCGGAAACAATGGAGTCCAGAGTGTAGCACTCTTCCAGCCTCTCCTCCAGTCATTTCTTCTCAGGCTGTACCTGGTACCTCCAACTGCAGCCAGGGATGGGTGGCCTGCCCAGGCCAGGAACCTGGAGAGGAACTTCTAATGTTACATAGAACCAGAGCAGTAACTTCCCAAGAGTTCCTCTCATCTTCCCATAATAGCTTATTTTGGGGAAATCTTAGTTGGATGTGCAGGTGGTAGTGGCCATAGCTGGAGTGTCAGTCTTCCAGCTGCTACTCTTTTATTGAATGGTGACTCCCATACCTGGCCGCCCAGTCCAACTGAGTCAGATGCTCCTCAGCACAGCTAGGAGTCTGCACCGTTAATCAGCTCCCTGGGAAGCTTTTCAGCCAGCTAGGTCCCTGCCAGTGGCCTGACCTTGGGAATGGCTGTTACTGGGTGACTGAAGCTCTTCTACCTTCTGACTTCAGTGGGCCCAGGAACCATTCACAGACTGGGCTGGAGTGCAGAAGCACAGAGCTGTGGTGTAAGGGGACTGGAGAAGAGTGGGAGGATGTCCCAGCTTCCCCAGGTAGCTGAGCTGGGGAAGTGCACAGCTGTGGGGAACTCTAAAGTATCTGCAGCTCCTGTTATGGTTTATGGATTTGTGCCTGGGCTCTTGTGGCAATGTGGCCTCCATTGGGCATACCTTCTCATCTAACATGTTCATCCTCTGATTCATATCCCAACTCCCCAAATAAACCTACATGATAACCAACTCCTCAGATAACCTAGTCATTCTTCATCGTTCAGATTGACCATTTTGACATGCAGAAAGCATCATATAAAAAGCCCTTTAGCTTTTTAGCATCACCTAAAGCCCTTTCAGCACACATGCAGACACATACACACACCCCTGTTTGGACTGTCACAGCTCATACGCTTGCCATTGTGAATTTTCAAATCTGCATTCTGTAGGAGTAAGGAGATCCCTGTTCATCTGGGGCCTAGCATGAGGTGCAGCCCAGAGGAGGCATCAACTAGTGTGGAGAACAATTCAGGCCGGTGAGGAGCAGCTCCAGAGTAGCTACATGGGTTTGTCTTGGGAAAGGACGGGTTGTGACAAGTTTAAAAAGGGGAGCATCTTGGCCCAGGCATTGCCCGGAGATAAGTATGATGTGGCCTTGGAAGATACCTGGCTGGTTTGATGTCTTCTGGTGAGGTTGTGTTACAGTGGGTAGAATCTGGGCATTGAGCCTGGCCCTGATTATGGTAGAGGAGTTAGAGCCGGTCCTGCCTTCTCATAAGTTCAGATAAAGATTGCACAGGCTGCTGGTGGAGACCCTGGGAGCTCTGTCACCAGCTCAGGTCAGTCAGAGCTGGAAAGGTCTTTCTAAGGGCCTCACGGAAGGAAATGGGTGGGCAGCTGCCAAGTGCTTTCTGGTTGGACAGAACGCAGCTTCTGTGAACATGGGTGGTGCCAAGTCTTCATGCACATGTGCCCTTGTTTCTTACGGGGAGGCTGGAAGTAACCTTTTAAAAAAGTCTCCCCAGAGTGGAATCCTCAGACTGTCCCTTGGTGTTATAATGTTTGGGGTCACAACTTAGCCAGTAAATGGCTGAGTGACACCTGGAACCTGGGTCTTGTGGTTCGTTGGTGGTTTGCACAGTGGAGTACCCCAAGTCCTGCCCTTTCCCCCAGTGTGTCGTTGGGATGGATGCTTTGAGTTAGGAAACTGGAGCTCAGATATAGAAGGGCTTTCTTGCCTCTGCTGTGCAAGTAGAGAGTTGTGCTGATTGGGGAGAATGTTATGAGTATGTAGGGGGCACTCTACAGAGAGTGGGGTGAGGCAGCAGCTACAGGCTAGTCGGCTCTTTGAGGTGCCTCAGCACCCCCAAACTTCCCTGAATGTTACTGTCTCCCAGCCGACCGAGGGCAAGCTGCCGCAGCATGCAAGTCTTTTCTCTGTAATCGTTGGTAACCCTGGAAGGGGAGGCTGGACCTAACCTTACTGGAGGTGTGGTTAAAGTTCTAAATTACTAGTTAGATAACCAAGAGGCTGACAAACTTCTGGGGTATAATAATTCATCTGTGAGGGGAGTCTTCCAGTTTTCCCATGATTCCCTAGTGCTCCTGCACTAGTGCACTCTGTGCTTCTGCTCCTGGTAGGCCTTGCTAGCTGCCCTGTGCCAAGCATCCACATATTAACCTTGAAACTAGAAGGTATGAACTCTGTTTGGAAAGGGGCTCAGGTAGGAAGTGAGCTGCCTCAGGTCATTGCTAGTTGGAATGGCCTTTGAGCAGGGATTTCTGACTTGAGGGAAACATCAAGTATCTACTATGTACAAGGCACTTGAGGTGGGCACCGCAGGAAATTTAGTGCCCCCTTGGTGCTTCACATGTAATAAGTTTGCACTTTGCCTGCCATTCCAACACAAAGCAGAGTGAACACTGGTGTAAAAGCACAGGGTATTCTCTGGGAGCCCTGCAAAAAAAACCCCAAAAACCCAGGCCGGTCGTGGTGGCTCACACCTGTAATCCAGCACTTCAGGAGGGCGAGGCAGTTGGATCACCTGAGGTCAGGAGTTCAAGACTAGCCTGACTAACGTGATGAAAATTCTAAAAATACAAGAATTAGCTGGGCATAGTGGCAGGTGTCTGTGATCCCAGCTACTGGGGAGGCTGAGGCAGGACAACTGCTTGAACCTGGGAGGCGGAGGTTGCAGTGAGCCGAGATTGTACCATTGCACTCCAGCCTGGGAGACAGAGCGAGACTCCATCTCAAAAAAAAAAAAAAAATTTTTTTTTTTTTTAAATTACATCCAGCTTTGCGGGAGGAAGGGTAAAGGTGAGCTTGGTAGATCTGGCCCCTGAGCTAGAAATTGCTGGCCAGGCAGAAATGGTAAGCTCAAAGGCTAGGAGGCAGGGAAATATAGGGGACTTCTGTAGATGAGGAATGAAAGAGGGAAGGAGGCCTTAGGTCAACATTTGATTCTCAAGAGATGGCTTATGGGTCTTCGGGGCCTTGAGTTGGTGACTAGGGCACCCAATCCCTTGGTTTTTAGGAGGCCCTCAGGATTGCACTGTGAGACTTGTATTCTTGAGATTGGTACTCTCCAGTTAACCAGATAAAGTGGCACAAAGCAGTATATATAGCCCATTTATTTGCTTTTGGTCAAGTGGAACTCAGCTCAGAGTGGTCTGAAGCTGGGAAATGCAGCTGGAGATCCCTTTGCCAAGTGGTAACCTAAGCTGGTGTGTGCTAGGCTCTGTGCTAGTACCCGGAATGGGGTTTGTATGGGTTCCTATTCTCTTTTGTCCTTTGGGAAAAGGCAGACATTTAGCATCTCAACAGGAACTGGTCAAAGAAGGCTTTCCAGATAAGTGCCACCTGAAGGTAGTCAAGGATGCTTGGACCTTAGCCAGCATAGAATGAGGCTCAGGGGCAAAGATAGTTCAGTCAGAAGAGATGCTCTTTACAGAGGCTTGGAGTCCAGGAACTCTGTTCTGGAACACAGAATAGATAAGGAGTGGAGGACTTGATACACCGGCCTAAGACAGCAAAAGCTTCACGCTGTGCAGAGAAATGTTAAGCGCGCTGGGGAGCCGTGGAGGCATGTGAGCAGTGGGGTGAGGGATTTGCATGTGAGAGATTGTAGGAAGCGAAGCTCAATAGCTTACTTGGTCATTAGATCCACAGAGTTCGAGGAGTCAGGAGACCTTCCATGAGAGCAGAGCAATCTGAATGTGAGGCTGAGTGGATGGATGAGCAGTGGAAGGAAGTGGAGGTCTCATTCTGGACCTCGTTCCTCAGCAGTGGGGTGAGGGGTGGCTAGCTCTTAGTTTCTCTGACCAGGGCTTGGTGTTGCTCCTTTCTCCATGATTTGTGTCTCCTGTGGTTAGATTTAGCTTACATTTGTTCCCTGGTTCAGTAAGTCTGTGTCCACGTGCATACACCCTGCCCTTTTGGCAGCCTGACTGTTCTGATGTGTCTGTGGCCTGCCCAAGGAATATGGGTACAATGGGATCACCAGGAAGGTGACAAACTTGGGCTTCTGCCCTGGCTCTGCCACTCCTCTCCAAATGCAGTCTTATCTGCACCTGTAAATTGGGCAGTTGTGGTTAAACTTGTGAATGCTAGGTGGTCTTCTAAACTCTTCCTGGCTGGGTGCGGTGGCTCGCACTTGTAATCCCAGCACTTTGGGAAGCCGAGGTGGGCGGATTGCCTGAGCGCGGGAGTTTGAGACCACCCTGGGCAACATGGTGAAACCCCATCTCTACTAAAATACAAAAAATTAGCCGGGCGTGGTAGCATGCATCTGTAGTCCCAGCTACTTGGGAGAATCGCTTGAGCATGGGAGGCAGAGGTTGCAGTGAGCCAAGATTGCACCACTGCACTCCAGCTTGGGCTACAGGGTGAGACTCCATCTTAGATAGATAGATAGATAGATAGATAGATAGATAGATAGATAGGATAGATAAGATAGATAGATAGATAGATAGATAGATAGATAGATAGATAGATGATAGATAGATTGATTGATTGATTTAAAAAACCAGGTGTGGTGGCATATACCTATAGTCCGAGCTACTCGCGAGCCTGAGGCAGGAGGATTGCTTGAGCCCAGGAGGTCAAGGCTGCAGTGAGCTGTAATCCCACCCGTGCACTCCAGGCTGGGTGATAGACCTTGTTTCAAAGAAAGTAATTAATTGGCCGGGTGCGGTGGTTCACGCCTGTAATTCCAGCACTTTGGGAGGCTGAGGCGGGCGGATCGTGAGGTCAGGAGATCGAGACCATCCTGGCTAACACGGTGAAACCCCGTCTCTACTAAAAATACAAAAAAAATCAGCCGGGCATGGTGGCAGGCGCCTGTCGTTGCAGCTACTTGGAGGCTGAGGCAGGAGAATGGCATGAACCCAGGAGGCGGAGGTTGCAGTGAGCCGAGATCGCACCACAGCACCCCAACCTGGGCGACAGAGCGAGACTCCGACTCAAAACAAAAAACAAAAAACAAAAAAAAACAGAAGTCTGATGTTGGCAGGGGGCTGGTGGAAGATGGGTGGGGAGAGTCCCGTGAGGGGAGTGGGTACTACTGCAGGAGAGCCAGCAAGGTACAGACCTGAGCTTTGTGGGAGTCTGATTCTCAAAGGTGCTGGAGCTTAGACCTTAGCTCTAGGGACCCAGGTTACTAAATAGGCAAGAGGGTGCTTGGACAGGCCCACAATACTGGTCTCTGCCTCGCTTTGTTGGAAAGCCAAGCTTTTAGCACAAGGATGCCTGGTAAAGGTGGTGCCAGACGTTGGAGAGTAGTTGGTAGCTGGCTGGGGACTGCCCTCGCTCCAGAGTCATCGTGGCCTGAGTGCGGTCTGGTTTACCATCTTCCCAGAAATGGTGGTGCTGCCACCTGCATGCACAGTGTTCTCTTGCACTGAGGAGGGCCCACCTGCACTTTATTTTTTAATTAAAAAAAAAAAATTAGGGCCGGGCACGATGGCTCACGCCTGTAATTCCAGCACTTCGGGAGGCTGAGGCAGGCGGATCATGAGGTCAAGAGATCAAGACCATCCTGGCCAACATGGTGAAACCCTGTCCCTACTAAAAATACAAAAATTAGCTGGGCATGGTGGCGTGCACCTGTAGTCCCAGCTACTCATGAGGCTGAGGCAGGAGAATTGCCTGAACCTGGGAGGTGGAGGTGCAGTGAACCAAGATCGTGCCACTGCACTCCAGCCTGGAGACAGAGCAAGATTGTCTTTTAAAAAAAAAAAAAAAAAAAAGAGTTTAAATAGGGACAAGGTCTTACTTTGTTGCCCAGGTTGGTCTGAAACTCCTGGCTTTTAAGTAATCCTTCTACCTTGGCCTCCCAAAGTGCTGGGATTACAGGTGTGAGCCACTGTGCCTGGCCCCACCTGTGCTTTAGAGGCCATCACAGAGTAGTAGGTAGTAGCTTTGTGACTCAAGCTAGTGATTTGCTCTGGGATTTAGCTTTGCTCTCCAGTCCCTACAGGGAGAATAATTCACCCCAGCAGCTTCTCTGGAGGACCTAGGATAGGATCAACTCCCTCCCTTCCCTTCGGTTCACACTTTAGTGCTACAGCCATCCTTTGTTGTGACCTCCCTTGTCCCTGCTTTGTCCTGACACGGTAGGTGGCCGCTCTGGGTATCACGGTCAACCTCACATGCCCGAGGTCACATGCCCGAGGTGCTTTGCTCTGACCTTTGAATACTGACTCATCTGTAAGGCAGGTCTTCATTCCTGTTGCCACCTGAGGAGGCCTGGGTCCAGACCTTACTGCTAGAACTGAGCCTCCTGAATCCAGATTTGTGACTCTCTGCTAAACCCTGAGGACCTGGCCTACGCCATGAGAGTTGGTTGCCTTTTAACAGGGGCATGTTCTGAAGTTAAGCTACTGGTGGGCACTGGGCTTGGAGTCAAGCTCTAGCCTGGCATCCTGCAGCTTGGTGAATTTTTGGAAGTGTAGGGAGGGCAGGAGCTTCTCCAGCTGTTATGAGATGTACTTATAACAGTCCCAGGGGATGTGTCAAGAGCTCTCATCTTGGTGGCTCTGCTTTTCTCCTACCATCCATCATTCACCCGAAGAAACAACTCCAGAGTGCCCCCACTAGGGCTTCACTGGGGCTTTTGGGGCACACAGGGGCCTTCCTTCCCTGAACATGGGCTCCCTGGCACCTATAGAGTCTTAGCTTTATGGGTACCAGAGGAGGGACTTTCTTCAATGAGGCCCTTAGAGTCCTTTAAGTCAAGTATAAAGGCTAACATTTTATTTAGTCTGATTTCTGCCACCTGGACCTCTCAACTTGATGACACGAAGCCTGGTAAAGAAAAGGTCATTGGGCCAGGCGTGGTGGCTCACGCCTTTAATTTCAGCACTTTGGGAAGCCAGGACGGGCAGATCACCTGAGGTCGGGAGTTCAAGACCAGCCTGACCAACATGGAGAAACCCCATCTCTACTAAAAATACAAAAGTAGCCAGGCGTTGGGGTGCATGCCTGTAATCCTAGCAATTCGGGAGGCTGAGGCAGAAGAGTTGCTTGAACGCGGGAGGCGGAGGTTGCAGTGAGCCAAGATCGTGCCAGTGCACTCCACCCTGGACAACAAGAGTAAAACTCTCTTAAAAAAAAAAAAAAATAGAAAAGGTAATTGGGCCAGGTGTGGTGGCTCAGGCCCATAATCCTAGCAGTTTGGGAGGCTGAGATGGGCAGATCGCTTGAGCCCCAGTGTTTGAGACCAGTCTGGCTAACATGGTGAAATGCTGTCTCTACTGAAAATATAAAAATTAGCCGAGTGTGGCAGCGGGTACCTATAATCTCAGCTGCTTGGGAGGTTGAGGTGGGAGGATCGCTTGAAGTTGCAATGAGCCAAGATCCCGCCACTGCACTCCAGCCTGGGCGACAGAAGGAGCCCCTGTCTCAAAAAATAATAATAAAAATAAAAAGCTCATCTGGAGCCGGGCTTGATGGCTCATACCTGTAATCTCAACACTTTGGGAGGCTGAGGTGGGAGGATCACTTAGAAGAGTTAGAGACCAGCCTAGGCAAAATGGTGGTACCCTGTCTCGCCAAAAAAAAACCATTAGCCGGGCATGGTGGCCCAGTCCTAGCTTCTTGGGAGGCTTGGGCAGGAGGATCCCTTAAGCCTAGGAGTTCAAGGCTGCAGTGAGTTATGATCATACCACTGCCCTCCAGACTGGGCGACAGAGCAAAACACGATCTCTCTTTAAAAAAAAAAGAATGGTTCTATTCTATTTCACATACTCATCTCTGGTAGTTGCCCAGTACCACCTCTACCCAGAGAATCCCAGCCTTGAAGGAGGCAACTTGCCTTCGATTCCTTAGACCCTCAGCGCAAAGAAGCCTTAGAGCTAGTCACATTTCTTTCTTTTGCTCAGATGGGGAAACTGAGGCCCGAGGAGGGATGGTGACTAGCTTGGACTCTGAATGGCAGTGCCAAAACTAGATCATCCTCCTGTTGATGTTAGGTTCTGCATCCATGAGTCTGGAGGAGTCCAGAGTGGAGTCTGAGACTGAAGAGTCACTCACTGCAGCTGGGCCCTACTGGCATCCCCCTCTGCAAGGCCAACCCAAAGGGATGGGGATGCCTGTCCTACCTGCCTACCCACCAGTTTGGGCCTGAGGCATCAGAACATTGGTTCCCAGCTGGAAGGAAGGAGATGCCCCTGCTGCCTTTAGGAGAGAGATTTCCTACCCACGTTCAGAGTAACTCTTGCCTGTCAGGCTTGAAGTCTCACTTTGGCTTTAAACTTTCCCCCGTGACTTGCAGGATGCATGACTTACTGCCTTTCTGATCCTTCCCATCTATGTACAGTAGGCCAGCCAGTGGAATGTGGAGAGGCAGCCATGGGGAATGGGGGAAACTGAGGACCAGATGCAGTTGTTACCAAGGATGCCAAGCAGCCTAGCCCAAGGCAGTTCTTGGATTTCCCTCCTGCTTACTTCTCCCCAGCATCCTCTAGTATCCTTAGAGTCCTGCTCTGACTGCAGCCCCTACTCCTTCGGAACTAAGTTACTACTTTGTGTCTAGCAGACCCTGGAAAAGGTGCCTTCAGGGTCTCTGCTAGCTATGTCCTATCGCTTCCCACCCAGTCTATTACATGGGTCCTTCTGCCCTTTGCTCCCACCTGCCTGACTTGCCAGCCTTCTCTGTACCACACAAGGAGCCTGAGGGCTTTGAGGTTTTCCATGCCAGCTCCCTTCTGTTCTGGCTTCATAAAGGACTTGGATCACTGCCCTGAGTTACCGCTACCCAGCTTCTCCATCCCCCTCTTCCTCATCTGTATTTGTGTGCCTTCCCTTTACTAGGCAGTGTATTCCTTGAAACCTATGGCTACACCTGCTGCTTGGTGGGGACTGTGCCTTCAAAAGCCCTCTGGCCTTTACCTTGTCAGCATCCTGAAATGAGCAGAAACTGCCAGATGACTGCTCATGGTTGTGGAGTGGGCCTGGGTTCCCTACCCTGGCTCTGCCACTCAGTCTCAGCATCCCTGTCTGCACAGTGAGAAGATAGGGTAGCTCTGGCTCTCTTTCTCTCCAGCCCCTCTACAGGCCTGGACCAGGGATCCTTCCTGTGTTGGGACCCACCAGTGGGGCCGTTGGTCCTCTGGCAAATGAAGTAGATGGCCCCAGAGAACCTGTGGGTCCAAGTGGAGTGAGGTGAGGCTGCTTGGTTCAGCTAAGAGCGAGCCCTGGGATCTTGCCCCTAGGGTAGCACAGCCTGTCATTGGGAGTTTCCAGACAGAAGTGTTCCCATTCCTTACTCCTAAAGGTGGACTTGAGGAGGGTCTTTGAAAGTCAGCTAGACCAATCTCTAGTTGAACCTCAAGGAGAGTGAGGTACAGAGCAGAGACTGCTGGCTTCCAGGTCTAGCTGGCTCCCACTTGGCCTGGCCAGAGAATTGGTCTGATGGTGCCCACACCTTCACCGGAGGCCCTTTGGTGACCCCATGCATGTTTCCTTTGCAGGACAAGATTAGATGCACCCCGGTTGGAAACAAAGTCCCTGAGCAGCTCCGTGTTACCACCCAGCTATGCTTCAGATCGCCTGTCAGGAAACAACAGGGACCCTGCTCTGAAACCCAAGCGGTCCCACCGCAAGGCAGACCCTGATGCTGCCCACAGGTACTCAGTTTAGGACCCTCAGCAAAGGCTGGCAAAGGCCTGGCTGCAGGGTGAGAAGGGTGGAGAAGCCTGGGGTAGGCTGTTTAGGAGCCTTGGCTTGCTCACCCTTTCAAAACCTTATGTCTGGTTCCTCTGGGTTGGTGGCATTGGTGACATTCCCATCTAACCCTGGCCAACTGCCTGTACACCCAGAGAGAAGGGGTCAGGCAGAGACTGTAACAGATGGCAATATCATGGCTTTCCCATGACTTTCCTTGTTCAGTCTCACCCAGACACCCTTGTGGAATTATACTTAGATGTCAGGAGGGAATCTTGGGACTTGGATAATAGTGAACCAGGGACTTATTTCAAAAAGGATTGGATAAAAGGTATTTGAGGAGATAATTTTTTTTAAAGGAAAAAAAATGTTTTGGCCGGCACAGTGGCTCACGCCTGTAATCCCAGCACTTTGGGAGGCCAAGGCAGGCAGATCACGAGGTCAGGTGATCGAGACCATCCTGGCTAAGACGGTGAAACCCCGTCTCTACTAAAAAATACAAAAAATTAGCCAGGCGTGGTGGCAGGTACCTGTAGTCCCAGCTCCTCGGGAGGCTGAGGCAGGAGAATGGCGTGAACCTGGGAGGCGGAGCTGGCAGTGACCCGAGATGGCACCGCTGCACTCCAGCCTGTGCGACAGAGCAAGAATCCGTCTCAAAAAAAAAAAAAATATTTTTTAAGTGTTGGGGAAGGTTTCCAAGGAGGTAATGTTTAAGTTGATTCCAGAAGGATAAGGAAGACATGGAAGAGCATTCTAGGCAGGAAATACTGTATGAGCTAAACCCTGAGATACAAAAGAGCTTTGTGGTTTCAGGGGGTAATGGGGTTAGTAAGTGGAGAAGGGGGTGTTGGGAGGCCCAAGAGAGAGAAAGTGGGTAGAGCTGGGAAGTAAAGGTAGATGGCAGAACCATGCAGAGTCTTGAGGCTGTGGTAGGGAAGACCTCTGTCCAGCAGCCCTGGCAGTGTCCCAGGGCACCAGACTCCAAGCCAGGCAGACCCCACAGGGTAATTGGGAAATGTCCCAAAGACTGGGATGGTCACTGGCACTTAGTGGGCAAGAACCTCCGATACCAGGGCCTCTGCCAGGACTACCCTTCGTTGAGGACCACTGAGCTGAAGTGACCCATCCCAAGGATGAGACGAGGTACAGCGGTAAAGCCAGGCGCCTCCTGCCAGCCTCTCAGATAACGTCCTACCTCCCTTTCCTTGCAGGCCACGGATCCTGGAGATGGACAAGGAAGAGAACCGGCGCTCGGTGCTGCTGCCCACACACCGGCGGAGGGGTAGCTTCAGCTCTGAGAACTACTGGCGCAAGTCATACGAGTCCTCAGAGGACTGCTCTGAGGCAGCAGGCAGCCCTGCCCGAAAGGTGAAGATGCGGCGGCACTGAGTCTACCCGCCGCCCTCCTGGGAACTCTGGCTCATCCTTACGTAGTTGCCCCTCCTTTTGTTTTGAGGGTTTTGTTTTTGTTCATTGGGGGGTTTTTGTTTTTTGTTTTTTGTTTTTTTTGATTCTATATATTTTTCCTTGGTTTTGTTGCCTGTTAGGGCTGAAGAATAGAATTGGCCAGGACCTAGGTTCTCATATTCTTGGTATTCCTCCTGGATGGAAAGGCTGTTGGCATCAATAGGGGACAGAGGCTGATGCTGGAGTGGCCAGTAGAGGTGGTGGAGCAGAGCAGCCATCTTTTAAGTGGGGCTGTATCAGGCTGGGTTTATTTAAAAGCAACAAAATGTTTTGGTTAAGAAAATTATTTTGCTTTCAGTGTAAATCTTCGCAGTGTTCTAAACAAAGTTCAGTCTTCTGCTCGCCCCTTTCCCTCACTGATGTCTGCACTTGGTTGAGGTCTCCTGGAGCCTCACAGGCTCTGCTGTTCTCCACTTCTCACCTGCCATCCACGCCCTGCAAGCTCATGCAAACACCCTTTCTTCCTCCTGCGGCAGAGTTGTTCAGGTTGCCTGGGCAGGGGCTTAAACAGTGCCAGCCCCTGCCATCCCAAAGCTATTGTTAAGCCCCCCAGGCGTCCTCCACCCACGCCCACTAGCCTGCCATGTCCACAGTTCCTTGGGCTGCTGAGGGGCTAGTGCAGTGGTCCTGACCTCTCTTATCAAGAGCACACTTCTTTGCTGGTTGCTCCTTTTGAGCATATGCGTGTGATTATTTGGAACAGTTAGACTTGCCACGTTGGGTCAGTTTTAGAAATTGTTTCTAGCTAGAGGGACTGGTGTCCTTCCAAGTCTAGCATTTGGGGTATGGAAAATTGTTGTGGTGTGTGGTAGGGTTTTTGTTTTCTTTTTTGAGTTTTTTTTCCCCCTTTAGTCTCCTGGCTTTTTCCTTTCCCTTCCCTTCTCCACTGGCCAGCTTGGGCCTCATCCTCATGTCATCCTTCTAGGAAGGCGCCTGCCCCATCTTGTCTGCCGGCAGCATGCATCCAAGGCCAGAGCTCAGGCCTGCAGACTGGGCTGGTGCCTCCTCCGCTTCAGGGTATGGGAGTTGGTGAAGGGGCTTTCAAAAAATAATAAGGAAAAAAAGGTAAAGTCTTTGGTAGCTTCTATCCACTCAGATCCTGGAAGGCAGCAAGGTTTTGTGGATCTAGATTCATTAGGAATGTCTTCTTGTCAGCCAGGCCAGGACCCGGGCTTGCCAAGAGCAGAGGCCCTCCCAGCAACCAGGATACCACCACTTTGGGGGCTTTGTGTACAGAGGTCCGGGTCTGAGACCTCATAGGCTGCAGAAATCTGGGGCAGCCACCATCAAGAAGCCCCTCTCAGGGGCCAGAACTCCTTTGCCAGCGTGGATTTCTCAAGTCGGGACTGCATAATTAAAGCAGTTGCAGTTTTATTTTTTTTACAGCTTTTTTCCCAAAAATGATTTGTAGTTGTGTGTGCAGCACTTCGCCCTGATATGTGTGCTCTACAATAAAAACCAAATCTAATATATTTTGAAACAGTTGTCTGATGTTGTTGTAAGAGAGGGCTTGCCTTTGGTGCTTCCTTAATCCCTTTACTTTCTTAAACTTGAAACAGGGGTTGGGGAGGCAGAGCTAGCTCATTGGCCGCCAGCGTCCCAGAGGAGTTGGTTGGTCTTGGACACTGGGCCTCCTGTGTGCCTAGCCTTGGGTTTATGGCTGAAGGTGGACTTGCCCTCACCCCACTGTCCTTTCTCCCACTCCAAGGAGGGTGAACTTCATAAACCACAATGTCCAGGTGCCCAGGGACCACACCTTCTGGAGTTCTGGAAGTCCCTCTTTTAGATATGATCACTGAGAGGCTGGTGCTGGTGAAGGGGGAGATGGCAGGCACAAAAGCAAGGGAGAACCTGGCTTTTGTGGAAAATATGCGAGTGATTTTGCTCATTAAACAAATACTTGGCCAGGCACGGTGGATCACCTGAGCTCAGGAGTTCAAGACCAGCATGGGCAACTTGGCAAAACCCCATCTCTACTAAAAATACAAAAATTTAGCCAGGTGCGTTTAGCTGTGGTCTCAGCTACTAGTGAGACTGAGACAGACAAGAATTGCTTGAGCCTGGGAGGCACAGGTTGCAGTAAGCCGAGATTGTGCCATTGCACTCCAACCTGGGCAACAGAGCAAGACCTTGTCTCAAAAAAACAAAAAAAAAAATTCTTGAGTTCCTATTGTATACCAAGCCACACTGGGACCCCAATAGTGAGCAAAACTCTGGTCCCTCCTTTCAAGATGCTCATGATAGTGTGGAGTGCAGGTACTGGCATGAAGCAGATGTTTTTCAATGGGTAAGGCTGGGGCCCAGAGGGCTTTAGTCCCTCCAGACTTCAGACCTGGCTCCCTATGCCTGGTAAAGGGCTTCTATCTAGAGTCTCTTACTCTGTTCTAGTGCTCAGAGCTAGTCTGCTTGGCCAAATTCTTGCTGTGGAAACTTGGATAAGCTGCTTACCTCCACATTTACCAGAGAAGAGAGACTCCAGAGTGGGGCAAGTAACTGGCCCAGGCTTGGTCTAAAAACTAGTGCGAGGGTCTGAAGAGAGAGGGGCCAGAGTCTCAAGTGTGGTCTGGGGCTAGTTGGGCCTGGAGGGGTAGACACTGGGCTAGGCAGAGTGGACCTTGGATCCCCTGGAGAAGGAAACACCGGATCTGAGAGAAAGTGACTTGCAGAATGTCATCCAGAGTATAAATGGCAGAAGTAAGCATCCCCCACTCCATGCCTGAGCTTCTGACTCTTGGGGCATGGGATAGGGGCTCAGAGAAGGGCTGGGGGAGTGCGAGGAACCGTCTTTGTGGAGGACCCTATTTTCCATTGCCATTAAAAAGTCAGACTTCTGGCCAGGCGCAGTGGCTCATGCCTATAATCCCAGCACTTTGGGAGGCCGAGGTGGGCAGATCACGAGGTCAGGAGTTTGAGACCAGCCTGGCCAACATAGTGGAACCCCGTCTCTACTAAAAATACAAAAAATTAGCTGGGCATGGTGGCGGGCCCCTGTAATCCCAGCTACTTGGGAGGCTGAGGCAGGAGAATCACTTGAAGCCAGGAGGCGAAGGTTGCAGCGAGCCGAGATCGTGCCACTGCACTCCAGCCCAGCGGACAGTGCGAAACTCCATCTCAAAAAAAAAAAAAAAAAAAAAAAACTCCCAGCCTGACCAACATGGTGAAACTCCATCTCTACTGAAAATACAAAAATTAGCTGGGCGTAGTGCTGGGCGCCTGTAATCTCAGCTACTCAGGAGGCTGAGGCAGGAGAATCGCTTGAACCCGGGAGGCGGAGGTTGCGGTGAGCCGAGATCGTGCCACTGGACTCCAGCCTGGGCGACAGCAAGACTCAGTCTCAAAAAAACAAAAAAAAAAAAAAGTCAGACTCAGCCAGGAACAGTGGCTCATACCTGTAGTCCCAGCATTTTGGGAGGCCAAGATGGATGAGCCCAGGAGTTTGAGACCAGCCTGGGCAACACAGCAAAACCCTGTCTCTACAAAAATACAAAAATTAGCCAGGTGTGGTTGTATGCACCTGTAGTCCCAGCTACTTCAGAAGCTGAGGTGGGAGATCACTTGAGCCCAGGAGGTCAAGGCTGTAGTAAGCCGAGATCGCGTCACTGCACTCCAGCCTGGGTGACCCTGTCTCAAAAAAAAAAAAAAAGATTCGGGCCGGGCGTGGTGGCTCATGCCTGTAATCCCAGCACTTTGGGAGGCTGAGGCAGGCGGATCATGAGGTCAGGAGTTCGAGACCAGCCTGGCCAACATGGTGAAACTCTTTCTCTACTAAAAATACAAAAATCAGCTGGGCACGGTGGTGCGTGCCTGTAATCCCAGCTACTCAGGAGGCTGAGACAGGAGAATTGCTTGAACCTGGGAGGCGGAGGTTGCAGTGAGCTGAGATCACGCCACTGCACTCCAACCTGGATGACACAGCGAGACTCTGTCTCAAAAAAAAAAAAAAGGATTCAGCCTCTTCCCAATCCCTGGGTGAAAAAGGCCCTTCACCCTGTAGTATGGAGAGATAGGAGGACTAGAGGAGGGGGCTTTGGCCCTAGCAGTTCCTGCTGTCTCTCTACCTGTACAGTAGCACTCTATCTCTGTAACATAATCCTCTGAGTAGTCCCTAGAACTCTACATCTGATTCTGGATCTGCCTGATCTGATTCTGGATCTGCCTGTTCCCAGCCATCTCCTAGGGCCTCAGGCCAGGTGCTGAGTCCCATCAACCCCTGTCCCTAGCCCAGTCTTCTACACAGTAGATGCTCTAACAGCTGGTGCCATCCCTCACCCCGCTAGGACCCCATCCCATTCCTCCAACCCTTTTGTGTGGAAGGGGAAACTGAGGCCCAGAGAAGTTGACTGGCCAGAGGTCACGTTCACGCATTCAAAAAATAGTGTCTGGCCAGGCGCAGTGGCTCATGCCTGTAATCCCAGCATTTTGGGAGGCCAAGGCAGGTGGATCACTTGAGGTCAGGAGTTTGAGACCAGCCTGGCTAACATAGTGAAACCCCATCTCTACTAAAAATACAAAAATTAGCTGGGCATGGTGGTGCGTACCCATAGTCCCAGATAACTCGGGAGGCTGAGGTGGGAGAATCACTTGAACCCAGGAGGTGGAGGTTGCAGTGAGCTGAGATTGCGCAGTGCTGGAGATACAAGACAGACCTAGTATATGATGTCATATACGCATAAAGTTATAAATTTTACTGATGTGAAGTATAGCATATAAATATTATTTTTGAGATGGAGTCTTGTACTGTTGCCCAGGCTGGAGTGCAGTGAGTGGAGTGATCTCCACTCACTGCAACCTCCGCCTCCCGGGTTCAAGCGATTCTCCTGTCTCAGCCTCCCGAATAGCTGGGATTACAGGCACCTGCCACCATGCCCAGCTAATTTTTTGTATTTTCAGTAGAGATGGGGTTTCACTATGTTGGCCAGGCTAGTCTTGAACTCCTGACCTCATGATCCACCCACCTCGGCCTCCCAAAGTGCTGGGATTACAGGCGTGAGCCACTGTGCCTGGCCAGCATTTAAATTATTAAAACATATATATTCTTATAAATTCCATATAACCAATCTTTTCTCACAGAAATCTATTTTAGTTTTTTTGCTGAATTACTGTATTTGTAGTCTGCTTGTGCTTATAATTCAGCCATGATATGACAAAGGGACTTGCATCATACCTGCTTGTAATAGTTTCCCGTGGCTGCCATAACAAGTCACCACAACCCTGGTGGCTTAAAACGACAAATTTATTTCTCTCAAATTCTGGGAAACTCAACATCACTGGGCTTGCCTGTCTAGTGGAAAACCTGTTCTTTGCCTCTGACAGCTTCTGTTAGCTGTTAACATTCCTTGACTTGGGAACGGGCAGATTCACGTCTCTGCCTCCATGGTCACATGGCCTCCTCCTCTGTGTACCACATCTCCTCTTTTTTTTTTTTTTTTTTTTTTTAAAGACAGAGTCTCACTGTCACCCAGGCTGGAGTGCAATGGCTGGATCACAGCTCACTGCAGCCTTGACCTGCCAGGTTCAAGCAATCTTCCTGCCTTGGCCTCTCAAACTGCTGGGATAACAGGTGTGAGCCACTGTGCCTGGCTTCTGCCTCTCTCCTAATAGGACATTCACGATTGGATTTAGGGCCCCTCTGTCACCCAGGCTGGAGTGCAGTAACATGATCTCGACTCACTGCAGCCTCAAACTCCTGGGCTCAAGTGACCCTCCTGCCTCAGCCTCCCAACCTCAGGTGTGCACACACCACTACACCCTGCTAATTTCTTTAAAAAAATTTTGGGCCAGGCGCGGAGGCTCACACCTGTAATACCAGCACTTTGGGAGGTGGAGGCGGGCAGATCACGAGGTCAGGAGATCAAGACTATCCTGGCTAACATGGTGAAAACCTGTCTCTACTAAAAAATACAAAAAATTAGCCAGGCATGGTGGCGGGTGCCTGTAGTCCCAGCTACTCGGGAGGCTGAGGCAGGAGAATGGCGTGAACCCAGGAGGTGGAACTTGCAGTGAGCTGAGATGCGCCACTGCACTCCAGCCTGGGCGACAGAGCAAGACTCCGTCTCAAAAAAAAAAAAAAAAAAAAAAAATTTGTAGGCCGGGCGTGGTGGCTCACACCTGTAATCCCAGCACTTTGGGAGACCAAGGTGGGTGGATCACCTGAGGTCAGGAGTTCGAGACCAGCCTGCCCAACGTGGCGAAACCCCATCTCTACTAAAAAATACAAAAAGTTAGCCAGGCTTGGTGGGCGCCTGTAATCCCAGCTACTTGGGAGGCTGAGGCAGGAGAATCGCTTGAACCTGGGAGGCGGAGGTTGCAGTGGGCCAAGATCGTGCCACTGCACTCCAGCCTGGGCGACAAGAGCAAAACTCTGTCCTCAAAAAAAAATTTTTTTTTTGTAGAAGACTTCACACTGTGTTGCCCAGGCTAGTCTCAAACTCCCAGCCTCAAGTGATCCTCCTGCCTTGTCCTCCCAAAGCACTGAGCCACTGCACCCGGTCCCCTATGTAATGATGTTTAATTATATTCGAAAGACCCTTTTTCCTTATGAGGTGACATTCACAGGTCCCAGGGATAATGACCCGATATTTGTGGAGGCCATGGATCAGCCCCTACATGCCCTTCTCCCAGTAAAGTTATTGCCATTAAATCTGATATATCATCTGCTTTCTCATCCTCAAATATTAGTTGGATTAAAATTTCTCAGCTATAGCAGTACTTTTAAATTTAATCTGAATCATTAATATTTTCCTTCACTTTCTCTTTTTTTTGAGACGGAGTCTTGCTCTGCCGCCCAGGCTGGAGTACGGTGGCATGATCTCGGCTCTCTGCAAGCTCTGCCTCCCGAGTTCATGCCATTCTCCTGCCTCAGCCTCCTGAGTAGCTGGGACTACCCGCCACCACGCCTGGCTAATTTTTTGTATTTTTTAGTAGAGACAGGGTTTCACCGTGTTAGCCAGGATGGTCTTGATCTCCTGACCTGGTGATCTGCCCACCTCGGCCTCTCAAAGTGCTGGGATTACAGGCGTGAACCACCACATCCGGCCCTCTTCATCACTTTCTTAAATCTAGACCTGTGTTCTTCAGTACAGCAGCCACTGATACTTGGCTATTGAGTATTTGAAATGTGGCTAGTTTGAATTGAAATGTGCTTTTAGTGTAAAATACCAGAATTTGAAGAGTTAGTATGAAAAAAACAATGTAAATCATTAAGAACTTTATATTGATTACTTGTTGAAGATACTATTTTGAGCTGGGCATGGTGGCCTACGTATAATCCCATCACTTTGGGAAGCTATGGTGGATGGATTACTTGAAGTCAGGAGTTTGAGAGCAGCCTGACCAAATGGCAAAACCCCGTCTCTACTAAAAACACAAAAATTAGGTGTGGTGGCGCTCGCCTGTAATCCCAGCTACTTGGGAGGCTGAGGCAGGCTTGCACCTAGGAGGCAGAGATTGCAGCGAGCCAAGATCGTGCCACTACAGCCTGGGTGAGAGAGCGAGACTTTGTCTCAAAACCCCCCCAAAAAAGAAGAAAAAAAAAACTATTTTGGACATATGTTAAATTTGGACATACTGGGTTAAATAAAATAGGCTGAGGCAGGAGAATTGCTTGAACCTGGGAGGCGGAGGTTGCAGTGAGCCCGAGACCGTGCCATTGCACTCCAGCCTGGGCAACAGAGCCAGACTCTGTCTCAAAAAAAAAAAAAAAAAAAAGCTATTTAAATTAATTTCACCTGTTTTCTGTTACTGTTATATCTGGGTACTCAATAATGAAAATTACATATGTGTCTTGCATTATATTTCTGTTGGATGGTACTGGTCTAGAAAACTATAGAGCTGGGCACAGCAGCACACCCTGTATTCCCAGCTACTCAGGAGGCTAAGCGGGAGGATTGCTTAAGTCCAGGGGTTATCATGGCTGATTGCAGCTGATCAAGGTAAGGTCACTGAACATCGAGCTGTGAAGAAATGTGCAGTAACACCCCAATATATAGTGTTTCCACCATACAGATACAATAGATGTAATCCAAGAGTACAGATAATAGGAAAATGTGGCAAAATAAGTAGGAAATGCTTAGTTTTTAATATTACCCTTAGTTTTTAGTGTAATTTTAATTTTATATAATTAATTTTTAATGACTTTAACAACTGACTCACAAAAGTTCTTGAAAATTTGCCATTTGGCTCTTGCAGAGGGCTCCAGCACACCACTAGATTCCCATAGAGAGTTTGAGCAGAGGAGTGATGTGAACAGATGTAGGATCACTGGTGCTGCTGTGCAGAGGACTGTCAAAATCAATAAGAAAACCACTTTCTTAGCTGAGTGCAGTGGCTCACGCCTGTAGTTCCAGCACTTTGGGAGGCTGAGGTGGGTGGATCACCTGAGGTCAGGAGTTCAAAACTAGCCTGGCCAACATGGTGAAACCCTGTGTCTACTGAAAATACAAAAATTAGCCAGCCTGGTGGTGGGCGCCTGTAATCCCAGCTGCTCGGAAGGCTGAGGCAGGAGAATTGTTTGAACCCGGGAGGCAGAGGTTGCAGTGAGCTGTGATCGTGCCATTGCACTCCAGCCTGGACGACAAGAGTGAAACTGTCTAAAAGAGAGAGGAGAGAGAAAGAGGAGAGAGAGAGAAAAGAAGAAAGAAAAGAAGAGAAAGAGAAAGAAAAGAAAAGGAAAGAAAGGAAGGCCTGGCACGGTGGCTTACACCTGTAATCCCAGCACTTTGGGAGACCGAGGTGGGCGGATCACGAGGTCAAGATATCGAGACCATCCTGGCCAACCTGGTGAAACCCTGTCTCTACTAAAAATACAAAAAAAATTAGCCGGGCATGGTGGCAGGCACCTGTAATCCCAGCTACTTGGGAAGCTGAGGCAGGAGAATCGCTTGAACCCGGGAGGCGGAGGTTGCAGTGAGCCGAGATCGCGCCATTGCACTCCAGCCTGGGTGACAAAGTGAGACTCCGTCCCCCCCCCCAAAAAAAAAAAAAAGAAAGAAAAGAAAAAAGAAAATCCACTGTCTTTGTGAGAGATGGAAAACTAAGGGCTCGGGCAGTGTCAGGGCTGGGGTCCTCCAGTTAGGTGTGAGGCGCTTGCTGCCGCAGTTCCTCCTGTGTCCACAGTGTGGCAGCATAGCCTGAGTGATGGTGCTTCAGAGTAGAGGGCAAGGGCCAGCAGCTGTCCCTTGGTTTGGATGGGGAACTGAGGTCCCCAGAGACCCCCGAACCTGCCAGAGGTTACTCAGAGCCAATAACTTAGGTTCCCCACTGCTTCTGCCCTTCTCAGCCAGGGATCTCAGGGCTAGTAGGGTTTTCCTCCCACTTCCTTACTAATCCTAGTAGGTGTGGAGGGGCACTGGGACCTGTGGGTCAAGCAGATGCCATCAGGTCCACCCCCAGGCCACACATAACAGCAGTCCCAGCCTGGGCCCCACGCTACCTCTCTTGGCCCCAGCTCCTTGGAGAGTTCTAGACATCTTTGCAAGTGCCAGTACTCTGCCTCAGGCAGCTCTCTTCCATGCTACCTTCTCTGGCCCCCTCCCAGGCTTTTCAGGGGTGCCTTTGGGCTCCCCCACCCAGACCGGGGCCTCCTTTGGCACTGCCTAGAGTGTACTCTGTGGTCCCAGTGTTTCCACTCCAGGCTGGGAAACAGGGCCCTAACTCCCACCTTCTCCTGCACTCTCATTGAGTGAGGCCATTAACTTACTGTCTCATTTAATTCTCGCTGCAACCTCTGAGACGTCATGAGGGGACTAGGTTTACATCCTGATTCTGCAATATACTAGCTGTGTGACTTTGGGCAAGTTAACCTCTCTGGCCTCAGTTTCTTCCTTTGTAAAATGGGCATAAGATTAAAGGAATAACTAGTGCCTGGCACAGACTAAGTGCTCAGTGTTAATAAATGGTAGCAATTAATATTAGCCCGCATTTCGCAGATGAGAAAACAGGCCCAGAGAGGGAAAGTGGCAGAGGCAGGATTAGCACTTGGGGCACCAGAGAGAAGTGAAACACAAAGCCCCACCTTCCAACAGGTCTGTGGTAATGTCCACATACCCAGCCCCTTGGGCCTCAATCCTGACAGTCCTTGCAGGGAGCAGGTGTGCCCAGATCCCCGTTCCTGTAGCCCAGCATGAGCCAAGAAAAGCATACTCAGGATCCAGGCTCAGCGAGTGTCAGGGCTGAGAGTCCTGCCTCCAGAGAAGGAGCACTCGGTTAGAGGTCCAGGGACTCATATATTATTCACCTGTCACCTTGGGCAGGTCACTTCTCTGAACCTCAGCTTCCTCCCTTGTATAAAACAAGGACAGAGTAGGTCAGCCCCAACACTCCCCCTACCTGTCTGGCCTTTCTTTCATGGAGGCACACAACACTATTCACTCTCTGTAGATTGAGGAGGCCCTAAATCCATTGCTCCCTTCTGTCTGGACCTAAAGGACACAAGACCTTATTAAGCTTCAGCTTCATTTGCATACCACATGGGATGAGGTATTCACTCCTCCCTGGCTTGGGCTGGTCTGCTGACCCTGTCTTGGAGTCTCAGTAAGCCCACCCTTTCTCCCACTCCCTCATCTCTCTCCTTCCATCCTGGGCCCTGCCTAGCTCTGTCCCAACCTAGACCACTCCAGGAATTTTCCAGCCTGCCAGATCTGGCCCCCCAGGAGCCACTAGGAAGAAGTTGAGTCCGTGGTTTGGGCAGCTCGAGAGGGTCATGGCCTCAGCTGGGATCTGGGCCAGCTTCTGAAAGCCAGGGCCTGCCTTCTTCAGTCAGACTCTTGGTTTTCCTCCCACTTCCTTACTGACCCTAATCTACCTCCCTTGGAGCTTCCCCACTTGTCGCTCCCTGAGATCACCCTTTCTCTTTCCCTCTGCAGAGGAGTGACCAAGTCACTTCTCTACACGTATCTTCCATTTACTGTCTATAAAACAGGGTTGTTCTGGTATCTATGAGGATTCAGGGAGATATGCACAGATATAGCCTTTACTGGGGCACCTACGTCCGAAGACACCTTCAATGCATGCCATCCTGTTCACCTACCTGCCTACTTACATCCCATCAACCACCAAACCGCCACTTCTGTGGACTTAACTCCTGAACAGTATGGATTATTTGTTGTTGTTTTTGTTTGTTTTCTTTTTTTTTTTTTGAGACAGCGTCTCACTCTTGCCCAATCTGGAGTGCAGTGGTGCGATCTTGGCTCACTACAACCTCCGCCTCCCGGGTTCAAGCGATTCTCCTGCCTCAGTCTCTCAAGTAGCTGGAATTACATGCATGCGCCACCACACCTGGCTAATTTTTATATTTTTATTTTTATTTATTTTGTTATTTATTTATTTTTTGAAATGGAGTTTCACTCATGTTGCCGAGGCTGGAGTGCAATATCTTGGCTCACTGCAACCTCTGCCTCCTAGGTTCATGCAATTCTCCTGCCTCTGCCTCCAGGGTAGCTGGGATTACAGGCATGTGCCATACACCTGGCTAATTTTTTGTATTTTTAGTAGAGACAGGGTTTCACCGTGTTAGCCGGGATGGTCTCGATATCCCAACCTCAGGTGATCCACCAGCCTTGGCCTCCAAAAGTGCTGGGATTACAGGCGTGAGCGAGTGGGCCCGGCAATTTTTGTATTTTTAGTAGAGACAGCGTTTCACCATATTGGCCAGGCTGGACTCAAACTCCTGGCCTCAAGTGATCTGCCCACCTTGGCCTCCCAAAGTGCTGGGATTACAGGTGTGAACCACCGTGCCCGGCCTCAGATCTTTAATCTATTTTTTAAAATTGTTTTCTTTGAGACGGAGTCTCACTCTGTCACCCAGGCTGGAGTGCAGTGGCGTGATCTCAGCTTACTGCAACCTCTGCCTCCTGGGTTCAAGTGATTCTCCTGCCTCAGCCTCCTGAGCATTACAGGTATGCACCATCACACCTGACTAATGTTTTTTTTTTTTTGTATTTTTAGTAGAGATGAGGTTTCACCATGTTGGTCAGGCTAGTCTCGAATTCCTGACCTCGTATTCCACCTGCTTCAGCCTCCCAAAGTGCTGGGATTACAGGCGTGAGCCACTGTGCCCGGCTTTAATCTGTTGTTTTAAATGTGTCGAGCATTAATTATGTGCCAGGCGCTATTCTAGGCACAGCTGGTTCACTAGGAACAAACCCTGCTGGGTCCTGTGCTCAACTCTTTTTTTGAGACAGAGTCTCGCTCTGTCGCCCAGGCCGGAGTGCAGTGGCACTGATCTCGGCTCACTGCAACTGCTGCCTCCTGGGTTCAAGTGATTCTCCTGCCTCAGCCTGCCAAGTAGCTGGGACTACAGGTCTGTGCCATCACGCCCGGCTAATTTTTTGTATTTTTAGTAGAGATGGGTTTTCACCGTGTTAGCCAGGATGGTCTTTATCTCCTGACCTCGTGATCTGCCCTCCTCGGCCTCCCAAAGTGCTGGGATTACAGGCGTGAGTCACCGCGCCCGGCCTCAAATCTTGTTTTGAGTCATCTCATTTAGTCCTTACTGCATTTTACAGATGAGGAAATTGAGGCCCAGGGTGGACTCATGGTTTAGCTGAGGTCACCCAATGAGCAAGGGGATGTCTTGGGATTTGAAGGCGGACTCCAGAGCTGGGTGAGAGCCCTATGGGAGCCTAGGAGGAGGTGAGAGGAGGGGGACACCCCACCAAGGAAATGCCGAGAAGGCAGCCCCCCCCTAGCCTGAGATTGACCTGAGGCTGGGAGGCTGAAGGAAGAACCAGCTTCCCCTGCCAGTGCTGCTGACTCAGGAACCCTCCTGCCTCCCCCAGCTCCAAGGATGGGTGGGCACCTGAGATGACCGGGACCCTGTGTTCAGTTGTTTGTCTGGGCTCCCCTGACCCTCAGTTTCTTGTTCTAGCAATGAGCTGACTTGGCATGGCCATCTGTGCCAATCTCTGCCCCCTGGGGCTGCTGTGGTAATCATAGGCCTGGGCTGCCCTGACTTGCGGGGGAGGGGACAGAAAAACAGTCATTAGTGTCCCAGACCCTCCCAGCCTGGGAGATGGTGCCCTCTCTAGTGCCATTTCTGAACCCTGCCTGATGGTATGGGTAGGCTGGGCCTACATGCCCAGGCCTCAGTTTACCCATTTGTATCTGTATACCCATTTGACCCCTCTTAACCTGATCAGATGGGGCCAAGCTAGGCCTCAGGGTCATTTGGGAAAGGAGCTGGTTTAAAATCCAGATTCTGGGGCCCCACTCGCCTGTCATTCACATTTGCAGGACCTAGAATCTGAATTAACAAGTGTGTGTGTGTTGTGGGGTGGGGGTACTGACACTTTGCGAATCCGTTTGCCATGAGACTCTTCCCTGCCTATCCCCTGGCTCCTTCCACTAGGTACACTCCTTACCCATTACAACCCATGTGCACTGTCCTCTCCCAGCAGGACACTGACCCTGGGCCAGATGCCTCTTCTGGGCTCCCACAGCCCCAGTGCATGCCCCATCATAGGACGGTGAGCTATGGTTAGCTGTGGTCTCGACTCAGTTCTGTTGCCCTGCTCCCCAAAAAACTGTGAGATAGGGGTTGGGAAAGGCATGGCTGCTTACTGCCTAATAACCAAGTCCCATTGAAAAATGGGGACTGCTGGCTGGGTGCGGTGGCTCACACCTGTAATCCCAGCACTTTGGGAGGCCAAGGCAGGCAGATCACGAGGTCAGGAGATCGAGACCATCCTGGTTAACACGGTGAAAACCCGTCTCTGCTAAAAATACAAAAAATTAGCTGGGCATGGTGGCACAGACCTATAGTCCCAGCTACTCAGGAGGCTGAGGCAGGAGAATCGCTTGAACCTGGGAGGCAAAGGTTGCAGTGAGCTGAGATTGTACCACTGCACTCCAGCCTGGGCGACCGAGTGAAACTCTGTCTCTCTGTCTCAAAAAAAAGAAAAAGAAAAAGAAAAATGGAGATTGGGTGTCGGGTGCAACGGCTCATGCCTGTAATCCCAGCACTTTGGGAGGCCAAGGCAGGCGGATCATCTGAGGTCAGGAGTTCAAGACCAGCCTGGTCAACATGGTGAAACCCGGTCTCTACTAAAAATACAAAAATTAGCTGAGTGTGGTGGCGCATGCCTATAGTCCGAGCTACTTGGGAGGCTGAGGCAGGAGAATCACTTGAACCTGGGAGGCAGAGGCTGCAGTGAGCCAAGATAGTGCTACTGTACTGCAATCTGGGTAACACAGCAAGACTCCATCTCAAAAAAAAAAAAAGAAAAAAGAAAAGAAAAAGGAAAAAAAGGCTACTCCATAGGCAGAGTTGTCCTTTGTTTTTTTGAGATGGATTTTCACTCTTGTTGCCTAGGCTGGAGTGCAGTGGTGCAATCTCGGCTCACTGAAACCTCCGCCCGCCGGGTTCAAGCAATTTTCCTGCCTCAGCCTCCCGAGTAGCTGGGATTACAGGCATGTGCCACCATGCCCGGCTAATTTGGTATTTTTAGTAGAGATGGGGTTCCTCCATGTTGGTCAGGCTGGTCTCAAACTCCTGACCTCAGGTGATCCACCTACCTCGGCTTCCCAGAGTGCCAGGATTACAGGCGTGAGCCACCGTGCCCGGCCAAGTTGCCTATTTTTGTGGTCATTTCCTGATGATATGCTAAACGTGGATTATTCATATCTCCCCTTTTTAGACCATATAGAGTAACTTCATGACGTTGCCATGACATTTGTAAACTGTCATGGCGCTAATGGGAGTGTAGCAGTGAGGATGTCCAGAGGTCATTCTCGTGGCCATCTTGGTTTTGGTGGGTTTTGGCCAGCTTCTTTACTGCAATCTGTTCTATCAGCAACGTCTTTATGACCTGTATTTTGTGCCGACCCCCTCCTAGCTCATCCTGTGACTTAGAATGCCTTAACCATCTGGGAATGCAGCCCAGTAGGTCTCAGCCTCATTTTACCCACCTCCTATTCAAGATGGAGTTGCTCTGGTTCATATTACCCTGACACATTTAATCTCCACAACAACCCTTTGAGGTAAATACTAATATTATCACCATTTTTACTGATGAGGAAACTGAGGCACAGAGAATTTGAGGTAACTTGTTCCAGGTCACATAGCTTCCAAATGGTAAAGTGGGAATGTGAATCAACGTTTTTTTTTTGTTTGTTTGTTTGTTTTTTTCATTTATCACGCTTGTTGCCCAGGCTGGAGAGCAAATGATCTCGGCTCACTGAAAGCTCCACCTCCTGGGTTCAAGCGATTCTCCTGCCTCAGCCTCCTAAGTAGCTGGGACTACAGGCACCTGCCACCATGCCCGGCTATTTTTTGTATTTTTAGTAGAGACTGGGTTTTTCCCAAACTCCTGACCTCAAGTGATTTGCCCGCCTCAGCCTCCCAAAGCGCTGGGATTACAGGTGTGAGCCACTGCTCCTGGCCTTTTTTTCGAGATGGTCTTGCTCTGTTGCCCAGGCTGGAGTGCAGTGGCACGATCACAGCTCACAGCAGCCTCAACCTCCTGGGCTCAAGCCATCCTCCTGCCTCAACCTCCTGAGTAGCTGGAATTTACAGCTGGGCCACCATGCCCAGCTAATTAAAAAAATATTTATTTATTTTTTTTCTGTAGAGATGAGATCTCACCCTACTGCTCAGTCAGGTCTCAAACTCCTGGGGTCAAGAGATCCTCCCTCCAAGGCCTCCCAAAGTGCTAGGACTACAGGCATGAGCCACCGCGCCCAGCCAGCAACTTCTTAACACTTCCTGTGTGAGGCAGGGCAGGGACCAGAACCCAGACCTCTGAGCTGTCCCTGCTGCCTGTGCTGGTGTGGCGTGGCCAGTGGCCAAAGGGGTCTCATCCTCCTCAGTCCAGCAGCTCTGCCAACAACTAACAGCCTTTGGCTGATGGTCTCAGCTTCCTCATTTGGGATGGGTAATATTGTTGGCTCCCTCGTAGAGCTACTGACAGCACTAAGTCAGCTGAAACCAGGAAAGGGCTTTGAACAGCGCCTGCCCCGCAGTAGACACTTAGGGGCTTTACTGTCGTCATTCTCCCTCCTCTCACCTCCTCACTCACTCCTGGGCCCTCTTCCGGATCCAGCCCCAAATACGGGGAAGGGCTGAACACCGCCGGCCTGGCGTGGGTGGAGGGGGACAGCCAGGCCCCAAGGCTTGGCAGCCGCCTCGGGCTCAGAGGTCAGCTCCTGCTCCCTGGACACAGCTGGTGGGGTTGGGGCCTGTCCTACCTGCCCCACCTAAGCTTCTAGGACCTCCCGCAGCCCCAGCCCTGAGCCAGGCGGCCTATCCTCAGCCTGGAAGGAAAGGTTCAGCCTCGAGGCCATTGTCCAGATGAGAAAAGGCCTGGGAGGTGGGTGGGGACAGGCAGACGGCCCCTGAGAGTAGGGGCAGGGCTAAGCTTTGTTCAGACGCTGTTCTCTGCGGGGGGAGGTCCTTCCCCCATCTCCGTAAAGCTCCAATCCAACCCCAGAACAGTCCCAAATGCCACCTCCTGGGGATCCCGTCTCTTTCTTTGGCTAAGAAAGAATCCCCTGTGCTGTGACACAGAGCCTTTTGCGTTGGGTCCTGAAAGATGTGTAGGAGTTCCCCAGGGGCTGGGGGTGAGGAAAGAATTCCTGACTACAAAGCCAAGGCAAAAGCACGGCGGTGGGAGGTGCTCTGACAGAGCGGGGAACAGACGAAATGGAGTTCTGTGAAATTGGTAAAATATAAACTTGGCAATCACTTGACCAATGGTGTAGATGGGGAAACTGAGGCGCAGAGGGGCCAGGGAGTTGTTCCAGTCAGAGCTGTCTTGGCTTTCGGAACAGGGCTGCCCCATTACATGAGTGGGCACGTCGCTCGCTCTCTGGGAGGAGGAAAAAGTCTCCTCCAAGCCCGGGAACGTGCGCCAATCCCCCTCCAAAGCGCTTCCCCAGCCGCCCGCGCTGGAGCCCCGGCTCATGGACTACAAGTCCCGGCAGGCCCCGCGCCGCGGCGCATGCTAGGCGGGCGTCCCTTCGCGAGCCCGGCCGAGCCCGGGGGCCCAGTTCACCATTGTCTGGCCAACAGGGGCGGGGCGGGCGGCACGGCGGGCTCGCTCACTGGTCGGGCGGCGCGTCCGTCGCGCCCGGCGCCCACCCCCGTGCAGGCCCGGCCCCGCGCGCCCGCGCCCGGGCCGCCTGGCGCCCCGCCCGCGCCTTAGGACCCGCGGGGCCGCGCGGCGCATCCTGCGGGCGGCGGCGGCGGGCGAGGCGCCTGCAGCCGGGCGCAAGATGATGAAGTTTCGGTTCCGGCGGCAGGGCGCCGACCCGCAGCGCGAGAAGCTCAAGCAGGAGCTTTTCGCCTTCAACAAGGTGCGGCGGCGGCCCGGGCCCGGGCTCGGGCGGGAGGGGGCGGGACGGGGGCCTGGGCTGGGGGCCCGGGGTCGGAGCCACGTCGGGCCCGGGGGGCGGGGGCTGGCATGCAGCGCGGCGCGGGGCGGGGCCGGGCCGGGCCGCGCACCCCCTCGGCGGGCCCCGCTCTGGCTCGGACTCTGGGTGGGTCTGGGTCTCCGGCCGACTTTCCGTGTCTGCTCCCCGAGTCTCTGCGGGCCGCTCTGGCCCTGGCTCTGCCAGTCTGTGTGTGTGGGGGTCTGTCTCTGAGACTCTTTGCCTGTCTCTGGGTCTCTGTCCCTCTTTCTCCGCCGCTGACCGGCTGTCTCGCCCCAGTTGTGCCTGTGTGTGTGGTGGGGGTGTCTCTGCCTCTGCCCCTTCCTATCTCTGCCTGTCTCCCTTTATCTCTCTGCCTCTCATTTCTCTTGCTGCCTGTGCGTCTCTGAGTCTTCTTTGCCTGTCTCTCCCTGCGTGTCTCTCTCTCTGTCTCTGTGGAGTCTCTCGACCTCTGTCGCTCACTTCTGTCTCTTTATCCTTTTTCTTAGGGGCTCCATTGCGTCCCTGCTCGGCCCTTGGGACAGCCCTGGGGCCCGGTTTGTTTTGTGCTTTGGCACCCAGGAGGGTGAGAGAGTTAGTGGGGGCGAGGCAGCTGTGGGGGGTGCGGCTGGGAAATCCCTTCAAGGAGCCTCTCCTTCCTTCCCCCACTGCTCCAGGCTCTGCCTTGCCCTGCTCTGCCCTGCCCGGGGCTCCGAGTCCAGGGGACATGCCTGGCTGTGTACTACACTGCACTTCGCATCGTGGGGCCTCAGTTTCCCTAGCTGTGAAATGAGGCTACTTTTCTCCATACTGTGGGCCCTGGCTCCCTCTGCCACATGGGCCAGCTGTCCTGCCTTTCTGCACCAAGGTGGAGTGAGGTGGAGGCTTTTCCTTCCTTTCCCGGAGTGGGACACTAGGGGCCAGGGAAAGGGGCCGCCTCAGCCCCCGCCTCCCTCTGCACTGATGTTAGAGCAGGGCCTCAGCCCACTCCTGGCTCACTGCTCTGGGGACGTTGGTTTTGTCCTCATTCTTACCCCAGAGCCCACTGATGGCAGAGCCTCTCAGTGCTCTTCGAAATTAGAGTTATCTTCAAAATACAGGTGAGAAAATTGAGGTTCTGAGAGGGGTGACGGCTTGCCCGGAGTCAGAGTGAGCTGCACCAATATCTTTCTTGAGTTCTTGTGTCAGTGGGGTTGGATTTTAGCCTTGAGGGGCAGGGATTTTTCCAAGGGGCTGCTGTGGTCCTGGGCCAGTGTTGTGCCAGGCGCCCTGGGCTGCCTTGAGGAGACACTTGTCTTGGAGGAGGCTCTGGGACGGCTGGACCTGGAGTAGTGGAGGCACTGGGATGTCTCAGGGTTTCCCTGCCTAGGTCTGCAGTGATTGCCGATGAGAGCTGCCAGGACCCTCACACGGTGGCTGAGAACCTGCTAGGAACCTGAGAGGGGCCCAGAAGGGAAGCTGGTGCTCCGTGGTCCCCAGATGGCACCTATTTTCTGTGCCGGGGAGGCTGTGAGGGTGAGGTGAGAGGAGAATGGCCCTTCAGGGAAAGGCAGCAACAGGCACAGGGCTAAATGTCACTTTTTTTTTTTTGAAATGGGGTCTCACTCTCACCCAGGCTGGAGTGCAGTGGCACAATCACAGTCCACTGCAGCCTCACAACTCCCTGGCTCAGGTGATCCTCCCATCTCAGCCTCCTGAAGCTGGGACTACAGGCTCGTGTCACCATGCCCGGCTAGTTTTTGTATTTTTTGTAGAGATGGGGTTTCACCATGTTGCCCAGGCTGGTCTCGAACTCCTGGGTTCAAGCTATCTATCCATCCATGTTGGCTTCCCAAAGTGCTAGGATTACAGACATGAGCTGCCATGCCTGGCCTAAATGTCATTTCTTCAGCCAGTGAATTGGGGTGTGCAGTGGGGGCTGGAGACAGATGGGGGTGAAGCTCAGCCCACTCTGGCTAGCCTTGGGGTGGCGGAAAGTAAGGGCCCTCCGCTGAGGATGAAGCGTGGGCAGCAGTGGTGGAAAGTGGGGTGGTCTTGGGGAAGGGACTTAGTCACCTAAGTGGGTAATAGGTGATCGCTAGGGAATAGGCCCCTGATTCCTGAGCTTAGGGGGTGGGAGACAGGTCAGGAGTGAGCAGGGACTTTGGACTCTGAGTCTTGGGTTCAAATCCCAGTCCAGCCCACACATCGCCTGTGGAATGTGCCTTCTCTGTTAATACTGAGCCCCACTGTGTGTGAGGTCTCCAAGGTGCTGGGGACAACAGTAGTTACCAAAAAGGACAAATACCTGTTAACTCAGGTGGCTGATATAGTTGTGCAGGAGACAGTGAAAAGCCAAAACAAAAAAGTAAAATAGACTGTAGTTGGGATGGTAGCCAGTGCTGTGGATCAAATAAAGTAGGGCGAGGGGGTGAGAGGTGTGGCCAGGGCGGCTGCTGCAGCCAGGGTGGCCTTGGGAGGCTTCTCTGAGGAGATTACTCCTGAGCGACAGGAAGTGCTGGAGGAAGTGCGTTCCAGGCAGAGGGGCAGTAGGTGCAAAGGCCCTGAGGCACAAGCCTCCCTTAGCTGGGAGCCCCAGGAGGATCCTGAGCAGGGGAGGGACAAGGATCTGGCTGTGGCTTTCATAGGATCCCTCTGGCCTCTGTGGGAACAGACTGTAGTGAGTACCAATCCAGGCACGTGACGGTGGGGCCTGGAGCAGGGAGGGAGGTGACTTCTGTGTGTTTTGAAACTGAGTTGATGGGGCTCAGAAATGGACTGGACGTGGGGTATGAGGGAAGCAGATGCTGGACAGTGCATGTAACCTCCTTTCCTCGTTTGTAAAATGGGAAGGCTGTGGGGATTTGCGATGCAGTGTCCCGTCTCTGGACCCTGGTTGTAGCGAGGGACTGGCTAGACAAGGTCAGGTGCAGCAAGGGCGTGGTATTATTGGTGGGAGAGAGAAGCCCCAGCCAAATCGCCAACTCTGTCCTTAGGTGGGCTTACTGTCCCAAGGGCCCAGATGAGAGACTGAAGCTTGGAGAGTACTGAGTCTTGGAGAGTACTGTGACTTGCCCAAGGCCAGACAGCTAGGCCGTGACCAAACCAGCTGCCCAGAGGGCTCAGTCCCCACCTGGATGGGCAGAGGCAGGCAGGGAGGGAGGTTCGCGTTACAGGCTGGGAACTGGGGTTTCTTACAAATGTGCATCTTCCTGAGGCAGTGGGTCAGGAATTACCAGTGGTAAAAGTGAAAAATAAATAACAACAACAAGATAAAAGGAGTTACCAGTGGCCCACGTGGGTGTCCTGCACTGGTGTTCAGGATGGGGCTGGAGCTCAGCTGTGCAGGCTTCCCAGGGAGGGCACAGCCAGGCCAAAGACAGGAGACTGGTGCAGAAAGGGTGTGCTGTGAAAGGGGCAGGGGAGCGGGTGGGGAGCTGTTTCATCGACACTCTGGGCACACAGACCCCCTTAACACCATCTCCGCCCCTGATGGTTATGGGAGTCATGTTGCCCAGCTGTTGGCAGGTGGGGAGGTGGGAGGATGCCTTCGGGGTCCAGGCAGAAAGCTACCCCTCTCTGGGCCTCTGTCTCCCTGTGTCTGGGAGGAGTCAAAAGCCTCTGCCTAGCTGATCCTGGATGTTGTCCCTTGACCTCTGACCTCCACTCAGGCCTGTGTTTGGGGAGTGTCATGGTCATCTTGCGGGACTCCTCCGCAAGCTTTAGTCTGTGCCTCTAAAAATGGGGTGCAGAGCCCTTCATGGAGCAGGTGGGGCCTCATCAGTGCCTGCACCTCTGTGAGCCTTGCTTCACCTGTTTGTTGCTGGAGCCTCCATGCAGTGGGGCCCACATGAGCCTGTGTGCATTGAGGGGCACAGGGGCTTGGCAAAGGGCGGGCCTCTGTGGACTATGCACGCGGTACAGTCATGGTGGAGGCTAGGGGTTTAGCCACCTCCCCACCAACTGGAGGCATGATAACCCATTTCACAGTTGAGGACGCTGAGGCACAGAGCAAGTAGACCTGCCTCCTACCCCCAGTGTGTCAGCTGCAGACCCTGGAGGCTGCCTTGGGGTGGGCCTCAGGGTGGGCCATGGCAGAGGTGCCTGGGAGTGCTTACCCCCAGCAGCCCTCCCCTCCTTGCAGACTGTGGAGCATGGCTTCCCCAATCAGCCCAGCGCCCTGGCCTTCGACCCGGAACTTCGCATCATGGCCATCGGCACCAGGTCTGGGGCTGTCAAGATGTATCCTTTGCAGGACAGGTGTTCAGGGTCTGTTCAGGACCACCTGCCTGTAGTTCCCTGTGCTCTGGGGTCCCAGTCTTGGCAGTGTCCAGCTCGAGAGGAGGACAGAGGTGCTCTGATGGGCAGTAGTGGGGGCTTCTGCGGAGGTTGGCGTGGCTTCTGTACCTGAGACAACTGTGCAGAGATGATGGGGTCCTTTTGCTGAGAGACGGGTGGTGGGGGGTCAGTTTGCAGTAGCACAGCTGTCCCTTGCTACGTGTCAGCCAGCCAGTTACCTAGGCGACCCTGCCATCGTCCCAGCAACTCTGGGGAGGCCAGGCAGAAGGCTGGGCTATGATACCCATGGAGGGTGGCAGGTGGGCTGGGGGCCCTGGTGAGCTGATGCACACATGTGTGAATGTGAAGACACATGTGTTCAGCAAAGGGGCCTGGGGGCAGTGCCAGGCTCGGCATGGTGAGCACAGCACGGCCCCCACCTGGATACTGGCTGCTGCACAATGGGCTGTGTGAGCCACACAAAGCGGGCATTTTCCCTGCAGGCCTGGGGTGGGGGTGGGGGCAGGCCGGCAGCTCAGTGTCTCCTTGCCAGCCCTGGAGAATCCCACCCCAACTGCTCTTGGGGAAGCCGAGGTGCCAGGGTCTGGCTGATGGCGGCTTGGTGAGGGGTGCTGACCCCTACCCCTCCTGTGTGGCCTTCTGGGTTTCAGTATCCTGGTTTCAGACATCAGTTCCCAGAAAATGTGTCAGTGCTGGGAAAGGGGAGGGTGTGGGATGGGGGTCTCCTCACCCCAGGACTGGGGGCACTGATCAGGCAGGGATGGGACTCTGAGCCTGTGGTTTGTGAGCTCTTTGCCTACTCTGGGGAGTGTGGATGGGCTGAGATGTCCCCTTCTCTCCCATGGCCCCAGCGGCCTCTGTTGGTGAGTGTGGCAGTGCTCTGGGCCCCACATGCTCCGCTGCCTGGCCTGCTGCTCCCACTCCTGTGGGTGCTGCGCTGCGTGCGCACATGTGTCCCTGCAGCCTTCAGGTGTCCCTCCTGTGTTGGGGTCTCCAGTGCACTTGTCCTCAGGCTCAAAAAGAACCTGAAGTGCAGATGAGGAGACTGAGCCTCAGAAAGGAGGCTGGAGCCCGGGGTCCTCTTCCCTTTTTCCCCTGACTGCCACTGCCTGGAGCCCCTTGGGTTGGGAAACTGAGGCTGGAGAGGGCCAGCCCTGGTCACTAGAAGCTGCCCCTCCCCCTGCCAGGCCAGCCCCATCTCCTTGACGACCCTGGTTCCCGCCCAGCTGCTCCTGTCCCCTCTTTTGTCCCTTCTTCGGAGTTTCTCGCCAGGCTCCTGTAGGGAATCTGAGCTCAAGCTCCAGGCAACGGCTCCTGTGTTGTCACCGGGGCAACGTTGCTGACTCCTCCCTGCACCCTCTGTCATGGGGCCCCCTCAGGCCCTGCTGTCCACCATCAGCCCTGGAGTTGCCGGGACTCAGGCACTGACACTGGGCACTTCAAGCAGGTCATCCACCCCCTCCAAGTCTGTGTGCTCATCTGTGAAATGGGCAGGCTGGAGTCTCTCCTCCCTCATGATGGCAGTTGTTGGCTGCCTGCTTTGGAGGGAGGTGGGTTTTTTTTGTTTTGTTTTGTTTTTTTGAGATGGAGTCTTGCTCTTTGTTGCCCAGGCTGGAGTGCAGTCGCACAGTTTTGGCTCACTGCAACCTTTGCCTCCCGGGTTCAAGCAGTTCTCTGCCTCAGCCTCCCAAATAGCTGGGATTACAGGTGCCTGCCAGCATGCCCGGCTAATTTTTGCGTTTTTAGTAGAGACGAGGTTTCACCATCTTGGCCAGGCTGGTCCTCAACTCCTGACCTTGTGATCTACCTGCCTCGGCCTCCCAAAGTGCTGGGATTACAGGAGCGAGCCACCGTGCCCAGAGGAGGTGGGTTTTCTTACCCATGGCTGAAGTTTGGCCTGAAGCTGTGGGAAAAGGCAGCCTGGACTCTTCTGCCCCCTGGCTTTCTTGTCCAGGCCTGGCCTTGCACCTCTGGCCTGCCTGATCCCATCCGGCAAGGCGCAGCTCCCAGAACCCATAGACACACGGAGCTGAAGTGGAGCGGAGCCCCATCCTCTCACCAGGCTGAGGCCAAGCCTGCTGGGTGTGTTTATTCTCACTTGATCTGCAACAGTCCTGTAAAGTGGGAGTCACTGGCCCAATTTACGGGAAGTGAAGGTCCTATAGCAGCACCTGACTTGCAGGAGTGAGTGGAGCCTGCACACTGATCTTGGGGATACTGTAGGGGTGCAGAGTGGGAGCTTTAGGGAGGGGGCCTCCGTTCTTCAGGGAGGACTCCTGGATGGTCAGGCCCATGCCGGGGCCCACTGGAATAGTCCGGGTCAAGGAGGAGCCTTGGGTGTCTTCCTCACTGTGGTTTGCTGGTCTATGCCTATTTCCACCTTGACCTGCCACCCTCAGCTATGGTGCACCTGGCGTGGAGTTCACAGGCCTGCACCGGGATGCAGCCACTGTCACACAGATGCACTTCTTGACCGGCCAGGTGAGCCTCTGCTTCCCACTAGCCAGCTCCCTGTGGCCCCCATATCTACTCATCCCCCTAGGCCAGCCTAGTTTTCATCTCTGCTCACACACCAGGGCCGCCTCCTGTCCCTGCTTGATGACAGCAGTCTGCATCTCTGGGAGATTGTCCACCATAATGGCTGTGCCCACCTGGAAGAAGCACTCAGTTTCCAGCTGCCCAGCCGGCCCGGCTTTGATGGTGCCAGGTACTGGAGAACTTGGCTGGGGCCAGCCACCGGGCAGGGAGGATCTGGGGGAGGCTGTGGGAACCTGCTGTGCAAAGGCAGCATGGAGATGGGCAGCGGTTCAGGGCGGGATGCCTTGAGCTGGGCCTGGGTCCCAGGCTGCAGCTGTTGGACCCTGCTTTACTGAGGTATACTCTGAACTTTTCAGGTTAAATGGGAGGTTTGGGTTGAGTCCGACGTGAGCAGGTAATTAACATTGTGAGCAGCAGGAGGTACATGCATTATATGCCAAACTTCTAGGACCTGAGGCCTGGCACTACACTTACTGCAATGATGGGGGTGTCTAGGGGTTTGGGGCAGGGCCTAAGCCAGTTAGTAACAGGAAGGGTCCCCTGGCCTCTTCAGTTGTGGGTGGGAGACAGGCCTTTCTGTGCATAGGCAGGGTTGAGGGCAAGGAGGGTCCCATGGGCTGTGCTTGGTAAGGCGCTGGCAGCATGCCCCAGCTGAGTGAGAGTGTGGGGCATCTCTCTCCCCAGCCCTGCCTGAAATAGCTGGAAAAGGGGAGTACCAACCCAGGGATGGATTCCTGATGCCTCCCAGCTTCTGCAGATGGGGGTATCTGGGGCCCTCCTGCGAAGTCAGGAGATGTCTGAGCGCTGGCAGCGGGATTCCTAGGAGGGGCTCAGCGGGGAGCTCCTGGTCCTGGCTTGGGCAGTGCCCTGGTTCCTGCTGTCCTCTCCTGGTGGGTGGGAGGAGCTGGGAGCCCAGTCTGCAAGACCTAGGGACCCTATTTTTATCCATCTCCCTGCTGACATCCTGATGAATAATTGAGCGGGCTGATGATGATGCATGTCTTCCTGGGGTGGCTCTGTAAGTAGGCCCTGGTGAGTGCTGTGGGGCCAGTGATGAGTTATCAGCAGTGGCCCAGCCCCTCACACCCCACCTGAGCAGGTGGATGGGCTTGTACCCTCACTCCCTTCCCCTTGTTCCCTGCAGTGCTCCGCTCAGCCTTACCCGAGTCACAGTGGTCCTGCTGGTGGCTGCCAGCGACATAGCAGCCCTGGGCACTGAGGGCAGCAGTGTCTTCTTCCTGGATGTTACCACCCTGACCCTGCTCGAGGGGCAGACGCTTGCCCCAGGCGAGGTTCTGCGCAGGTAAGAGGCCGGTGGGCTTCCCAGCACCCACTGTGTGCCCGGGAAGTTCTGCTGGCTCACCTGCCTTCCTCCACAGCGTGCCAGACGACTACCGCTGTGGGAAGGCACTGGGCCCCGTGGAGTCACTCCAGGGACACCTGCGGGACCCCACAAAGATTCTCATTGGCTACAGCCGGGGCCTGCTGGTCATCTGGAACCAGGCCTCGCAGTGTGTGGACCACATCTTCCTGGGGAACCAGGTATGTAGGTGAGGCCTGTGTCCCCTCAGCCTGGGCCCCTTGTGCATGCCCACCATGGCTCATGCCTGCCTGCCTGCCTGCCCCTGCCTGCCCGCAGCAGCTGGAGAGCCTATGCTGGGGGCGTGATAGCAGCACTGTGGTCAGCTCACACAGCGATGGCAGCTATGCTGTCTGGTCTGTGGATGCCGGCAGCTTCCCAACGCTGCAGCCCACGGTAGCCACCACACCTTACGGTGAGTGCTGGGGACACCTTAGCCAGAGGGTGGTGATGGGAGGGGGCACCACTGAGCCAAGCCAAACTGGCTGAGGAGGGACTTCCCCGAGGGGGTGGTCTGGGGGCAGTGTGTCTCCCGCCGACTTCCCGGGGAGGCAGGAGGCAGCTGTAAGGTAGAGAGCAGTGGAGGGCAGAGCAGGAATGGCAGAATTGCTAAGAACCACCAGTGAGTCTGGTCTGACGCTGTCCCACCCCTCAGGCCCCTTTCCCTGCAAGGCCATTAACAAGATTCTGTGGCGGAACTGTGAATCTGGGTAGGTCGAGGGAGTGGGTGTCCGATGTGAGTTGGGTCTGGCTAGGGGGCTGGAAGGGTGGGCTCTCCCTAGGTTGTGCAGTATGTGCTCTGGACCCAAGTGGTTCATGGCTCGCACACCTCCCTCTGCACATAGGGGCCACTTTATCATCTTCAGCGGTGGCATGCCCCGTGCCAGCTATGGTGACCGCCACTGTGTAAGTGTGCTTCGAGCCGAGACATTGGTGACGCTGGACTTCACTTCCCGCATCATCGACTTCTTCACAGTGCACAGCACACGGCCCGAGGATGGTGCGTGCCCTGCCGTACCCTACCCTTTCCCAGCCCCACCTGGTGCCCTCTGCCACCTATGGCTGTGCTCACCCCATACTCCCTCCGTCCCACAGAATTTGATGACCCCCAGGCCCTGGCTGTGCTGCTGGAAGAGGAGCTGGTGGTGCTGGACCTGCAGACTCCTGGCTGGCCAGCTGTGCCTGCCCCATACCTGGCCCCGCTGCACTCCTCTGCAATCACTTGCTCGGCCCACGTGGCCAGTGTCCCCGCCAAGCTGTGGGCCCGCATTGTGAGCGCTGGCGAGCAGCAGAGCCCCCAGCCTGTCTCCAGTGCCTTGGTGTGTGCGGCGATCAGGGGGGTCTTACAGGGTGGAGTCTTGAGGAGGGGGAGAGTTTCAGTTCTAAGCCCGGAGGTCAGAATGTGCCATACTCGGGGTGAGAGGGAGAAGATGTTCGTCCTAACCTTGTGCATACATCTCTGCCACCCCCTCCCAGAGCTGGCCCATCACTGGGGGCCGAAACCTGGCCCAGGAGCCGTCACAGCGAGGGCTGCTGCTGACGGGGTAGGTGTGCGTGCTTATGTGGGTGAGTGGGCCCCTTGCTGTTGGGGGAGAGCCCATCCTGGGCCTGGTGGGTGCAGAGGTGCCAGGAGACTCAGGCCTGGCCCCTGGTGGGACCAGGTAGTTCCTCCTTGCCCAAGGTGGTTTGGAATGAAACCTCCCTGGACCTTGGTTCAAGGTGCTGCCCTGATCTGCCTTTTGGCCTGGAACTGAGCTCTACCAAACCCCAGGGCTCCACCCGCCCAGCCTGCCTGCCCTGGGACTGGAAAATCTGGGCTGGCCCACGCTGAGCTGCCCAGGGAAGGTGCCAGAGAGCCCAGCGTGGGCCTGGCGGGCGCTGACGTGCCCAGTGACTCAGGTCTCAACTTCCTGCCCTGCCCCCACTCCCGCCTGTGCTGGGACCCTCAGGCCTCTGACTCTGGTGTGCCCTTCCCTGCTGAAGAGCTTGCCGTGGCTTTCAGGGCTGCTGGAATGAGTCTCAACCACCCCCACAGTCACACACCTCTCACGCCCTGGCTCTGGGCTTTCACCACCGCCTGGGGCCCTGCTTGGACTCTGCAGCTGTGTCCCAAGGCTGCGCCCTAGATTTGTCTACTCCTTCCCCTGCCCCCTCCCTGCTTTCTCCCGGCCTCTGTAGTCTTCCTGCTCCTCCACCTACGTGGCTGCCTTGGGCCCCATGCAGCTCCTCCCCCGGGATGCCCCATGCTCTGTTCTGTGACTGCCTTACTCTTGATCACCTCTGATGGCTGCTCCAGTGCAGGCAGAACCCCCAAAGTCCTCTGTTCTCTACATGTCCCCCTTTGCCACCTCCTGTTAATCAGGGTGGTCATTTCCACCTTGTTTGGTTTAAAGGCTCCAGGTGCATATGGTGCATGTGGCCTGGCCTATAACAGGTGCACAGTGTACCTGTGCTGTCTACAGTAGGTGCCTATTGTTTTTTGTAAAAGTAGGATTCCGGTCAGTGTTTGGCACGTGCAGTAGGTGCTTAGTGAGTGGTTATCAGATGAGTGAATGGAGGGGCGTGCAGGCCTCCCAGGAACTCGGGTAGCCCTGACATCTGCCCTCCCTGCAGCCATGAGGACGGCACCGTGAGGTTCTGGGATGCCTCGGGTGTGGCGCTGCGGCCGCTCTATAAGCTGAGCACAGCTGGCCTCTTCCAGACAGACTGTGAGCACGCTGACAGCCTGGCCCAGGCTGCCGAGGACGACTGGCCACCCTTCCGCAAGGTGGGCCCCTCCCCTGGCCCTGATGAGCTGGTCCTGACCCCGCCTGGACTCATTACTCCTTCCCATCCCTCTAGGTGGGCTGCTTCGATCCCTACAGTGACGATCCCCGGCTTGGCGTGCAGAAGGTTGCTCTCTGCAAGTATACAGCCCAGATGGTGGTGGCTGGCACTGCAGGCCAGGTAGGGCTGGGTGTCCCCTGGGTTGGAGATGTCAGGGAGGGCTTTCTGGAAGAGATGAGCTGGAGGGTCTGGTGGAAAGGGAGATGGACTGGCACAGGCAAAAGCCAAGGTGGGAATAGGGCTCTGGGTGGGGCTGGCTGGGGTGAGGACAGATGGGAAGTGGGCCTGTCGCTGGGGGAACCACAGTGTTGAGAGGAGGGAACTCATGTCAGTGCTGTGCTCCGGCACTCACATGACATACAGGAGGTGCTCAATGTGTCCTTATTGCTAAATGGGAGATAGAGGCTCAGGGTAAGGGTGGACACTTTGCCCTCAGAGGGCAGGGACTAGTGTGTCTTGGTCACCACTGTGTTCCTTGTGCTCAGCCAGGGCCTTGGTATACAGTAGGCATTCAGTGAGTGCTTGTTTAGCTGATGAACTGAAGACAGTCCTAGAACCACCTTGGTGGTGGCTGGGGCTGCTTCAGAGGCTCCAGGCTGAGTGGGGCCCAGGGCGGCCCCTCCCCTGCGCTGATGCTCCCCCTGCCTGGCTGTGGGCTCAGGTGCTGGTACTGGAGCTTAGTGATGTGCCGGTGGAGCAGGCGGTCAGCGTGGCCATCATAGACCTCCTCCAGGACCGCGAGGGCTTCACATGGAAGGGCCACGAGCGGCTGAGCCCACGCACGGGGCCGCTGCCCTGGCCTGCTGGCTTCCAGCCCCGTGTCCTGGTGCAGTGCCTGCCGCCAGCTGCTGTAACCGCTGTCACACTCCACACCGAGTGGAGCCTCGTGGCTTTTGGCACCAGTCATGGCTTTGGCCTCTTCGACTACCAGCGCAAGAGCCCTGTGCTGGCCAGGTGTGTGGGGTGGGGCCGGCTGGGCAGTTGGAGCCCCCAGCGAGATGGGGTCTGGGCTTCCGTTTCCACCTCTAGTGTTTGGTGTGGCAAAGGCCACTAACCTCCATTGCCCTATAAGAAATAACCTGGCAGCTCCAAGAAGGACATTCTCAGTACCACCTGCAGCTGGGTCCATAGGACTGCGCCAGAGGGGCTGTGACTCCCTGACCTGGGTGCCTCCACAGGCCAGCAGGAGTGTGGTGGCTGCCCCAGGAGGCTGCTCTATAGCACGACTGGACCCTGTCTTCCCCCAGGTGCACTCTTCACCCCAATGACTCCCTGGCCATGGAGGGTCCGCTCTCCCGGGTGAAGTCTCTCAAGAAGTCACTGCGCCAGTCTTTCCGGCGCATTCGCAAGAGTCGTGTCTCTGGCAAGAAGCGGGCTGCTAATGCCAGCAGCAAGGTGAGCTGGGGTGGGCTGCACAGGAGCTGTGCCTGTGTCCTGTGCCTTGGCCTGGCTCTGGCCTGGGACCCCTGGGGCCTGCTTAGCTCAGTGCTCCTCCCTCGGCAGCCCCTGGGCCCTCCAGAGGGATGGGTGAACTAAGCTGGGTGGTAGAGGAATGGTAACAGAACGTAGGGCGCAAAGCAGGATGCAAGCCACTGGGGTGCTAGGGAGACAGTGTTCAGGAGCCCCCGCCCGGCAGTTGCAGGAAGCCAATGCACAGCTGGCTGAGCAGGCCTGCCCCCACGACGTGGAGATGACGCCCGTGCAGCGCCGCATTGAGCCCCGCTCTGCCGATGACTCCTTGTCGGGTGTCGTGCGTTGCCTATACTTTGCCGACACATTCCTTCGAGATGGTAAGGCAGGGGCAGGGGCAGGGACAGGGCAAGGGTTGGGGGGGCTGGCCTCAATTGGCCACCTGGGAGATGGGTGGTGGCAAGGGAGGTGGTGGGACTGCACCTTCCAGGAGGTGGCTGGGCACGGTGGCTCAAGCCTGTGAGTGATCCCAGCACTTTGGGAGGCCGAGGTGGGCGGATCACCTGAGGTCAGGAGTTTGAGACCCGCCAGGCCAACATGGTGAAACCTCGTCTCTACTAAAAATACAAAAATTAGCCAGGTGTGGTGGCGGGCGCCTGTAATCCCAGCTACTTGGGAGGCTGAGGCAGGAGAATTGCTTGAACGTGGGAGGCGGAGGTTGCAGTGAGCCGAGATCGTACCACTGCACTCCAGCCTGTGCAACAGAGTGAGACCTTCTCAGAAAAAAAGCTTACCATCCAGCTCTCCCAGGGGGACTGCTGGGTCACCCCCAGTCTCTCTGGGGGAGCTGGATGGTAAAGGATTTTTGAGTGAGCTGGGTGGGCCTCTCAGATCTGAGCCAGGAGAAGGGAGGTTGAGGCCTGGTGGATGACGGTGAGGGGCACCAGCCAGTGCCCAGGCCCCGAGCCGGGCATGTGTGTGGGCAGCTGCCCAGCCACTTGGCTGGAGTGGAGCAGGTGAGGGTCGAGGTGTGTGGTTCAGGGAGATACTGCTGCTGGCCAGAGGCTGAGGACCTGGCTTTGATTCTCAGTGGCCTGGGAGCCCTGGGAAGGTCCTGGATTTGTTGATTGAGTCACTGATTGATTTTGAACTTGTACAATGGGAGAGTTTCAAACATACACAAAAATAGAGAGGTGCAAAGTTGTCCCACATACCTCACATGCCTGCCACCAGCCATGTGCCCCTGCGGATTCTGCCCCCCTCCTCCACATTCTTTGCTGTTTTTTTTGCCGGGGTATTTTAAATGAAAACCCAGATACAAGTACTTCAGCATGTTCCTGACAGATGTCACTGACAGCCACTGCTCACATCATGCCCTGTAGAACCAATGTGAATTCCTGAGTGTCATCTGCTTGGTCTACGAGCTCAGCTTTCTGATGCCATTTATTTGTCGAGGGTCTTTGTGCAGTGGATTTTCTCACTGTCTGGATGTGGCGGGTGCAGCTGGGGGTGGGGGGTTCTTTGACTTTTTGTTTTTTTTGACTACAAAGACCTAGAAGAGGAGAGCCTGGGGTTTTTAACTTGTTCCACTGGCCCGAGAAGGCCGATGGGTTCATGTTCATGGCCGGCTGGGGTTCCTGTTGGGCATGTTTTGAGTTGTGCAGACACTTAATGCCTCAGGATCCATCGGGTCATCAGGGAGCAGGTGCCGAGTCTGCTCTTGCTTCTGCTGGGCTGGGCTCTGATTCTCCACTAAAGCTTGTCACCCAGAGGTTCAGTTCACACAGGCAGAGCAGGGTCGATGGATGGTCGTCCTAGGTGTCCCCAGGCTTGGCGGCTTCCTCTGGCTGCCACGTAGGGAGCACACTGAAGACAGTGGGGGTGAAGCAGGGCTAAGACAAGGCACACCTGTCGACAGGACTAGCAAGGGGACGCAGGGGTGGAGAGAGGAGTCGGGGTCTTGTGGGGCTTGGGGCCTGAGTGATGCTAGGATGGAGCTGCGTTTACTGAGATGGGGGCTGAGGGTGCAGTGGGATGGGGCTGGAGGTCTGGTTTGGGTGCCCATCAGCATTCTGTGCAGATGCGCTACAGCTGTTCGGGCCTCTGCAGGAGGGCTGCATCCTGGGCTCCGACTGCAGTCAGCAGCATAGAGCTGGGGTCTCAGGCCTCGAGGCTGGAGGTCACCAGGGAGGCATGGGGCAGGAGGGAATCAGCCCTGAGTCCCAGGGTGTCATAGTTAGGAAGCAGGGCTACAAGAGAGGCAGGGAGGGACCTGCAGTCTGTGGGAAGACCCCAGGGGAGATGCCTGGCCCACAGGGAGCACCCTCCTACGCGCTTGTTTTCTGCAGGGGCCCACCACGGGCCCACCATGTGGGCTGGCACCAACTCAGGCTCTGTGTTCGCCTATGCACTGGAGGTGCCGGCAGCAGCAGTGGGTGGTGAGAAGCGGCCTGAGCAAGCGGTGGAGGCCGTGCTGGGCAAGGAGGTGCAGCTGATGCACCGGGCGCCTGTGGTGGCCATTGCCGTGTTGGACGGGCGTGGCCGCCCACTGCCCGAGCCCTACGAGGCCTCACGGGACCTGGCGCAGGCACCTGACATGCAGGGTGGTCACGCTGTGCTCATCGCATCTGAGGAGCAGTTCAAGGTGAGCCACTGTGGGCTGTGGGGGACTCTGGGGGACTCCCCTCCAGGCCCCAACCTCATGGACACCATTGGACCCTCAAGAAACCCTTCCTGCCTGTATCCCCCACTGTTGGGACCCTAATTCCCTTGCACCCCAGAAAACACTCCCAGCCAGCAGAGAACTCCTACCCAAGAACCCTGATGCCCCCTCAGCCTGCTGAGTTCCCCTGGGAGGGCAGGAATCTAGTCCTATCTCACTGTGCCACACAAGGCTCCTGTACTGGGCCCAGACCCCTGAGCCCAGTCCCCAGGGGCTCTGCCTCGAAAGAACTCGAGGTTTGATGGGGATACCAGCTGCATAACCTTGGCATAACTCTGTGATTGATTTTGTCACAGATCGAGAGAGGGCCTGGGAGGTTTCTGGAGTACAGTGTGAAGTCTGGAGTTTAGTGGGGCAGCCAGGTGTACAGGCACGGGAGGCCACGTAGCATGCAGCTGGGCTTTGTGGTGGGGGCTGTTGGGTCAGCAGCCACGAGGGTGAGGGGCCCTGGGGACGAGGACAGGGCCAGGCTTTGTGCTCACCAGCCACCTGCTGTCAGGTGTTCACACTGCCCAAGGTGAGCGCGAAGACCAAGTTCAAGCTGACGGCCCATGAGGGCTGTCGTGTGCGCAAGGTGGCACTGGCCACGTTTGCCAGTGTGGCCTGCGAGGACTATGCTGAGACCTGCCTGGCCTGCCTCACCAACCTGGGTGACGTCCACGTCTTCTCGGTGCCTGGCCTGCGGCCCCAGGTGCACTATTCCTGCATCCGGAAGGAGGACATCAGCGGCATCGCTTCGTGCGTCTTTACGCGCCATGGCCAGGGTGAGGCGGGGCAGAGGCCGAGGAGGCCTTCCTCAGGCGAGCGAACTGAGTGGGACCAGTACTGCTTGGGAGCAGGAAGGGCACTCCAGGTGGGCACAGGCCCAGGCCACGGAGGAGCTGTGGTTGGTGGTATCTTCTAACTGCACTCCTCATTCTTCTGCCCACCCAGGCTTTTACCTGATATCCCCATCAGAATTTGAACGCTTCTCCCTAAGTGCCCGGAACATCACAGAGCCGCTCTGCTCTCTGGACATTAACTGGCCCCGCGATGCCACCCAGGCCAGGTGTGTGGAGGGGCAGCTCCTAGCCTGGGGGACCTGTGCCCAGGGCCAGGTCTCATCCCACCCCCGAGATCTGCCTTCCCTGGGCTCAGGAGTGGGAGGGCAAGGATCTAGCGTGCCAGCCTCAAGTCATCCACCTATGGTCCCCATCATGGCCCCATCTCTGCAGTTACAGGATCCGAGAGTCACCCAAGCTGAGCCAGGCTAACGGGACCCCAAGCATCCTGCTGGCCCCACAGAGCCTTGATGGAAGCCCTGATCCAGCCCACAGCATGGGACCTGGTGAGGGGGGCATGAAAGGGGTCCAGACCCTGGCCCCACGGTGCCCTGGGGGAGGGAGTCGGGACTCACATAGCTCAGGGATCGGGCAGGCTTCTGTAGGAGATGGGTGGTTGTGTGCTCACTGGTGCCACCCCTCACCATGGGCTGCCTTATGGGTCTGTGTCCCTAGGCCCCCAGGTGCAGAGGGTGCTAAGGGTCCTGGTAGGGGCTGATGACTTGCTCCCTGTAGACACCCCGGAGCCACCCGAGGCTGCACTCTCACCCATGTCCATCGACTCAGCCACCAGTGCTGACACCACGCTGGACACGACAGGGGACGTCACAGTGGAAGATGTGAAGGATTTCCTGGGGTGAGGCTGGTGGGCAGGTCCACAGGGGGGGCTGCCCTGTCCCCTAGGCCTCCGTCCCCAGGGCTGCCAGGGGCTCCCCCGCCCCCACCCCTGAGCACCATCCCCATCTCGCAGCTCCTCTGAGGAGTCAGAGAAGAACCTGAGGAACCTGGCAGAAGACGAGGCCCACGCCTGTGCCATCCTGATCAAATGAGGTGCTGCAGGGGTGGGGCCCTGGTCCTCACCACTGGTGACGTCCACCCCCTTCAGCCCGTCTGGGTACCATTTGGCCCTGGTCTTCTACCTGAGACCCTGGCAGGCCCATGTGATGGCACTCTCTGAAACCTGGCTGCCTTCCATGGAGTGCCTCAATTGGGGACTTCTGGTGCTCACACAGACACCAGTGTCATGGTTGGGTATTAGAAAAGCAGGGCCAGCCCCTCAGCCCTTGCATGTGACAGGTGGTGGTTAGGACAAGACCAGATTTGTTTTGTTTTGTTTTGTTTTGTTTTGTTTTTGAGACGGAGTCTTGCTCTGTCGCCCAGGCTGGAGTGCAGTGGCGTGATCTTGGCTCACTGCAACCTCTGCCTCCTGGGTTCATGCCATTCTCCTGCCTCAGCCTCCTGAGCAGCTGGGACTACAGGCGCCCGCCACCACACCCAGCTAATTTTTTGTGTTTTTAGTAGAGACGGGGTTTCACTGTGTTAGCCAGGATGGTCTCGATCTCCTGACCTCATGATCCACCCGCCTCGGCCTCCCTAAGTCCTGGGATTACAGGCGTGAGCCACCGCACCCGGCCAACAAGACCAGATTAAACCACTTAGAGGTGGCAGTAGTTTGGGGCTTGGGAGCTGGTTTGGCCAGCCTGTTTCATAGATGAGATCACTGAGGTGCACGAGGTCAGGTCTCATCGGTTGGGCCCAGCAAGTGGCTGACTTACCCCTGCCTGAGTCTGTGGATCCTCACCTAGATGTGGGGCCCATAGATCTGCCCAGCGCATTTGCTGCCTCATGTTCCCAGGCACCTGACTGTAGGCCATAGCCTCACCCTGCACAGGACATGGACACCTCCCAGCTCTTTGTCTGGTGCCTCTCCCTGGCCTCAGTGGGGCATATGTGGCCTGGCGCTTGGATACCCATCTGGAGACTCAGCAAGCCCATCTCAGGTGGTCACTGAAGGGCCATGCCTGCCCTGCAGAGGAGACAGTGGCAGCACCTGTGTGGTCTGGCCGCTGTGGCAATCCATCTGCCCTTTTGCCCTCCCTCACCTTCTGCTGATACCTCTTCTCTCCCTCTTCCAGGAAGGCCAGAACTATCCCGACCTCCACCTGCCCTGCTCGGAGCTGGAGTGCTGGATCCCTGGCACCTGCCTGGCCCCTTAACATAGAACCACGCCTGCTAACCTGTAGGCTCCACTGGGACCTGCTGTCCTGTCCCGCCTGACCCTGGGCCCTGGAGCAGCACCAGCCCCAGGGTGTGGGCCTGGGACCTGGGCCAGAACTGAGCCCTCCTGCAGGCATTTGGCTGCCCTGGGGGCCCACTGCCTAGGGAAGAGGACAGGTGGGGCCCAGCACCTGTGCCACCTCCCCCCCTCCACACACCATCCTTCCCCCTCACTTTGCAGAGTATTTTTCCTTTTTTTTTTTTTTCTTAAAGACGGAGTCTTGCTCTGTCGCCCAGGCTGGAGTGCAGTGGCCCCATCTCTGCTCACTGCAAGCCCCGCCTTCTGGGTTCCCGCCATTCTTCTGCCTCAGCCTCCCAAGTAGCTGGGACTACAGGCGCCCACCACCACGCCCAGCTAATTTTTTCTGTATTTTTAGTAGAGATGGGGTTTCACCATGTTAGCCAGGATGGTCTCGATCTCCTGACCTCGTGATCCACCCACCTCAGCCTCCCAAAGTGCTGGGATTACAGGCGTGAGCCACCATGCCCAGCCCTGCAAAGAGTATTTTTCTAGCGCCTGGGCTGGACAGTTGTTTCTAAAACTAAACTATTTTGGTACCTGCTTCTGGGCCAGTCCCCAGCCTGTCATGAGTGTGTGTGTGCGGGCATGGATGTGACTGGGAGCTCTGCTGGGCACCCACATCTGGGGCCTAGTCAGGTGTGTGTGTCCGGCGGGGGGGGGGGGCAGGGGGGGGGGTCAAGATGAGTTTCCCTGTAGATTGTACCTTGGGGTTTTTTTCTGTCGTTTTGTTAAAATTAGCGCCATTTTAATATTAAAAATACTGATTTTTAATATTGAAAATAAAAGCATTTAATATCTCTTAAAGGGCATCCACATCTGCTTTATCCCTAGCGGAAGAGTGAGGGGGCTTCACACGTGCACTCACACTGTGGAGAGAGTTGGATTTCCCAGACCCCTGAGGGCACCTGTCAGGGTCATCCCCATTGGTGCTGCTTGAGGCTACTGGGGACTGTGGCACTGGACGTGGCTGGAGCAGGTGGTGTCACCTGAGTACATTCTTTGCTAGCAGACAGTGGATGAGGCCCCTTCCTCTTCCTCACCAAGCCTGGGGCTGTGCCAGCCTGTCTTAGGCCAGGGCCTTGCAGAAGGCGCTCCAGGCGTGGAAGCAGCGGGTAAAGGCGTGCTGCTCATTGCCCTTGCGGACCAGGCGCAGCCGGCGCGGCCGCTCATGTTCCTTGGACCGCATGTGCTGGATATATACCTGGCAAGGGGACAGCGAGCCTTGGGTGATGACCCTGCCCTGCCCACAGGCCCACCTCGGCCCTCCCTCCACCCAGATTACCTGGCAGGCCTTCAGGCTCAGCTTGATCTCCACCTGGCTAGTCTGGGTCCCCACCCACATGTAGACCTGTGGGGGCAGCAGGGGAGATACGGTTGCATGGGTGCCTGGGAACAGCCCCTTGCTCCTGGCCCGAGAATTCCCATTTGTAAGTAAGTCTATGGGCGCCTCCTTGGATGGGCAGGGCTAGTGGCAACATCACACCTCTTGGCCATTGTCTAGCAACATGATGTCATCATCTGCCAGGTCATCTTGGCAAAAGTCGGAGCATTTCTCAGTCACTGCAAAGTAGCCCTTCTCGTTGGAGCACCTGGGAATCAAGGGTCAAGGTGAGGCCAGAGGTCATAAGCAGCAGTGCCAGGACTGAGGGGAGGGTCAGGGCCCTGGCCTCACCGGAAGAGACGTGTGTGTTTCATGTACTCGGCATCGTCATCATAGGGCTTCTGTGCCCCAATGCCCACCCAGAAGAAGTTCTCAGGCTCCTCACCTTCGTTGATAACCTGCGGGAAAGGCCAGTCCAGCCCAGGGCCCCTGCCTGCCCTGGCTCCTCTGTGTGTGCCCGCCTGCCCGCCCGCCTCCTGACCTGCTTGCTGTAGGAGGTGTCAAACATGGTGTTCAGGATGTCTTCTGCCAACTTGGCTTCGTCAGGGTCTGATGCCCGGCCCACCCAGGCATACACGATGCCCTGGTTGTCCTCACTCTCAAAGGGAACCTGGGGAGTGTGCAGGGGTGGGGGTGTTCGCAGCTGACTCAGCCCCCAAACACCCCACCCCTTGGTCCACGGAGTCCTGGCTCACACCCACAACCCCACCTTGAGGATGAAGCAGAACTCGGAGTTGAGGAGGCTGGAGTCGGTGTTGATCTGGATGCACCTGTGGAAGGGATGGGGCATCAGCAAGGATTCAGGCCTGGCTCCCTGACGCTTGCTCGCCACTGCGTCCTCCCCCAGCCAGGCACCGGGTGCAGAGGGCGCTGCCGTTGGTGCGGATCTGGTAGAGGCTGGGCTGTTGGGCGCCCTGGACCGCCTTCCTCTTGCCCCGGTGGATGATGAACTTCCTCTTGAAATGGGACAGGAACTTGGGGTTCTCCTGCTGCTGCGTCATGCGTACCACCTGGGGATGTGGAAGTGTTAGGGGCAGCTCCCTGGACCCCCACCTGCCCCTCGGGAGCCTAACCTTCGCTGGGTCTGAGCCCCACCACACCCCTCCGCCTGGCCTCGGGCTCGCGGGGCTGCCAGGCACACCTCCAGCTTCCCAGGGAAGAGGCTCTCGAACTTCTTTTGCAGGCTGAAGGTGAAGGTGAGCCAGCCCATATTGGAGGCTTCACGGCCCTGCCAGAAGTACACGATGCACTGGAAGTCCTCCTCTGGCTGCTTCTCCTCTGCCTCAGCGGTTGCTTCCTCGCCTTCTTTGCCCTCGGCCTTCTCCTCCTTGTCTTCCTTCTTTTCCTCCTCCTCGTACTCCACAGGCACCCAGTACCTGCCGGGTTGGAAGGTTGTGAGCAGGGGCTCGAGCCCCCAGCACCAGGGGAGGGACTTGGGGAAGGGAGTGCTGAGGTGGTACCTGCAGAGGAAGACGTAGCAGTCCTGCGTGTAGAAGTGGCCAAACTCCTCTTCCGGCAGCCGCGCAAACTTCTTGCCCTCCAGCACGAAACCCTCCATGCCGTCTAGGTCTTCGTTCCACTCCTCCATCAGCTGCTCCGCCTGCAGGTGAGAGGGACCCGCCCCGCGGCAGGTCTGAGCGCGCTCTGCGCATAGGCCCCGCCCTCGGCCTGCCCCCCACCCCCCCCCCCGCGCCCCGGTCCCGGCCCTGCCCCCACCTCGGCCAGCGACATGGGCGGCTGCCGCGGCAGGAAAAGCGCAGTGAGGTCAGCCTTCATCTGGTCTTTCTTCTCGGCGTCGCGTTTCACCTTCCCGGAGAGACCCGGGCTCTGCAGCACGGCCTCCGCATTGCGTGTGTAGTCCACCGTCAACACATCGTCCCAATTCTTGAACTTGGCCTTGAACACCTGCCAGGGAGGCCATCAACTAACCATGAGGGGTGCGGCATGATTAGAGTTGGAGGAAGTAGCCCGAGGCTTGAGGCGGGACCCAAGGGAGATCTAGGGCGGGGCTTGGGAGGCGGGGCCTCGGACACGGAGGTAGGAATAGGAGGGGCAGCTTGCAGAGGGGGCGGGGCCTGGGCAGAGTCAGCAAAGAGGAGGTGGGTTTGGGCCCAGCTCTGTAGGGAGGTAGTGAAGCCACAGGGGTCAGGGCATGTCAGGGTGCGAAGGATCCTGGGGAGGGGCCTCCGAAGCTGCAAGCGCACCTGCGCCTCGGTGCCCTCGAGGCTGCGGCTGACCGTGGCATGGCGTGGCCGGTGCAGCATCCCGCACAGCTCCTGACCCAGCTTGAGGGCGGCAGCGCGCACCAGGCGCGGGGACTTGCGGCCGAGCCAGATGAACACGTCGGACCAACAGTCCAGAATGTACACGCAGCGCGTGTCCAGCAGACTCTGCAGCTGCGGACCGGGAGTCTGGAGGTCAAAGCCCAGCCAACGGGGAGGGATCTGGCCCCACGCCCTCCTCCTGCATCTCTTACCAGCCGCATTCTTGGCATCAGCTCCACCTTGGGACGCTGCTTATGTTCCACGGAGAGCTTGTAGTTGATCTGTGGCAGCTCCAGGTAGCCCAAGCCCAGGCCCACCTGGCAGGAAGGATGAGCATGGCAGGGAAGGGATCTGGAGACAGGAACCTCACCCACACAGCCCTCTGCTCTGGAACCAGCCCTGCCCTGCAGCGTGGCTCACTGACTGCTTCTGTTTCCCCCTCCCCTTCAAGGTCTTTTTAGGGATATCCTTTCAGAAGGGCTTTTAAATGGAGTTTTCCCTGCCTGCCCTCTCCAGGCCCTTCATGCCATTTCTAATTAACGTGTCCCTTTCCTGTTCACAAGAATCTAGATAATTGAGCCAAGGTTCCCAGCCCTGGCACTAGGTGCTTCTGTCTCCCCTACGGCCCCACCATCCTGGAAAGACTCCGTGAGGCTACTTCTCAAAAGCAGCCTCCAGACCTTTGCTCATACTGTTCCTTGTCCAGAAGGTGGCACCCTCTCCCCACCAAAGTCGAGATGGAGCCCAAAGCCAACTACATCGGTGTGTAGTCCATTCCCCCAGTCGGTGGGTGAACTTGGGAGGCCAAGGTGGGCCTCAGCAGCAGGGCTCACCTTGTACAGCTTGGGCTGCGGCGGCCAGAAGTCTTCAGGCACGTGCTTCTTGATCTCAGAGGGCTCCCCACCCAGTGCCTCCCAGAACTCTGGGAGCTCCTGGCCCTGCACCAGCAGTGTGATCTCAGCCTTCCCTTTCCGCTCATTCTTGTTAATTTTCTCTGCAAAGAGCCTGAGAGCAGGATGCAAAGTCATCAGCGAGGCTCACACCCCTTTCCTTCACACAAAAGACCCCACGGTGTCCTTGTACCTGGCCTTGGTGGTGCTGCTCAGTGTGGCCTGGGCCCCCCGCCATACGTAGATGTCTAGCCCTCGGTCCAGCAGGAAAACAAACCTGGACAAGAAGGGGCAGGAAGGAGCTGTGATGGTGCATGGGGCAATGGTCACCCCATGCTCCTGACCCCACCAAAAAAAATCCCTCACTATGGGGTTTCTGGGTAAGCCCCAGGGACCCCCCGCCAAGCTCGTGGGCAGGAATTGCTAGAGGGCCTCCTCTTCTAAGAGGCCCACACCTGCCCCCACTGGTGGGGAGGAGGCTGAGGATGAAGCACCCCCACCTCACATTGTTGGGGCTCACCTTGGGTCCAGAGAGGTCCCCTTGAGGGGCACAGGCTCCAACTTGATGTTCTTTTTCCCATACACACGATACATCCTGGGCGCAGGGCAAGAGTGGCTCAGTGTAGGCACCAAGGGCCTAACTTAGCCCCAACACCCTCCCCTCCACCCCTTGCCAGCAGACTCCAGGTCCATACCCCCCACTGCCCACACACCCTCACCTGGTGACATAGTGTGTGTCTTCCACAGTGTAGAAGCCACTGGCTGTTCCACCCTCAATGTAGGAGATGTCGTTGTCAAACACCTGTGTGTGTGAGGGTGTGGTTCTTCATCACTGAGCTGCCCCCTCCCCCACCAACCACTGCCCCTCAGGTGGGGGTACAGAGTTGCATACAGGTGAATTGAGTGCTACAAATCTATGATGCCTGTAATCCCAGCACTTCAGGAGTCTGAGGTGGGTGGATCACCTGAGGTCAGGAGTTGGAGACCAGCCTGACCAACATGGAGAAACCCTGTCTCTACTAAAAATACATAAATTAGCCAGGCGTGGTGGTGCATGCCTGTAATCCCAGCTACTCGGGAGGCTGAGGCAGGAGAATTGTTTGAACCTGGGAGGCGGAGGTTGCAGTGAGCTGAGATTGTGCCATTGTACTCCAGCCTGGGCAACAACAGCAAAACTCTGTCTTAAAACAAACAAACAAACAAACAAACAACAACAAAAAAAACAGATCTGGCTGGGCACGGTGGCTCATGCCTGTAATCTTAGTACTTTGGGAGGCCAAGGCGGGTGGATCACCTAAGGTCAGGAGTTCGAGACCAGCCTGGCCAACATGGCAAAACCCCATCACTACTAAAAAAATACAAAAATTAGCTAGGCGTGGTAGCACATGCCTGTAATCCCAGCTACTTGGGAGGCTGAGGCAGGAGAATCGCTTGAACCCTGGGGGCGGAGGTTGCAGTGAGCCAAGATTGTGCCACTGCACTCCAGCCTGGGCAACAAAGCGAGAGTCTGTCTAAAATAAAACATACACATCTGTGTCTATAAACATACACACGTCGGGGTGTTGGGATGTATGAAAAATATGGACACGTTCACCCACGTTTGTAAAGATGCCAGCAGCATGTTTAGATGCACGCATATCAGGGTACACAAGCAAGTGGGTTCATGGAAGAGTGGAAACCTGGGTGAATGTGGGTAAAAAAAACTCGGGGCGGGTGGGGTGTGTGCATAAACTCCACGTGTGTGTACATGCGAACATATGTCTAGGTGTAACCAGCTGGCGGCTAACACTGCTCAGTAATTTATTCAAGACTGGACTCTGGTCCCGCCCTTGGCCCCACCTCCTTGGCATCCAGGTGTGTCCTTGCCTCCTAATAACAGGTTTTGGCCCTGCCTTCTCACTGCTCTTGGCAACACCCCTTCCACCCTACTCTCAGCTCCCCTGTGTCAGCCCACTGGTCTAGCTCCCATGCCCAGCCTGTACCCTTATCCTTGCCCGGCTGAATTCTGCCCCGCGTTCCAGAACTCTCCTTTGCTGACCCAGGCTTTGGCCACCTTAGACCTCACCCTGCGGTCTGCCTTAGGTCCCGCACAGTATCGTTGATCCACCCCCTTTAACCCCAGCTCCCTGCCTGCCCACCTGTTCTGCCTACCTGCCTTGGGCCCACTGCCCCTGCACCAGAGTTCCCTGGGAACCCCACTCTGCCCACCCCCAATTTTAACGGGCTGGCACCTGCAGGAACTCCTCGCTCTCATCGCCCATCTCCTCCCGGACAGTGCGGCACTCAGCACCCAGGTAGTTGCGCAAGTTGACAGCGTGGATGGCAGAGCAAGCTTTCTTGTCGAGTGTGGCCTCCCCGCCAATCCAGTAGTAGATCTCCCAGTTGAGGGAGCCGCTGTCATCCAGAAAGGTCTGGAAGCCAAGGCACCGGCCACATCAGCTTTCATCCTGGTCTTCCGGCCACCCCGGAGACGCCACTCTGAACAGCACAGGCTTCCCAGCCCCAGGGGCTTTGTACTGCCCCTGTGCCTGGACCACCTCCTGCAGCCTGCCCACCTCCCACCTGGCCTCCCTGAACAAAACTCTGGAGTTGGGGACTGAGCCATCTTAGAGGAAGGTACTGGGCCACATGGCCCCTAACAGCATGCCCAGCCCTCACCTTGAGCACAATGTAGCAGTCAGCCTCGTAGAACTTGCCGTGGAAGGCTTCCTCCACCAGCACAGGCACGAAGTTCTCTATCTGCCAGATGGTCAGTCCGGGCAGCTGGCCCACGTCCTCCGTGAAGAACTCGGAGTAGTCAAGGCGGGGCTTCTCCAGGCCCTGGTCCCAACGCCGCACCTTCCCGCTGGGGGCCCGGGCATCTGCGCTCTCCTGGGGGCAGAGTCACAGAGCACGGCTTGACTCTGTGAAGCCACTCAGGCCAGTCTTTACTTGCTACCCACACCTCAGGGCCTTTGCACAGCTGTTCTTTCTGCCCAGCACCCCCCGTCCCTCTTGGCCAGGGTCAAGGCCAGGGTCGGCCTTCAGCAGAAGCTAAGGCTCCCTGCCTTGTCCCAACCCTGGCCTGGCTCACCTCCTGCTTTTTGTTCTTCTCCTGGGCAACATCTGACATGCCCTTCAGCACCTGCTTGGCCTGGTCATCCTGGGCTGAATCCTTGCGCCTCCGCAGTCGCATCTTGCGAGCCATAGGGTCCTTGGGCCCACTCCCTGCTTAGGGGAGGGGCAAACAGCTGAGCCCTCACTGGGCCTGCTGCCCCCTTGGGCATGCGACCAACCAGGGGCCAACTCCACCCACCAGGGTCCAGAAAGCTGTATGCCACCCAATTTACAGATGTGTCATTTGAGGCCTGGAGAGGAGCCCCCGTTCCCAGGCCAGACCTTTCCCCACTCACCAGCTGCAGCTGCAGCCACGGTAGCAGGAGAGGCACCCGCTAGCCGCAGCTGGTTCTGCAGCGAGAAGTCGATGTTGTACCACTCAGCGGCACGGTCTGCGGGCTTGGGCGGCATGACCAGGTTGGGGTTCTCCCGCACATCCAGGACCTGCCCCATAGGGTGAGCAGAGCCGGCACTGAGCCTGGGTCCTACCTCCCAGACACACCAATCCAGTTTCTTGCTCTTGTCTGCAGCCGCCAGGGCTGAGAGGTCAGGGAACTGGGTTCTCCTCCCACCCACCTCTGGGGCTGGCTGGGGGCTTAAATGAGACTGTGGAATGTACTCTGGATGCAGGGAGGTGGGGCCCACCTTCTCCCCACGGGCACCCTGGCACTGGCCACCTCCCTCAGGAGGCCTCTGCTGGGTCCCCCTTGCTCCAGGGCACACCCCTTGCTTGTCTCTCTTGAGCCCTCTCAAACCCAGCATGCCTGACCTCGATCTCCGTCAGGAAATGGATGGCTTCTGGGAGGGTCACCAGGTGGTTCTTGTTCAGGACAAGTTTCCTCAGCTTTGGGCACCTGTGAAGACAGGGCCAGCCAGGGCCTCAGGCAGGTGACAGACAAGGGGAAGTGGGCAAGAAAACCCCTAGTCCTGGGGAGGGGAGGCAGGTAGGGTCAGAGGAACTGGCGGGGGTCTCCATTCTCTGCCTGAAGGACTTCTCAGAGCCAAGAGACCATGTTACGGGCACTGTGATCTCCAGAAGGGGAGAGAAGCAACACTGCGTTCCCACGTCATGTGGCCTTGTCCCTAACAGTGCCCCCCGAAGGGTGCTCTCAGGGGCTCAAGTTGGGAATGGCTGGCATGGGACTGTGGTCTTCATCCACAAAGGTGAGTTAACTGGGCCGGGCGTGGTGGCTCACACCTGTAATCCCAGCACTTTGGGAGGCTGATCATTTGAGGACAGGCATTCAAGACCAGCCTGGCCAACATGGTGAGACCCCATCTCTACTAAAAATACAAAAAGAGCCGGGCGTGGTAGCGCACGCCTATAATCCCAGCTACTCAGGAGGCTGAGGCAGGAGATTCGCTTGAACCTGGGAGACAGAGGCTGCAGTCAGCCGAGATTGCACCACTACATTCCAGCCCAGGCGACAGAGCGAGACTCTGTCTCAAAAACAAAAAAGAAAAGAAAAGAAAAGAAAAGGTGAATTAACCCATCTTCATTTTGTCTGACTTGCACAGACCACAAGGTGGGCTCTGACTACGATCCCGGGGTTCTCTGTGCTGCAAGTGCCTCTGCTAGCCCCAGCCCTGCCCAGCACCTGCAGAGACTTTCAGGGACCAGCTCCAGGTTGTTGTTGGCAGCCATGAACTCTTCCAGGTTGGTGAGCTTGCCAATGCCTGAGGGCAGCCCGTCAAAGTCCAGCTTGTTGGAATTCAGGTACAGCTTCTTCAGCTTGCTCAGCTTGCAAATGGCTGACTGGAGGGGGAACGGGCAGGGGTGGGAGGTCAGGGCCAGGCTCACGGCCTTCCTCCCATCCCCCTACTGAGGGCCTCAGACGCACGGGCAGTGAGGTGAGCTGATTTCGGGACAGGTTCAGAGTTTCCACGTGCACCCACTGGTCTATGCACAGGGACAGCTCCGTGATCTGGTTGCTGCTGAGGTTGAGGCGGCGCAGGCTGGGGAGGGTGTACAGACACTCGGGCACCCGTGTCAGGTCATTGCAGGACAGATCCACGTCTGGGGTGCAGGGTGGGGTGCATCAGCTGGGGCCCATACACCAGGTGCCAGGGCAGCCAGCCCTAGTGTGAACCCCAGCTCTGCCACCTCTGAGCTGTGTGGCTTAGGCAAGTGACAACTGCTGTGCGCCCAAGTTTCTCCATTTGGACAAACTCCCTCACATGGGGGTTGCGGGGGAGTTTTCTAGGCATAAAGTCAGTGTTAAGGCATCATCATAATCGCAAAAGTCACTGTAACATAACTCCAGCCTTTTCCCTCTGGGTATTGGTCCGAAGAGCAGGGTTCAACCCCTTCCACCCAAGGAAGCAAGAGGGCCCAGAGGGGGCCCGAGCTCAGAGGGGCTCCTGGGGCTGCCTGACCTGCGAGGTTGCTCAGACCCTCCAGGCTGGTGGGCAGGTTGCTCTGGGTGCGCTGGGTGCTCCGCAGGTGCAGGGTCTGCAGGGCCGTCATCGCTGGGAGCTGCCTGCCAGGGTGACGTGAGTGGTCAGGGCCAGGGCCCACCTAGGGAGTGTTAAGGGTGGGGCTTGGCAGGGCAGGACCAAAAGCACAGGGCCCAGAGGGTAGGTGTGAGGTCACATCTGGTTGAAGGGACAAGCCCAAGGGTGGTTGCGGGGTGTGTAAGCGGGAAGACAGGACTGAGAGGTGGACATGATACTTAGGAGGTTGTACACTGAGGGGTGCTGCCTGCACGGAGGGATGGCTGGGCCTAAGGGAGAAGGGTTAGGGCCCTGGGAAGTGAAGGGGCCCGGCCAGACTCCTCAGGGTGGCTTCTGCAGGAGTGCGGTCCGAGGGGGCGCCCACCGGAGCTGTGCATGCAGCAGGGGGTTTCCATTGAGCACGAGCGTCTGCAGGTGCACCAGGCGGCGCATCTGCGGGGGCAGGCTCTCCAGGCGGTTCTCGCTGAGGTCCAGGTATAGTAGGTCAGTGAGGTTGATGAAGAGCTGGTTGGGGATGGTGTCGATGCTACGGGTGGGGAGCAGGAGCCACCTGAGTCAGCACCAGCCACCCCACAGGGCCCACCTGCCCCCTGCCCCCCACTGGCCTGGCACCTGTTGTGGCTGAGGTTCAGCACCAGCATGTTCTTGGCGTTCTCCAGCTCCCGCGGGCACTCTGTCAGCTGGTTGTGGCTCAAGTCCTGGGTAGAAGGGGCAAGACCCAGGTCAGGGGAGTCTCCTCCCCACCAGGCGTCTGCCAAGCTTGGGGATCAGGCAGGGCACTGAGTTGGGTGTGGGGGTAGATGAGGGGGCTTCAGGGCCAAAGGGAGACAGCCAGGGACTTGGGAGGAAGAGTGCCTGTGTTAGGGATCTGACTCCAAAAGTGACCTCAGGCAAGGTATTATCCACTCCAAGACTCAGTTTTCCCATCTGCAAAATGGGATAACAATGGCCCCAGGGACTTTTATAGTGAGTGGGGATTGAATGGTCCGGCTAGCACAGGGGCCAGGTGAGTGGGTAGCCACTGACCAGGACTGAGAGATCATCTAGCTTGAAGATGTCATCGGGGACTCCGGAATTCTTCAGACTGTTGGCTCGGGCCACGATGGCCTGGGAATAAACCATAAGAGTCTATAATTCCTGGCTTCCACTCTCAGGAAGGAACAGAGTCTAGAGAGGGACACCTCCTCAGGCAGCTCACCAGAGGCCAGGCCTGAGGACTCTCTCACCTCTGGCCTTTGATCAAATAGCTCCCTCTCCTGGAGCGCTCTTCCTAGCCTCCCAGTGAGCTCCTATTCATGCCTCAAAGCCCAGCTCAAATGTGCCCCGGAGCCCCAGCACAGGGCCCTCAGGGAACCTTTTCTGTTCAAACCATTTCTCTTCTTCTTAATTCCAGAAGGTGAGATAGGGGTAAGGTCTGAGTCAGGGTTTTCAGAACAGAGGGAGAGAAGTGGACCACAGAGAAATCAGAATCTGGATGGAGAGGAAGTCTGCTTTCTCTCCCTAACTTAAGACTGACACCTCCTCATACCTTACAGACATGCAGAAAGCTTGAGCATGAGGGAACAGGGCCAGAGAATGGTGTCGTGACTCCAAGTGACAACGGGAGTCACCGGAGCTGCCCCGCCACTTCTCCAGTCTGAATGCCTGTGCGGCACCCTGCTGCTGCTTCACGGGGTCACTGCTGCCCCTCCCAACCACTGCACTTGCAGAGGAGGCCCAGAAGGTAGAAGCGATTTGTACAAAGTCACATCACCAGGAAGTGGCAAAGCCCAGCTTTGAACTCAGAGAGTCCAAGTCAGAAGCTGTGCCCTAAACATCTCCAGGGCTCTGACTTCAGATGGGATGGCCCTCGTTGAGGCCTACAGGGTCTGGCCAAGGGCCTGATGTTCTGGGACGTTCAAGTCTTGGGTAGAAGGTACACGGTGCTCCCGGCCAAACCCCACTCAACACCAGCTCTACCACTGCCTGGCTCTGTGACCTGGGGCAAGTAATCTGCCTTGGTGGCCAAGTTTCTCTTCTGCAACATTAGTGGAGGGCTAGAGCATATGAAAAAATCCTAACAGAATAGTGGGAACATTGCTCAGCCAGTCTTGGCTATTATTACTGTAGTTATTGTCCATAACGGCTGGTAAGATTTTGGATTTCTTTACCTTTTTCCTGATGGAATTCTCTGATCCACATGGGTTACTTTACACAGGGCACTGCTGTAACCTCTAATGAGAGGGCCCCTCTGTGACACCTGAGCCTCTGAGCCTGACACGGAGGTGGGCAGAAATGCTGGCCCAGCTTGGTGTCTAGCCCAGGCTTCACGTCCCTGACCGGACCTTGGCCCCAACCCCAAGCTCGGTGGCCTCCCGGCCAGCACTCACGCGCAGCGATGGCAGGCTGGACAGCTCCCCATGAAGCGTGGTCAGGTTGTTGTGGCTCACAGACAAGTGTTCCTGGGCCGGAATGGGGAGCACAGGCTCAGCAGGGTGGGTGGGGTGTCCAGAGTCCCTGCCTGCCTCCACAACTCTGCACCATCCAGGAAGGCCTCAGCCACACTGGCCCAACTACCCCTGCAGCTTCCCTCCCTCACTCACCCGGCCTCTTCTTGCACACCTCCCTGGACAGGGTGCCCACTCCCTTTCTTCCAGCTCTGCTCATAGCTGTCGGTGTTCCTCTCTCTGGAGAAGTTGTCTGCCTTCTCCACAGGCTCTGCCCACCTGGCTCATCCACAGGGACCCTCCCCTGCCCGCCCAAACCCCCTTACCAGCTTCTGCAGGGCGGCCAGCTCCTCGGGCAGGTAGCAGAGGCCAGTGCGGTTCAGCTTCAGCCACCGCAGGCTGGTCATGGCCTTGACATTCTCAGGGAAGTAGCCGCCCTGGGGGAAGGATGTCAAGGTGAAGCACAGAGCCCCTGCTCACCACCTTCTATGGCTCCTCCAGCCCATGGGAGCCTTTGGGGAGCCACAGAACCAACTCTCACCATCTGTGAGAACACAGACAAGTCATTTCATCATTGTGCCTCAATTTCTTCACCCATAGAATGGGAATTTTAAGCCCCCCCGTGACAAAAGTGTTGGCCTAAGATTTGTCTCTCCTACTGGATTCTGGGCCCCAGGAGGGCCAGGACAAAACTGGCTTGTTTCAGGTGAAAGCCCAGCATCCGGCTCTGTGGTTAGCTCGGCTCAAATTCCTTCACCTAGCATTCCACACTCTGACTGGCTGCCTGGGGTGGGGGATCCCCCTTCCAAGCCTTTGCAAAGGCGCCACCTGTGCCCTCATCCTGCCATCAGCACACTGGCAACTCACGGCCAGGGTCAAACCCTTGCTTGCGGAGACCGTGGCTCCCCACCCTGCAGGGCAGGCCAGCATCACTGCACTCCCCTGGTGTGTGAACGCCCACCTCGGCACCTCCAGCCCTTGTGGCACCAAGTCTGGGGCAGTAGGTGCCTTCAGTGCCTGCGGCTGATATTCCTTTCCCCCTAGCGCCACATTCCCAGCTGGTGACTCGGACTCTCCCAGTTCAGCAAAGAGGAACGGGGACCCCAGGTTAGGGTGGTGGGGATGGGGTCAGGGAAAAGTGGTGTAGCCACTTGTACTTGGGGTCAAAGGTGTGTACACAGGCAGGTAAACGCAGGAAAAACCTGCCTCCTCGGCCCCAGCCCCAGACCAACAACCCAGGCCGACCCTGCCAGTCACCCACCCTGAAGGTGAGGCTGACCCTCCAGCCAGCTCTCCCTCCCTCTCTTTCTCTGCTTCCCCTTTGGTCAGGCAATGCCTGTCTCATTCTTGAGTCCTGGAACCACCCCGCCGCCCCACCCACTGGCTGCGGAGGGCTGGGCTCCGGTCCCTTTTCTCTCAGTCCAGCAGCTGCTCAGACAACTGCCACCCAGCACCTGGCACACCGGCCTGACACACTCTCCACACCAACAAATCTCACTATACTCCTTGCGTCCAAGGAGGAGACTTTTAAGCCCCTTCACCGGCTGAGAAAGCCTAGGCTCTGAGAGGGGAAGTGATCTGAGAGGCCCAGGATCACACAGTATGGCGGGTGGCGGTGGCGGGGAGAGGGCAGTGATGAGTCGGCTCCACACCCGCCCCTGGGCAGCCGGGCAGCCATCCCTGAGTCAGGGCCTGGCTTGGGCGTGTGACCTCAGAGGGGCGGGGAGGCTCGCCCGATCCCCAGGCCACCATCCAGCCTAGACCGAGAACACGGACGCGGGGTGGGGGCTCCCGGCCGGGCCCCCGGCGGGACTCCGAGCCCAAGCGTCCGTCCCCGGCCTGCCCAGCCTCGGTCTCCCCGTACAGGCACTGGGCGGAGGCCTCGGAGGTCCATTCCTGGCCAGGGGAGAGCCCCACCCCGCCCCGGCCGCAGTCCCTGGGACACGCAGGGCCTGGAGCCGAGCGGGACAGGAAGCGGAGGCCAAGCGGGCCGGGCGGAAGAGAAGGCCTGCAGGGAGGCCCGGCACGCGCCCGGCCCGGCTCACCTTGAAGTCGTTGCCGCTGAGGTCCACGCCACGCACGAACGGCAGCACCCCGGTGGCCTCCATGGCGCCGCTCTCGCTGCCGGGCCGCGCCGGGCTAGGGAGCGCCGGGGCGAGGGCGCTGGGGGGAGCCGCGGGCTGGGCCAGCGCCGGCCCCGCCCCTTTAACCCGCCCGCGCCCGCCGCATTCCGCGGGGAAGTGTAGGCTTTAGGCCTCTTAGGGCCTCAGTTTCCCCGTCTGTTCGAAGACTGCGGAGGCACCAAGGAGTGCGGGCCCCCCCTGTGCTGGAGTTGGAGGCTTCCACGATCTCCAGGCTTAAGTCCCAGCGCCCCAGGGCAGGGGCCGTAACGGCCGCTGGTCGAGGCACCGTCACCTGCGCTGCTGCAGCACATGAAGCTGGCCCTGACCTCAGAGAGATTCTAAACCTCGGCCCCGGGGCGCAGAGGCCCAGGAAGTGCCTGTACTTGGCTGACCGGTGGTAGTGAGACACCTGGATCCTCGGGTCCTAGCTCTCCTGCTTCTGGACTTAGTTTCCTCATGTGTTGTTTTTGTTTTGTTGAGACAGGGTCTTCTTGCTCTGCTGCCCAGGCTGGAGTGCAGTGGTGTGATCATAGCTCACTGCAGCCTCGAACTCCTGGGCTCAGCCTCCCGACTACCTGGGATTATAGGCGCAGGCCACCACACCTGGCTAAATTTATTTATTTTATTTATTTTTTATTTTTTTTGAGACAGAGTCTCGCTCTGTCGCCCAGGCTGGAGTGCAGTGGCGCAGTCTCGGCTCACTGCAACCTCCGCCTCCCGGGTTCACGCCATTCTCCTGCCTCAGCCTCCCGGGTAGCTGGGACTACAGGCACCCGCCACTACGCCCGGCTAATTTTTTTTTTTTTTTTTTTTGTATTTTTAGTAGAGACGGGGTTTCACCGTGTTAGCCAGGATGGTCTCGATCTTCTGACCTCGTGATCCAACCGCCTCGGCCTCCCAAAGTGCTGGGATTACAGGCGTGAGCCACCGCGCCCGGCCTTATTTATACTTTTTGTAGACACGGGGTGCTTGCTATGTTGCCCAGGCTGGTCTTGATCTCCTGGCCTCAAGTGATCCTCTGGTATCAGCTTCTCAGAGTGTTGGGATGACAGGCGTGAGCCACCGCGCCCTACCCAGTTTCCTCATTTGTAAAATACTTTCTAAGGTTGTCACCATGAGCAAATTAACAAAGAATGCACGTGTAGCTCGCAGCATACAGCAGGCGCTCAGTGAGTGGCAGGTTATTATTCCGTTTTGTTTTGTTTTGTGCGCCAGGTTATTATTCCCACTTAGTGTCAGCACCCCTGTGCTCGTACCCCCCTACAAAGGGAGGCTCCAGAAGAGAAGCATCCGTCTTGGTCCTTGCTGTTCAAGGGGGCTCGCCCTGGCTGACACATAGCAGGACCCCAATAAATGAGCCACAGCTGTTATATGCCCAACCATCCTTCGCAGGGGAGGAGGGGGTCTAGTGTCCCCATTTTACAGGAGAAAAACTGATGCCCAGGTGGAGAATGGCCCACACAAGCTCGCACAGAGCAGGTGGCAGGGGTAGGCGCTGTGCCCCTCAGGCCCACAGGTAAGAATGAGGCCACCAAGACACTCTCTCGCAGAGGTGACCTAAGAGGTTGGATGTGCCGGGCCTCTAGCCATGTGCAGCCTCTCTACCTGGTCCCCAGAAGGAACGGGGCCCAGACAGCTTCCTCCACACCGGAGGCTCACATTACAACGCACAGACGTCCTGGAGGGTCGCCTGTCACGTCACCTGTTCGCGGTCTCGGAATGCAGCCCTGCACCTTTAAATCCAGACTGCGTCAGGGAGTCCCGCCCCAGAGGGAGTGCGGCTGTCGGCTGGGGGGCGGGACCTGCCCTTCATTGGCTGAACCGCGCAGTATTTTGGCACCTGTGCGCTGGACTCGAGCGCTCCGATTGGAGTTAGGGCCTGCTTGTCTGCGTGCTGCGAAGTCCGCGGCTGCCCCCGGGGCCCTAGTCGTTGGGTTCCAGGGTCCTTCACGTTCCATTCCCAGGCTGGTCTGAGCTCCGGGGCCGTGGTCCCGCTGCCTCCTCCGGTCGTCGTGCGGAAGCTGCGACGCAGGTACAGCTGGAGCGCGGCGGGGCGGCCCCCAGGGTCACCGGGCTCGGGGCTTGGCGCGCGACGGAACGCAGATCGGGGGCGTGGCCCGCGATCACCGCTGGGGAAGGCGGGGAGGGGACCTTTGGGGGACCAAGGGCAGCGTTCGAATCCTAGCCCAGCCCCCTTCCCCTCTCGGTCTCTTGGTTTATCCTGCGAACGGGGCGTCACCCGCCCACCTAGGGCTGCTGCGCGGCCTGCTCCGCCCGGGCCCAGGGCAGGCAGGTTTGGCGGAGGAGGGAAGGCCAAACGGCCTCCAGGGCCCCGCTGCGCAAACTTGGGTTATTTTCAGCCACCCGTGCCCTTTCCTGCTTCTCGGAGCTGGAAGGCTGTGGACTGAGGCCTGCGCGACCCCGCCAGAGATGGGGCTGAGTCCCAATTTAGACAGGTTGGGAGTATTTAAAGCGCTTTACAGTTTGCAAAGTAGATTCCTGGTCTCTCTGGGGGCGGGTGGCAGTATTGATCCCCGAGTCACCGATGAGGAGATTGAAACCGGCCCTGGGGCCGTGGCGGGTCACCCGGTTGGCCTGGGATCGCCCCAGAGACCGTCTTATTTTTAGTCTGGGGCGAATGGGCGGGTGTACGGGGCTGAGTCACACAGCGCTTCAGGCTTCAGCTACTCCAGGCATCTGGTCACCTGGCAACTGGGCCCCTGGCACCCACACTCTGGCAGGGCAGGTAGAAGTCCTTGGTGCCCGGGCAGGCTGTGACCTCATGGTCATCTGCTCAGGCCTCCCCGGGAGAGTTCTGCTTGGTGTCTAACTGATGTCCTAAGGTCCCAGCCCTTCTCAGCTCCCAGGGCCTGAGGGCAGTGTCCCCCTCGCAGAACGTGAGGAATGTGGACTGGGCCCTAGGAGATCTTTGCCTCCACTTCCCAAGTGCTGGCCCCCACCCAGCCACACACTTCAAGGCTGCCCACATCTGCCCCTCACTGCTGCCTATGCCATCTTACAGGTGAGCAAACAGGCTGGGGCCCAGGCCTTCACCTTACTTTCTGTGTTGCTTGGCCTTCCGGCAGTTGAGAAGCATCACCCACCACTACCTACACATTGTCCCAAGACTGAGAGGCCCAGAGAGCCCCCTGTACAGAGGCACTGGGCAGCCCTTTCTGCCCTGCCAAAGGGGCTTCAACCCTGACAAGCACATCTGCATTGGCCTGCCTGGGCAGCTTGGGCCGTCTTACTCTGCCCGTGCTCTGACTTGGTAGCTCTGCCTCTTGGGCTACCCTGTCAAGATTTGGGGGTAACTGGTCCCAGTGGTCCCCCAGACTGGCTGGGGCCCCAAATTGTTGGTCTTCTCTGGACTTTGGGCTCTTCTGAAGAGGTTATCATAGAGGGCTGCTGTGCCCTCTGGGTAGGAACCTTCAGATGAGGCTGCTGCTGAGGACCTGGGCACCTGGCACAGGGAGAATCCGTCAGACTCTGTGGGCGGATGAGAGTCTGGAGGCCTTGCAGTCATGGGTTGGAGACCTTACCACTCACTTGTGAGCTGGCAGCCTGTAGCTCTGTAACATAGGGGTAGTGATGATGACACCCTGGTGATGTCAGAGGTCCTGGAGGGTGGGCTCCAGGGAGAGAGGCCCCTTCCTATACCTGCACAAGCCTCAGGGCCTTTGTGAGCTTCTTTCCAGGCAGCTTTGGGAGAAGGGGCTTGGCAGCTCCCTCATCTCCTCATGAGAGATGGGGGCTTGGGACCCCAAAACCCAAGCTCATATCCCATCCCTGCCCTTTCTCAGGTACTTTACGTGATTTCCCAGGGCCTCGGTGTCCTCCCCTGTGGATGGGTGGCCCCTTTCTCTGAGAAATTCTCAGAAAGCCCCCCTCATGGGCTCAGCTCTGTTACCCAGCATAAGGACAGCTAGAGCACCTGTCCACAGCAGCCCCTCTCCCAGCCTGGCCACCTGCACCTGAGCTGCCCCTTCACCCCTGGCTCTCTTACAGGCAGACCATGGCAGAGTTCTCCCAGAAACGGGGGAAGCGGCGTAGCGACGAAGGGCTGGGCAGCATGGTGGACTTCCTCCTGGCCAATGCCCGCCTGGTGCTGGGCGTGGGCGGGGCTGCTGTGCTGGGCATTGCCACCCTGGCCGTGAAGCGGGTAAGGCCAAGTGGGCGGGTCATGCCTGAAGCTCCTAGAGGAGGACAACAGGGTTGGGCTTTTCAGAGGGGCCCTGGGGAGGGGTGGGGACTGCCCAAGGCCTTCATGGGAGCCCAGGGCACCTGCTTCTCCACCCAGCACGCTGGTCTGCTTTGCCCTGGGCTTTGCTATGACTGCCCAGATTTCATATACACTGATCTGTGTGACTGTGCTTGCAGTTCATTGACAGGGCCACTAGCCCGCGGGATGAGGATGACACCAAGGCAGACAGCTGGAAGGAACTGAGCCTGCTCAAGGCCACACCACACCTGCAGCCCCGGCCTCCACCTGCTGCCCTTAGCCAGCCAGTGTTGCCCTTGGCCCCCTCGTCGTCTGCCCCAGGTGAGTGGCACTCCTTCCCCTCTTTTGGTGTCACATTCAAGAGACGCAGCCCAGGCTTTGCCCTGACTGACTGTGTGACCCTGCGCGAGTCCCTGCTTCTCTCTCGGTTGTGGGCTCCTCAGATATTTAATGGGGGTGGTGTTTCTTTGCCCTGTTCCTGGAGCAAGGTGGTAGCGTTGTGATGGTGGGGAGCTTTAGATGGGGAAACTGAGGTCCAGAGGGGCGTGACATACCTACCTACTCTGCATGAAGCTGTTGTCGCCAGGGTGTTGGACTCTGGGGCAATGAGAACTCGTCACCAAGAGCTCACTATATGTGAGGATCTGAACTGAGTGCCTTCTCAGGTGCCACTGCAGGTGAGAAAAGTGAGGCCCTGGGACATCACACAGCTAGTTCTCGGTGGCGTTTTCTTAACTAATCACAGGCTGTTCCGACATGTTCCCCGCCCCTTCACTCTGCAGAAGGGCCTGCAGAAACTGATCCTGAGGTGACACCACAGCTCAGCTCCCCAGCACCGCTGTGTCTGACACTGCAGGAGAGGCTGCTGGCCTTCGAGCGGGACCGTGTGACCATCCCAGCAGCCCAGGTGGCTTTGGCCAAACAGCTGGCTGGCGACATCGCCCTGGAGCTGCAGGCCTACTTTCGGAGCAAGTTCCCGGAACTGCCCTTTGGGGCATTCGTGCCTGGGGGGCCGCTCTACGACGGGCTGCAGGCGGGGGCTGCGGACCATGTGCGTCTCCTGGTGCCACTGGTGCTGGAGCCGGGCCTGTGGAGCCTGGTGCCGGGCGTGGACACTGTGGCGAGGGACCCTCGCTGCTGGGCCGTGCGCAGGACGCAGCTTGAGTTCTGCCCCCGTGGGAGCAGCCCCTGGGACCGCTTCCTGGTCGGGGGCTACCTCTCCTCCCGCGTCCTGCTGGAGCTACTCCGCAAGGCGCTGGCTGCTTCTGTCAACTGGCCGGCCATTGGCAGCCTTCTCGGGTGCCTGATCCGGCCCAGCATGGCCTCGGAGGAGCTGCTGCTCGAGGTGCAGCACGAACGCCTGGAGCTCACTGTGGCTGTGCTTGTGGCAGTCCCTGGGGTCGATGCTGACGACCGCCTCCTCTTGGCCTGGCCCCTGGAGGGGCTGGCGGGGAACCTCTGGCTGCAGGACCTGTATCCAGTGGAGGCTGCTAGGCTGCGAGCCCTGGACGACCATGACGCTGGGACTCGCCGGCGGCTGCTGCTGCTGCTGTGTGCTGTCTGCCGTGGTTGCTCGGCTCTGGGGCAGCTAGGCCGGGGTCACCTGACCCAGGTGGTCCTGCGTCTGGGGGAGGACAACGTGGATTGGACGGAGGAGGCCTTGGGTGAGCGCTTCCTGCAAGCCCTGGAGCTGCTCATCGGCAGCCTGGAGCAGGCCAGCCTGCCCTGCCACTTCAACCCCAGCGTGAACCTCTTCAGCAGCTTGCGTGAGGAGGAGATTGACGACATTGGCTATGCGCTATACAGTGGCCTACAGGAGCCCGAGGGGCTGCTCTAGGTGGGTGGAAACGGGTGGTTGCCATGTTTTCTAATGCTGGGGAGCTGCACCCACCTCCCTTCCAGGGATTTGAATAGTGGTTTTTCTCTAGCTTTTTGCCAGAACAAAGGAGGGTACATTACTTAAACCCAGGGCATCAGGATGTGCTTGGGCTATGGTGGCCATAAACCCTGAGCCCAGAGAGCTTGGGTCACTGTCACCTGAGTGCAGCTGGGCTGCCTCAGGCAGCTTGGAGTGCCAGCCATTCCTGCAAGCACCGTTTCAGCTCTTGGGGCCAACCCCAGGACCTTTGGCTCTGTCCATCACCAGCAACCAATCCACCAACAGAATGTGGTTTCTGCCATCCTGGGCAGAAGCTGAAGGCCAGCTTCACATTTCTGCTGAGAGAAGGTGACTTAACGCCTTTTCCGGCCCTAGCTCCAGGCGTTTTGAGGCGTCTGGTGCCTGATGGTAGGTATGGTGTGTTTGTTCTGTCCCCCAGGGGCTGGAGTCACCTGGTGCCCCTGAAGGACAGATTTTTGGCTGTTAAAGGATGGCATTTTCCTGCTGTCTTCTGTGCGTTTAGTTTTCTTGCTGAGCGGGAGCTCAGTATGACTTGCCACCCACCTGATACCTCAGGGCAAGGCCCTTTTTCCCTCCAGCCAGGTGAGTGTTTTCTTCAGGCAGCTGAGGGTCCTGGGGGAGCTGAGGCTCTGTGCTGCACCCCCAGCCCACAGCTGGGGCATCTCACTGGAGCTGTTCCAGGCCCCACTGGAGAGCAGAGGACCTGATCCCCCACTAGAGAGGTCCGGTGTGCACAGCCGGCCTCCCAGTGTGCCAAAATGAACTGCTCTCAGCTGATGGCTGTATTCTGACTTTGAAGCCTGTTAAGAGGTAGCAAGGGGGCTAGAGGAGGGAGATTCCACCTCCCCTCCCAAGTGACCCTCCTCCTGCCTCTGGTATCCTTCCTTTTGAAACGAAGCTCAGCTTCGAAGATGTGAACAAGAATAAAAGGAAAAAATTCTAATGTATATATAACTCAGGCTGGATAAGGGAGTCTTGGTGCTTTCATACGCAGCTGTTGAGGGTTTTCTGTAAGTCCTGTGGCTTGTCCTGGCACTTTGGCAAGAGTGCTTGAGGTCAATTGGAGGTGGTAGAGTTTACTTTAAAAAGTAGCATCTTGGCCGGGTGTGGTGGCTCGCATCTGTAATCCCAGCACATCGGGAGGCCGAGGCGGGCGGATCACGAGGTCAAGAGATCGAGACCATCCTGACCAACATGATGAAACCCCAACTCTACTAAAAAGACAAAAATTAGCTGGGCGTGGTGGCACGCACCTATAGTCCCAGCTACTCGGGAGGCCGAGGCAGGAGAATTGCTTGAACCCGGGAGGTAGAGGTTGCAATGAGCTGAAATTGCACCACTGCACTCCAGACTGGCGACAGAGCAAGACTCTGTCTCAAAAAAATAAATAAATAAGCATCTTGGCCCCGCGCTGTGGCTCACGCCTATAATCCCAGCACTTTGGGAAGCCGAGGCCGGTAGATCACCTGAGGTTGGGAATTCAAGACCAGGCTGACCAACGTGGAGAAACTCCATCTCTGGTAAAAATTCAAAAAAATTAGCTGGGCATGGTGGCACATGCCTGTAATCCCAGCTACTTGGGAGGCTGAGGCAGGAGAATTGCTTGAACCCGGGAGGCGGAGGTTGTGGTGAGCTGAGATCGTGCCAGTGCACTCCAGCCTAGGCAACAAGAGTGAAACTCTGTCTCAAAATAAAATAAAATAAAATAATAATAGTAATAATAAATTAGCATCTCAGTCTGTTTGGGCTGTGATAACAAAATGCCATAGACTAGGTGGCTTATAAACATCAGAAATTTATGTCTTACCATTTTGGAGGCTAGAAATCCAAGAGTGAGTCACAGATTCCATGTTTGGTTGAGAGCCCACATCCTGGTTCATAGGTGTCCCCATCTAGCTGTCCTCATGTGGAGGAAGGGGGGAAATGCTCTCCTAGGGTCTCTTATAAGGAAACTAAGCCCACCCATGGGGTGGGGGCCCACATTCATGATCGAATCACTTCCCAAAGACCCCATCTCCTGTTAGCAGTGCCTTGGGGGTTAGGATTTCAGCATACAAGTTGAAGGGGACACAGACTTTCTGTCCGTGACAAGTAAGGTAAGTGGAAGGAAAAGATGAAAAGCTTGGTGTTGCTTTAGTAATGGGAACCAGCCAGTTTGGGATGTTTCTTCCCGCAAGGCTGAACTGCTGAGCCCTGCACCATACTTTCTGTAATTAGTGGGCTGTTGACAGCCCTTCAGCCATGCTCATCATTTTTTAGAAACCTGTGTTTTTTTTCTTTTGAGAGTGAGTATCACTCTGTCGCCCAGGCTGGAGTGCAGTGGTGCGATCTCGGCTCACTGCAACCTCTGCCTCCCGGGTTAAAGCAATTCTTCTGCCTCAGCCTCCCGAGTAGCTGGGACTACAAGTGCGCGCTACCACGCTCGGCTAATTTTTGTATTTTTAGTAGAGATGGATTTTCACCATGTTGGCCAGGATGGTCTTGATCTCTTGACCTTGTGATCTGCCTGCCTTGGCCTCCCAAAGTGCTGGGATTACAGGCATGGGCCACCGCACCCGGCCAGAAATGTGTGTTCTCTACCTCCCTTGCACCTCTTTGTGGCTGCACAAGTGGGGAGGAAACTTGCCCCGCCTTGTGCAGGTGAGAGGCCAGGGCATCTTAACCCTCTCACCCGCAAGAGCCAAAGCCAGGGCTCACTTCCTATCACCAGATGACACATGTGGGCTGGGGAGGGCTCTGGTCTGCGTGCAGGGCTGCTTCCAGCCTAGCTGTGCCACTCGCACCCTGCTGGTCCTTCCCCGACTTACGTCCTGAGGGGACTCCCCTACCCCTTCCAGCTGTGACTGCAGGACCCAAGGGAAGCAGGACTGTGCCAAGCAAATGGAATAGTGGTGTAGGCCTCTAGGTGTTGGGTGTAGGGCAAGAGGCGGGCACGAGGGCTCCTTGTAGAGGATATTATAAGGGTCCAAGGTGGGAGACACTTGGCTGAGGTCCATTCCAATCACTTGGCTGAGGTCCATTCCAATCACTTGATGCCTTGATGCTGGAGAGCTTTGAGCAGTTTCCTTGGCGGTGTTGGGGCAGCAAGGGAACAGTCTGGGGCAGAGCCTGTGCCTCAGTCTTCTCATCTCTTAACTGGGGAGGGTCATGTAATACCCAACCCCAGGTGCTTGTGACGATTAACTGGGGTGGGCAGTGCTTAACATAATGCCTGGGAACGAGGACTGGTGGGCCTAGCTGTGCCCCACCCTCCAGCCACATCCAAGCCCCAGCACAGCAAGGTGCTCCCAGATGCCACTCCAGCCCCTGGTCAGAGCGCAGCTGTCCAGGAAGCAAGCTCAGTCTAGAGTGCCACTCCTTCGACGACCAGACCCCAACACAAGCCTGATGTAGAAGCCACTTGCTTCAGGTAGCTCTAAATGTACTGTCTCATACCATGGCTTAAAAAAAAAAAATCCAGGATGAGTTAAAAGTGTTCGTGGTTTCATCACCTAGCCAAGGTTAATGTCTGGGTCTTCCGTTTCTAGCCAGAGAACTGGAAACAAATCACTGTTTTGCTAGGAGCTTTGCATGACCTCACGCCCTAGGCTGCCGGGTCCTGGGCTGTCCTGATGGGCTGTGAAATCCCACCCACTCCCAGGGCTGCCGGGTCCTGGGCTGTCCTGATGGGCTGTGAAATCCCACCCACTCCCCTCCCCGCGAGGCAAGGACAGCCTCTGCCCTGCCTGCCTGGGAGCACGGTATGGGCTTGCCTAGGCCTCAGTGTCTTAACACTGTGGTGACTCAAATTCCTTGTTTTACCTTCACCAAGTAACCCAGAGCCAGGATCCTTGATGACTCTGGTAAGGCAGTGACTACCCCTGCTCAGAATGCAAGGGTCGCTAGGGAAGATTTTAGAAAAAAAAAAAGGACTCCAAAAATGGAGAATCTAAATGTAGTCCTTTGAAAATGTCACCCATAGATCCTCTACCACTAACTGTAATAAATTTGACCAAATAGCATTTCCTTTTTGTAAATCCACTTGTACGCACTTCTCTTCAGGAATACTTAGCTGTGGGATTGTCCTCAAAGGGGGACCATTTATTCCCGTAGAGCTGACCTGTTCAGCTCGTTTCCGTATCTGCTAATATTTAAAAAAGCAAACAAAAAAACAGGCCAGGTACAGTGGCTTATGCTTGTAATCCCAGCGTTTTGGAGGTTGAAGCGGGAGGACTGCCTGAGGCCAGGGGTTCGAGACCAGCAGGGGCAACATAGACCTCATCTCTACAAAAAATAATTAGCCAGGTGTGGTATATACCTATGGGCCCAGCTATTCAGGAGGCTGAGGTGGGAGGATGGCTTGAGTCTAGCAGGGCGAGGCTGCAGTGAGCCATGATTACCCCTGGGATTACAAGCTGGTCTCAAACTCCTGGCTTCAAGCAGTCCTCCCAGCTCGGCCACCCTAAGTACTGGGATTATAGGCGTGAGCCACTGTGTGTAGCCAACATTTGCTTTTTTTTTTTTTTTGAAACGGAGTCTTGCTCTGTCACTCAGACTGGAGTACAGTGGCCCAATCTCTGTTCACTATAATCTCCACCTCCCTGGTTCAAGCAATTCTCCTGCCTCTCAGCCTCTTGGGTAGCCGGGTTTGCAGGCATGCACCACCACACTCGGCTGATTTTTGCATTTTTAGTAGAGACGGTTTCGCCATGTTGCCTGGGCTGGTCTCGAACTCCTGACCTCAAATGATCTGCCTGCCTCAGCCTCCCGAAGTGTTGGGATTACAGGTGTCAGCCACTTGTGCCCGGCCAACATTTGCGTTTTTAATGACACTTTTCTTTTGTAATCAGGATATATATATAATCTTAATTCCTTGAGAAAGCTAAGGTTGTAGTGGAGAAAACCCAGGTGTGTTCCAAAGACAAACACCGGTGACTCTGGTGACCTGCACTGGGTCATCTCTGCATTGCTTGCCGAATTCCTGAGACGATAAGACCAATCAGTTCAGTGGGCTGCGGCCTCTGGCAGGCAGGGAGGCCACTGGGGCTCGCTTGCGTGGGTTTCAGAAGGAACCTTTCAGGTTCAGACTGCAGGCCAGACCCTGACTCTATATTAGTGTTTTCCAGAGGGACAGAACCAATAGGCTGTATGTAATATATAGAAAGCGAGTTAATTAGGGAGAAGTGGCTCACAGGATTACAAGGTGAAGTCCCAGAATAGGCCATCTACAAGCTGTGGAAAGAAGCCGGTAGCATAGCTGAGTCCAAGTCCAAAAGCCTCAAAACCAGAAAGCCCACAGTGCAGCCTTCAGTCTGTGGCAGAAGGCTCCAGGAAGCTGCTGGTGCAAGTCCCAGAGTCCAAATGCCGAAGAACCTGGAGTCTGATGTCCAACAGCAGAGAAGAGGAAGCAAGCATCTGGCACGGAAGAGGGAGAGGGCTGGAGAAGACTCAGCAAGGTGCTCATCCCCCTTCTTCCACCTGTTGTTCTGGCCGTGCTGGCAGCTGATTGGATGGTACCCACCCACATTGAGGGTAGGTCTTCCTTTCTCAGTCCACCGAGTCATGTCACTCTCCTCTGGCAACACCCTTACAGACACCCAGAAAAAATACCAGCCATCTCGGCATCCCTTAATCTAGTGAAGTTGACACCTAACATTAACCACTGCACCAACACCACCTGTGTGTGAGCTGGTGGTCTAAGGTGGGGATGGGGTGCACAGATCTGTCCCTGGTAGGGACGGTCAACAGGTGAGTGGCAACACCCTGGTGAGCATATTGAGCTGGGGCCACCTGTGTTCCAGTCCAAGAAACCTGGAGATCCAGCTGAATGTGAACATCCCAGGTCTTCGGCCGGATTCTATAAGAGGCAGGTGGTGAATTCATCCCAAAGGGCAGTGGGGTCTCTGCCCAGTGTCTCAAAAGCCAGTGCCTCCAGGTGCGGGCCCCAGCGCTGTTGGGCACATTGAGCCTGGCTCTGGGGAGTGGGGGAGCCGGATGTTGGTGACAAGGCTTATTTTTAATTCTGGATGCTCTAAGTATCCGGGGTGGGATCAGGCAGAGACTCCTCAACTGCTACAAGTTGTGTGGGGTGGTCTCGTTTCCTCTGCTGTTAAGTGCAAGCAATCACCTGGGGAAGCATGTGCAGGACGTCAGCCAGGCTTCTTTGCCAAGATGGCAGGGAAGCCTCCAGTTACCCCATGGGCTCTCAGCATTGGTGTGGAGAGCAGGGAGGGGCTTTTTACAAAACTCTGATGGGGCTTGGGGGGACATGGCATCAGAGATTAGGTTTCAAGGCCAGGTTAGCTGCTTGGTAGAGGAAAACACTTAACCCAACAGAGCTATGGTTCCTGCACAAAAAGGACAGGAGATGCTGTCTTGCTGGCAGCAGGAGGTTGAAACCACTGTAGGTGACAGCCTGGCCAGTGCCTAGTCTCAGCTAGATCCATCAAGGGGGGGGCGGGGGGGGTCCATTTTCTTTTCCTTGGTTTTGCATTGCACAAGCTGCAGATGTGGCTCAACACAGGGACTAAAAACCCTTCCAGTCAACGTTGACGGGGTAGGATGAGCTGCATGCTGCTAACCTGAGTGGGCCATCGAGAGAGACTTAGAAATTCCAACAGGTTTGATTTGTGAAGCTTTAATTTGCAGTCGTGCCTGACCGTAAGCCTTCACTAGAGAGCCTCAATATGAACAAGGACACCCCATTACGGATGAGGCAACTGGGGCTCCAAGGATGAGGCTGCACACCCAGGGTGGCAGAAGAGGCCAGGAAGTGGGAGCTGAGCCTGGGTCTGTCTGATCTCAGATGCCTGGCCCAGTCCATGGTGCAGCCCAATCCTGCAGTTTGCTTTTGAGACACACAGTTGCCTGCAGAGATGTGAAAACCACAAAGGCATCTGATATCCAGAAACTATTAAGAACTCCTACAACTCAACAACAAAGACAGACAACACAATTTAAAAATGGGGGAAGAGACCAGGTGTGATGGCTCCTGCCTGTTAATCCTAGCACTTTGGGAGGCCGAGGCTGGTAGATCACCTGAGGTCACGAGTTTGAGACCAGCCTGGCCAACATGGTGAAACCCCGTCTTTACTAAAAATACTAAACAAATTAGCTGGGTGTGGAGGCAGATGCCTGTAATTCCAGCTACTTGGGAGGCTGAGGCAGGAGAACTGCTTGAACCCAGGAGGCAGAGGTTGCAGTGAGCCAAGATCGCACCACTGCACTCCAGCCTGGGCACAAGAGCGAAACTCCATCTCAAAAAAAAATAAAAAATAAAAAATAAAAAATGGGTGAAGAACTTAAATCGACATTCTCCAAAGAATGTATACCAATGGCCAGTAAGCCTGTGGAAAGATGGTCAATGTCATTAATGACTAGGAAAATGCAAAACAAAACCACAATGACACGCCACTTCATACCCACTAGGATGACAAAACACTAGGATGGCTATAATACAAGAAAAGGAAAGGAACAAGTGTTCACAAGGATATGGAGAAGCAGTAACCCTGGTGTGCTGCTGGTGGGTGTAAAGTGGTGCATCCACTGTGGAAAATTTGTAGGTTCCTCAAAAAGTCAAAACATGGAGTTATGGTATAAAACTACAATTCCATTCCTCGGCATATGCCCAAAATAACTGAAAACAAGTCATCAGACACTCATACACCAATGTTCACAACAGTGCTATTCACAATAGCCAAAAAGTGGAAACAACCCAATGTCCATCAACTGACAAATGGATAATCGTGTGGTATATTCATACAGTGGGCTATCAGCTTATCATAAACATCGAGGACTGACATGCTACAATGTGGATGAGCCTGACAAACATCAGCCAAGTCAAAGAAACCAGACACAGGATGTCATGTATGGTAGGATTTCATTTTTTTTTTTTTCTTGAGACAGAGTTTCACTCTTTTTGCCCAGGCTGGAGTGCAATGGCCCGATCTCAGCTCACTGCAACCTCTGCTTCCTGAGTAGCTGGGATTACAGGTGCCTGACACCACGCCCGGCTAATTTTTGTATTTTTTTAGAGACGGGGTTTCATCATATTGGTCAGGCTGGTCTCGAACTCCTGACCTCAGGTGATCTGCCCACCTTGGCCTCCCAAAGTGCTAGGATTACAGGCGTGAGCCACTGTGCCCAGCCTGGTATGATTCCATTTAAACAAAATATCCAGAGTAGGTAAACCCACAGAGACAAAAAGTGGTTGGTGGTACCCCGGAGCTGGGATAGGCAAAATCACACACGCAGGGCCACAACCCACACCCACTCGGAGATGTTCCAGGAACAATCTCAGGAACCTGCATTTGTAAAAATCCTCCCCAATACCCCATCAGAACACAGAGCCACTGGTCTATGGGCCAGGAGCCCAAGACCTGAGAACAATCCTAGTTTCTTCAACAACTAGCAACATGACTGGGCAACTCACACCCACCTCTGCTCATCTTCTAAACTGTAAATCAGAGTCCATATGGCTTGTATTATTCACAAGGTTTTTGTGAAGGCAAACGGGGGAACATGGCCACCACTGGAAAAAGTGGAAGATGGAAAGTTAGTGATCTGAATCTGAACCTTTCATTAGACATCTCTGCTCTGAGGGACCATCTGTGGGGTGAGAAGAAATTGGGCTCAGTGCTTACCATGTGGAAAGGGAGGAAGGGCTCTCCACATGGGACACAAGGGACAGCCATGAAGGACAGAGGCTGACGAGACCTCCCAGGGTGAGCTCCTTCCAGCACTGGCTGGTACCTGTTGCTTCTGCAAATGTTCCCCAGACCCTCTGCACTCTCGCAGGTCAGAGTAAAAAAAGGTTGGATTCTTTCATTTTAAAAAAAGTTTGAGACAGGGTCTTACTCTGTCACCCAGGCTGGAGTGCAGTGGTGTGATCATGGCTTGCTGCAGCCTCAAACTCTTGGGTTCAAAGGATCCTCCCACTTCAGCCTCCTGAGCAGCTGAACTAAAGACGTGTACAACTGTGCTTGTTATATTTTTAAAAATAGAGACAAGGTCTAACTATGTTGCCCAGGCTGGTCTTGAACTCCTGATCTCAAGCAATCCTCCAGCCTTGGCCTCCCTAAGTGCTGGATTACAGGTGTGAGCCTCCACGCCCTGCCGGGGTTGGATTCTTTTTATTTTTTTAAATTTTTAAATTTTTTTTGAGACTGAGTCTCGCTCTGTCGTCCAGTGGCGCAATCTCAGCTAACTGCAACCTCCGCCTCCCGGGTTCAAGCAATTCTCCTGCCTCAGCCTCCTGAGTAGCCGGGTCTACAGGCGCACACCGCCACACCTGGCTAATTTTTTGTATTTTAGTAGAGACAGGGTTTCACCATGTTGCCCTGGCTGGTCTCGAACTCCTGAGCTCAGGCAATCCGCCCCCCACAGCCTCCCAAAGTGCTGGGATTACAGGCATGAGCCACTGCACCCGGCCTGGGTTCTTTATTAAAGCAATGAATTCTGGATGTCCTGGCTTAACTAGATTAAGAGGGAATGAAGCTTCTTCTGAAGGATCAGTGTTACCACAGCCATTTCCTTGCATTACACCGTCCTTCTCAGGACGTCTATGAGAAGCCCTGGGCAGCCTGGACAGGGACTGCCCCATGAGTGCTGGTGGCTCACTTGGGGCTTTCTGCAGGTGAAGGAAGCAGCCCTGGGAGCTTCTTCCTTTGGCACACAGTGGGCTTCAGCTGGGACTGCACCAATCCTCTGCTAACAGCAACCATCCTTGGGGGGTCCGAGGGAGCAGCTGCGTGACTTTTCAGCAGTGGCTATGGTCACTCCTGAGGCCTGGGAAGAGGGTCACTGTCCAGCAGAGCTGGCCTGCTCCAGAGTGATCTGGACCTTGTGCCCCTTAACACAAGAAGGCCCGACTCCAAAGGCCAACACTGTCCTCTAAGTTTCCAGGACACTAAATGGCCACTTGGTCCTGGTTAACTCATTTCTAAACACAAAGGGGACAGGTCTGAGAAAGTGGCGTTCTCTACCCTACCCTGAGCTCATCTGTTCTGAGGACAAAAGGGACGGGTGTGTCCAGGCTGGTGGCAAAGGCTGCATTTCCGGGGTTTCTTTGCTGTGGACCCCATGTCTGAGGAACTGGCCCGGGGCCTTTTGCTTCTGGCTTCCGACTCCAGGGTTCTTCCTCTGTCTCCTGTCCAGGACGGGGCTCCAGAAGTCCCTGTCGGGAGAGTCAGGGGAGGGGTGAGGTTAGAACTGACATGCAGAAGTGGCAAGTCCTGAACACGGTGGCTCATGCCTGTAATCCCAGCACTTTAGGAAGCTGAGGGAGGAGGATTGCTTGAGCCCAGGAGTTCAAGATCAGCCTGGGCAACATGGTGAAACCTTGTCTTTAAAAAATGCAAAAATTAGCCAGGTGTGGTGTATGCCTGTGGTCACAGCTACTCGGGAGGATGCCTGAGCCTGGGAGGCTACAGTGAGCTGTGATCACACCACTGCACTCCAGCCTGGGCAACAGAGCAAGACCCTGTCTCAAAAAAAAAAAAAAAAAAAAAAAGAGCAGCAGACGATAAGGCTGAACCAACTTTTTTTTTTTTTTTTTTTTTTTTTGAGATGGAGTCTTCGCTCTGTCACCCAGGCTGGAGTGTGGAGTGCAGTGGCGTGATCTCCACTCACTGCAAGCTCCACCTCCCGGGTTCACGCCATTCTCCTGCCTCAGCCTCCCGAGTAGCTGGGACTACAGGCACCCGCCACCACGCCCGGCTACTTTATTTTTTGTATTTTTAGTAGAGACGGGTTTCATCATGTTAGCCAGGATGGTCTCGATCTCCTAACCTTGTGATCCGCCCGCCTTGGCCTCCCGAAGTGCTGGGATTACAGGCGTGAGCCACCGTGCCCGGCCTTTTTTTTTTGAGGTGGAGTCTGGCTCTGTCGCCTAGGCTGGAATGCAGTGGTGCAATCTTGGCTCACTGCAAGCTCCGCCTCCCGGGTTCACGCCATTGTCCTGTCTCAGCCTCCCGAGAGTAGCTGGGACTACAGGGACCGACCACCATGCCCGGCTAATTGTTTGTATTTTTAGTAGAGACGGGGTTTCACTGTGTTAGCCAGGATGGTCTCGATCTCCTGACCTCGTGATCCACCCGCCTCGGCCTCCCAAAGTGCTGGGATTACAGGCATGAGCCACCGCGCCCGACCGGCTGAATCAGTTTTTATACAGCCATGTACACCCCACCAGCCAGCCTCCCTTCACACTGTGTCCAACTCTGTAAGGTTGAGGTGCGATGTGCCTGCTGCCTTATGTTACCTGACACCTCTCCCTCAAGAATCCTAAGCTTTGGAGACATTGTCCCACACTCACTTGGTAAGTGGACTTTCATGCCGGCCCTTTTTACAGAGGCAGAAACCCAAGCAAGCTGGCCTGTGTGGTAGGGTGGGAAAGACAAGCAGCCTATGACCGGCAACCTGCGGCCCACCTCCATGCAGGAAAGTCCAGCTCTGGATCCCTTCCTGTCCCCTCAACAGGCCTTTCCAGACCAGCTGCTCATTTACCCAGGACAGTCAGTCAGCCAGCCTGGAGGTCAGATACCATGTCCTTCCAAGTGGGGAGACAAGAGGCCAGACTGCATCTCACTTCAAATGTGGGTCTCTCACTGCAATGGCCATCTCTGGGCCCCATTAGCACTGGTAGCCAGTTCCAAGTCCCACAGTTTTTACCAAACCTCTGGTTTCTTTCTGTGCATGCCGGGCTAGTGACACATGTGTAAGAATCATAGTCTGAGACTAAACTCCTTTCTAAAACAGGAACCCTATGAATGTAGGCAGGGACCATCTTGTTGAGCAAACTTGAGGCAGAGAGGCTAAGTCATTTGTTCAAGGTTATACTGCTGAGCTTTGGAACCAGATTTGCTCAACTCCAAAGCTCCCACTAGGCCTTTGGGTCATTCTCAGCTACTTAAGCTCTGTTGTGCACTGGAGCAGGAGGAACCATTCAAAGTGCCTCCACGTACACCATTCAACTTGATGCAATGTCCAGGTGCCACTTCTCATGACACCCAGTTCCCGGACATTGGCCCAAGCTGTGTCACCCTGGGCAGGTTCCTAAATATCATCGGGGTTGGCATCTTCATCTGAAGAAATGAGGCTGGGCCAGGCACGGTGGCTCACGCCTGTAATCCCAGCACTTTGAGAGGCCAAGGCAGGTGGATCACCTGAGGTGGAGTTCGAGACCAGCCTAACCAACAGGGTGAAACCCCCGTCTCTACTAAAAATACAAAATTAGCTGTGCGTGGTGGTGCATGCCTGTAATCCCAGCTACCTGGGAGGCTGAGGCAGGAGAATCATTTGAACCTGGGAGGTGGAAGTTGCAGTGAACCAAGATTGCACCATTGCACTCCAGTCTGGGCAACAAGAGCAAAACTCAGTCTCCAAAAAAAAAAAAAAAAAAAAAGAAATGAGGCTGATGCTTATGGTCTGCCAAGGGTCACGACAGCTGCAAGGGCACATGGCCATGGGACTGGGAAGGCCTATGTACTCATCCTGGTGTCTGTTGCTATGGGACCCTGAGCAATACCCACTTCATGTGTCTGGGTCTCACCTTTCTCACTTATAAGTAAAATTGTGATCATAATGCTTACCCAATGAGGATGGAAGATGCACAGGAAGTATACTTAGCATAGTGCCAGGCATAGGGCAAGTGACACCATTACTGGTAGCTACCCTTTAATTTGGAATGAGGACTGTACAATTATCACCTTGCTGAAAGTGATCAAGTGAGGAAAAGTGAGGTGCAAGGCAGCCCAGGTGCCCCTCCCAATCCCACCATGACCCTGCCTTGCCTTCTTTCTGCTGTCCCCAGTCTCTGAGGTAAACACCTGAAAACTGAAGGCAGGGATTCCCATGCCCCTCCCTGCCTCACCTGGAGCGGTGTTCTCATCGACCCACTGGAAAAAGCCACACTGCTGCTCTCTCGGCTTGGCACATGTGTGGAACTGGCGCCCCTTGTTGGGTCCATCCTTCTGCACAGTCCGTGTGACGGAGGGCTGGCTGCAAAGGCAGGATGTGCCACTACCACTGCCATCACCAGGGTTGCCAAACCCACCTAGGTGGATCCCTGGGCCTGGTGGGCATCCCAGGGAGGCGCCCAGGGGTCTATATGCCAAGGCAGGAGGCCCTCCTGCTCCCGGATTGGGGCTGTCTGCCCACAGGAAGAAGTTGCAGCTACCTCCGTTGCACTTAAAGAACTGCCGGCCCCGGTTGGGGCCCTCCTTACGGACAGTGAGCAGCACAGCCTCCTGGCCACAGTTGCAGGTCACAGAATTGCTTTCACCAGCAGCCGTGGGTGGTGGGAGGGTCTGGGCCAGAGCCTTTGAGGACCCAGTCTGTCTGCTGTCAGCAGGCTGGGGGTGCTGGCTGTTGTCCATCCTGTTCAGGGACTGGTTAGCCTGCAGGCGGCCAGAGGGCTGGCTAGCCCTGGGGGGGCCCCCTGAAAATCTCAGGTCCAGGATCTCCCTCAGGGTGTCGTCGCATCCGCCGATGCAGCAAACAAACTCCAGAGGCATGGTCGGGGGAAGGCTACCGCGCTTAAACTTTAACTTTAACCTAGTGAGGCCAGAAGATGAGAAAAAACATTAACAACCAGATGCCAGCTTCTCCTTAGTCCAGTGAGGGCTGCTTTAGCCCTAGGCCTCTCTCCACCATTCCTTATGCATCAGGAAGCCCACACAAGTCCCCTGTGAGGCCCTCTATCAGCCCACCACAAGCCCCCACCAGTCATCACAGGAGTGGACAGTGGGAAACAGTGCAGATGAAATCTAAGATCCCAGTAATTCACTAAAATAAAAACACCTCTGAGAAGTCCCATGTCTCTGTATCAGCAGTTCTCCAAGTGTGGTTCCAGGGTGCCTGAGCCCTTTCAAGGAGAGTGCAAAACTCTTTTATAGGCCAGGTGTGGTGGCTCAAACCTGTAATCCCAGCACTTTGGGAGGCTGAGGCGGGCGGATCACAAAATCAAGAGATTGAGACCATCCTGACCAACATGGTGAAACCCCATCTCTACCAAAAATACAAAAATTAGCTGGGCATGGTGGCACGCGCCTGTAGTCCCAGCTACTCGGGAGGCTGAGGCAGGAGAACCTCTTGAACCTGGGAGTCAGAGGTTGCAGTGAGCCAAGATTGTGCCACTGCACTCCAGCCTGGTGACAGAGCAAGACTCTGTCTCAAAAAAAATTCTAAGAGGTTATGTCTATTTTGCTCTTATTCTTCCATGTGTATACAACGGAGTTTCCTGGAGGTTCCAGCACATGCAATGACTCAGCAGGCTGACTGCAGAAGCAGATACGGGAATCCAGCTCTCTTCTATTAAGCCAGACATACAAATTGCAAAATGTAAAACAATGTCATTAATGTCATTATTATTTTGCTTTTGAAAATAGGTATTTTATTACCCTAAAAAACAAGTTATTTACAGTAGTATGCAATGCATTTACTAGAAATAAATTATTAAAATTTTTTTTTTTGAGACAGAGTATCATTCTGTCGCCCAGGCTGGTGTGCAGTGGTGCAATCTCGGCTCACTGAAAGTTCTGCCTCCTGGGTTCACGCCATTCTCCTGCCTCAGCCTGCCGAGTAGCTGGGACTACAGGCGCCCACCAGTACGCCTGGCTGATTTTTTGTATTTTTAGTAGAGACGGGGTTTCACCATGTTAGCCAGGATGGTCTCGATCTCCTGACCTCGTGATCCACCCACCTCGGCCTCCCAAAGTGTTGGGATTACAGGCGTGAGCCACCACGCCTGGCCATTTTTTGTATTTTTAGTAGAGACAGTGTCTCACCATGTTAGCCAGGATGGTCTCGATCTCCTGTCCTCGTGATCCGCCTGTCTCGGCCTCCCAAAATGCTGGGATTACAGGCCTGAGCCACCAGGCTCGGCCTATTCATTTATTTCTAGAGACAGGGTCTGGCTCTGTCATTCCAGGCTGGAGAGCAGTGGTGAAATCATGGCTCACTACAGCCTAGACCTCTAGGATCAAGCGATCCTCCTGCCTCAGCCTCCTGACCAGCTTGGCCTATAGGCATATGTCACCACATCTGGCTAATTTAAAATTTTTTTTGGCCAGGTGCAGTGGCTCACATCTATAATCCCAGCACTTTGGGAGGCCAAGGTGGGTGGATCACTTGGGGCCAGGAGTTCGAGACCAGCCTGGCCAACATGGTGAAACCCTGTCTCTACTAAAAATACAAAAAGTGGTCAGGCATAGTGGTGCATGCCTGTAATCCCAGCTACTCAGGACGCTGAGGCAGAAGAATCACTTCAACCCAGAAGGCGGAGGTTGCAGTGAGTCAAGACTGCGCCACTGCACTTCAGCCTGGGCAACCCAGCGAGACTGTCTTAAAAAAAATTTTTTTTTAAATAAAAATTTTTTTTTTTAAAGAGATGGGGTCTTGCTACGTAGCCCAAGCTTGGATGTTGTATTTAATATGTGAATAATTTCCTAAGCCTGGTGTAGCAATCATCTATCTGGAGAGGGCAGGGAAAGAGCCCTTCATGGTTCTTTGCCCATGGCCCACTCCAAACAGGGTCATACCTGCCAAAGCAGTGACAGCATGGAACACAACAGAACTGGACCAGCCCTGCTGAACTGGCTGCTGCAGAACACAGCTACGCCCCTGCAGGGCCTGAGTGGAATCCCCGACACTCCTCTCTGGGTTCTGGCAGGAGCAAGGGAAAGATGGTGTACACACTCCAGAGGAGGCACCTGACTCAGGTGCCCAGCTCACCTGTACACAGGGTGTGGCTGACAAACTGGACACACACTGCTGTCCCTGCTGGCCTCCAGCACCGAGTCAGGAAGCCACACAGCTGAGCGACACTCTGGGAAACCCATGCAGCTGAGGTAGAACCTGGGGACAAAGTGCCATGTCAGATGATAGGAGTGCAGGAGATGCTCTCCGCTGTTGGCCATCAGCTAAGGCAGCCTTTCCTCAGCTGCCCGAGGACAACATTCCCTTTTCTGGATGACACTTAACTGGATACACAAGCACTCATATTGAATTGATTGGGAAAAATGAGCCTTCTCACATCCCAAAAGCACAAAGCAGCTATTGCTGGCCCTGCTTTCTATTTAGAAAACCAACAACCAACCAAGCTGACGCCAGGGGCTCTGTGCTGTGCACTCACACATTCTTGCCTTTCTGCCTCGTGCCAAGTCTGGGCAGTGTCAGGGGCCCCCTCAGTTTGCATGTGAGTAAACAGTGGCTTGGTGTGGCCTGGAAACCTGCCCAGAGACATGCATGCATGTGTGGATGGGAGCCAGGAATGGAAACCCATCTGTTTGTGACAAAGCCTCACCTGCAACATCTACACCCCACCCACTGCCCATCCATCCCATCCCGGTCTCTCCTGGCCAATGTTTTTCAACACCTTGCAGTCATGAAACGTTAGGGTTTGACTAGCTAATATGCATGTGATTTACAAATTCCTCATGAGTGTGCCTGGGTACACTATGAAGGAAAAAAAAGCCCCGAACTCCAATCATTTAAATAAGAAATTTACAATCTCAGAAATGGAAATTAACAGATAAATCATGGAGTGGCAAATCCCACAAGATAATCTCCTGACCTTCTGGAGTAACTCAGAGAAGCATTACAAAAGAATAACAGAAGAACAAACGAATAACTAAAGAATAATAATAATTCTCCAATTCAGAGAATTGGAGAATTCAGAGCTAAAACAAAAGTAGTTATTCTCTCTCCTTATATTCCAATGAGTACTAATCCAATAACCTACCGATAGCAAGGAAAACCCATCGACAGCATTTATTAAGTGCTGAAATATACGCCCAGTCATTGGGCTAAGCCTAGAGTGGCACTGGCTTCTGTCTGTGAGTGACGCGAGCCCTGACACCTGCTTCCAGGTCTGGCCCATAGACCTCTTGTTTCTGAGAGCCTGGGTGGCCTTCTCTTCACTTGGGCCAGCCAGGTTAATGATGGCTGGAGGTGAGGAGTTGAGAAACCTCCTTTCTTATTCAGCAGCAAGGAGCACAGCAGTCCCAGGTGGGCCAGGCAGGATGGAAAAAGGCAGTGAAAACCCGGTTTCAAACTCTGCTGCCCACCACGGCTGCTTGACTCCAAGCAAGCACCTCAGCCCTCTAAGCTGCATAAAAATCCCTGCCTTGCAGGGTAGTTAGGAGAATGGGATGAGGTAATGCTTACAGAGCACCACCCTGCATTACACCAGTGAGGGACGGCACCTGATGAATGATGGCTGCCACCCCTCCACCTCGTCTTTCCCCGTGAACTTCCTCCAGTGGCCAGCCACTGGCTCCAACAACCTGATGTGAAGCTAAATTGCCCACTCAGATCTACTATATTTAAAGCGAAAAGGGAGTTGAGATTTTCAGGCCCCATTCAGAACTAAAACTAGGAGAGAACAAAAGTAGTATCTGCTGAGTATCTACAACACATCAGGCAATGTGCTATATAGTCCTGACCATTTTCACCAAATCCTCACCCTTAACACAGCCTTGTAAGTACTGACATTTTATAAAAGAAGAAATTGGGGTTCAGAGCAGGTAAGTAACTTGCTTCAGGCCACACCACTTATATGCGGCATAAGTGGCATTTGAACCCAGACCCACCTAGATCTGAAGCTCATGCTCCTCCATGTGTTACACATTGGGTATATGATGTCCTATCCACAGGGGACAAAAAAACCCCACTATCATTCAGTTTCTCACCTGCTCTGAATTCCCATAGTGCTTTACACCTCAAAGGCCTGATCCCACCCTGCTATGCTTTTAGGCCAACACCTTGCCTGCAGGTTGGCAACAACAGGCCTGTCTTGAAAGATTCCATGGAGTGAAATGGCAGGGTCTTTCGAGCTACGGCTGACACCGCAGGTGCTGGGGAGCAGAGGTGGGGGCAGAAGGCAGCGCACTCACCCGCCATTCTTCTTGGTCTTAAGGACCATGTCCTTGTTGCACTGTGGGCACTTCCTGATGGGCTCTGGCATGGCTGGGTAGATATCTTCTTGCTGGGCCAACTCTGTCCCATTCCCAAAGTACTGGGCCAAGGCCTCGTCCAATCTGAAGAAAAGGCAAAGACAGACACCCATCAGCCAGCAATCGCTGCAAAGGCACCTACAACACTCTTACATGCACACAACAGGCGTGACCTTGAGAACCAGCTGGTCAGTGAGCCGCAGGCCTCCTGCAGAGAACAGACGGCAGACAGAAGACTGAGCTCACCATGGGCCCTGGTGCCGAACCAACTCTTGGGAGGAGAGTCCAGATACAGGCAGATGCTTCTGCTTGTCACCAGCCCACATTAAAAAGTAAAACTGGGCCAAATGTGGTGGCTCACGCCTGTAATCCCAGGCCGAGGCGGGCGGATCACCTGAGGTTGTAATTTCGAGACCAGCCTGACCAACATGGTGAAACCCCGTCTCTACTAAAAATACAAAATTAGCCAGGCATGGTGGCGCATGCCTGTAATCCAAGCTACTCAGGAGGCTGAGGCAGGAGAATCGCTTGAACCCAGGAGGCAGAGGTTGTGGTGAGCCAAGATCACGCCATTGCACCCTAGCCTGGGCAACAAGAGCGAAACTCCATCTCAAAAAAAAAAAGTAAAACTGCACAGGGTCCATGTACAAACTCCAGGAGTGTCTGTCTGTATTAAGTCTAAACTAGCTCATGCCTGCCTTTTCACAACTGGCATGGGGTACTCTAAAGAACAGAAAATAACAAACTGTTATCTTCTATTACAGTCTCACAACACACATCAGACACCAGATGTATGGGAGTTTTCCCCATACACCAAGCAACTCTCCCGCCACACACCAGTTGGACATCCTCTAATTCAATTCAATTCTGACACTATGCACCTGGAGATCCATCTAACGGTTAAGGGCTCAGTCCCAGAAGACTGCTGCCCCAAATTCCCTCAGATGTCAGTCACAAATCCCAGGCTGTGACCTGTGCTTCTGACTGACTGGCTATAAACTGGGGTTCCTCAGACCCCCTCCTTGGTTTGATTCTCAATAGAGTGGCTCACAGAGCTCAGGGAAACACTTTACTTATGCTTACCCGTTAATTACAAAGGATCCAGGTGAATACCCAGATGGAAGCAATGCACAGGGCAAGGGATGTGGGGAAGGGGTAGCTTCCATGCCCTCTCCCAAACACCCACCCTCCAGGAGTCTTTACCTGTTTAGCTATTTGGATGTGCCCCAAACCCAATTGTTTGATTTGTTTTTGTTGTTGTTGAAGAAGTCTCACTCTGTTGCCCAAGCTGGACTGCAGTGGGGCAATCTCGGCTCATTGCAACCTCCACCTTCCGGGTTCAAGCAGTTCTCCTGCCTCAGCCTCCCAGGTAGCTGGGACTACAGGTACGCACCACCATGCCTGGCTAATTTTTGTATTTTTTTTTTTTTTTTTTAGCAGAGAAAGGGGTTTCACTGTGTTGGCCAGGCTGGTCTTGAACTCCTGACCTTGTGATCTACCCGCCTCGGCCTCCCAAAGTGCTGGGATTACAGGCGTGAGCCACCGTGCCTGACCCTTGTTTGGGGATTTTATGGAGGATTTATTACTTAGGCATGATTGACAAATCACTGGCCACGTGTGATCAACTCAACCTCCAGCCCCTCTGCTCTTCCTGAGGTAGGGGTGGGACTCAAAGTCCCAACCTTCTAATCACAGGGTTGGTTCCCTGACAACCAGACCGATCCCAAGGCTACCCAGGAGCCCTTGGCCACTAGTCATCTCATTTGTATACAACAGACACAGCACTTAAAAAATTCCAAGGGTATCAGAAAATGAAGTCCAAATATATATATCTTATTATAAATCATAATATCACAGGTAGAAAACACATCATTTCTAACAAAATACACACATGCTGCTTGCTAAATATCCACCTCTAAATGCTCCAGAAAACAAATGGATCACACTCCAGCACTTGGGTTTACTGATTTAAAAGACTTTGTTGCCTAACTCAAGATAATTAATGTGTCATGTAATTAAAGCAGAAAAAAAAAAGATAATTAAAATCAAGAGAATGGTATTTCTAAAGCCAATAGTTCAGAATAACTGAAGGAGACTGTTCCGATTACTGTTTCTATACTGACAAAGCTCTATGGAGAGTTGTAAAAGAACCCAGAGAAGAAAGTCCAAAGAAAAGGGGTATGTGGAAAACCTCCAGGCCAGGAGGCCACTGGTGAGGATGAATCTGGCAGGGTTATAAACTCTGACTGGCCCAGATGCGGTGGCTCACGCCTGTAATCCCCACACTTTGGGAGGCTGAGGTGGGAAGATCTCTTGAGGCCAGGAGTTCAAGACCAGCCTGGGCAACATAGTGAGACCCCTCTGTATTTCTTTTAAGGACTTACTTCTTTGCTTTAGCCACCGCTTCAATGAAAACCTGCTTGTATTTCTGCACTTGCTGCCTTAGAACCACAAATTTGTCCTTTTTGCCATCACAGATCAGCTTCAGATCAGCTTCCAGTTCAGCCCGGAGGTCAGGCTTAGACATTTCATAGCCCATGGAATCATAACCTGCAGGGAGAGAGTCGAGCTCAGTGAGGGCCCACCTGAGACCCTCAGGGACTTGGGCGACACCACCCACTACCCACTGCAAGCTCTGTCCTCCCTTACCTTCCACAAGTCCCATGCCCAGGTGCCCAGGGAGGAACCGCTTGTCTGGGGTGAGGCCCACGTACATCCGGGCTTTGATGGTCTCGATGTGCTCCGCATGAGTGGCATCCGTACCTGGAAGCCACTTGCTGGTTACTCTGAGGTAATACAGACAACAGCTCCACCCGGGTGGCGCATGGGCACCTTGCTCACCCCGGAATCCCTCCTTTGCCTGGACAGCCTATGCAGGTAAGATGCCTTCATTTCATTCCCATATAGCTCATTCAAGAAATCACAATGGCAACCTCAACTCTCTTGTTCCCTCACATCCCATTACTCAGGAAAGCTGTCAATTCCAGCTTCAAAGCTCTTTTTAAAAATTCTCTTCCCCATGTGTCCAAGCCATACTTGCAGCTTGTGTCCCTATTTCTAGTCTCTTCCTCTACCCTAACCATTCTTTAAGCTGTGGCCAAAGGGACCTTTCAAAATGTAGCTCTGCCATGAAGGAAATGCAAATTAAAACTGCAGTGAAGGCTGGGAGCAGTGGCTTATGCCTGTAATCCCAGCATTTTGGGAGGCCAAGGTGGGCAGATCATCTGAGGTCAGGAGTTCGAGACCAGCCTGGCCAACATGCTGAAACCCTGTCTCTATCAAAAATACAAAAATTAGCAGGGTGTGGCGGCACGCACCTGTAGTCCCAGCTGCTCAGGAGGCTGAGGCAGGAGAATCACTTGAACCCAGGAGACAGAGGCTGCAACGAGCTGAGATGGCACCGTTGCACTCCAGCCTGGGTGATGGAGTGAGACTCTCTTTAAAAAAAAAAAGAAAAAAAAAAGGGCTGGGCGTGGTGGCTCACGCCTGTAATCCCAGCAATTTGGGAAGCCGAAGCGGGCAGATCACGAGGTCAGGAGATCAAGACCATCCTGGCTAACACGGTGAAACCCCGTCTCTACTAAAAATACAAAAAAAAAAAAAAAAAAATTAGCCGGGTGTGGTGGCGGGCACCTGTAGTCCCAGCTACTCAGGAGGCTGACACAGAAGAATGGCATGAACCTGGGAGGCGGAGCCTGCAGTGAGCGGAGATCGAGCCACTGCATTCCAGCCTGGGCAACAGAGCGAGACTCCACCTCAACAATAACAACAAAAAAACAACCAAAAAAACCAGTGAAATAGCAGTTCAGACCTACTGGCAAAATCAAAAAGAGAGATAATACTAAGTGTTAGTAAGGATGTGGATAAACTGGAATCCTAGTGCCTTGCTGGTGGAAATGAAAAACGGTACAGCCACTTCAGAAAAGTTTGGTGGTTCCTAAAAATGTTAAATGTAGAGTTACCAAGTAAACCAGCAATCCCACTCCTAAGTCTACCCAAGAGAAATGAAAACACATATCCACACAAAACCTTGTACAAAACTGTTCACAGCAGGATTATTTATAATAGCCAAAGAGTAGAAACAACTCAAGTGTCCATCAACTGCAACCTCTGCCTTCCGGGTTCAAGTGATTCTCTTGCCTCAGCCTCCCGAGTAGCTGGGATTACAGGCGCCTGCCACCAAGCCCAGCTAATTTTTTCATTTTTAGTAGAGAAAGTGTTTCACCATGTTGGTGAAGCTGGTCTCGAACTCCTGACCTCAAGTGATTGGCCCACCTTGGCCTCCCAAAGTGCTGGGATTACAGGTGTGAGCCACTGTGCCTGGCTCTTTATAGGAAATAACTAAAGTAGGCAAATCTGGCCAGGTGCAGTGGCTCACTCCTGTAATCCCAACACTTTGGGAGGTTGAGGTAGGAGGACAGTTTGAGGGTGCAAGTTCAAGACCAGACTAGGCAACATAGCAAGACCCTGTCCCTACATAAAACAAAAAAGTCTGGCTGGGCATGGTGGCTCAGGCCTATAATCCCAGCACTTTGGGAGACCGAGGCGGGTGGATCATTTGAGGTCAGGAATTCGAGACCAGCTTAGCTAACAGTGAAACCCCATCTCTACTAAAAATACAAAAATTAGCCAGTGATGCGCACCTGTAGTCCCAGCTACTCAGGAGGCTGAGGCAGGAGAATCTCTTGAACCTGGGAGGCGGAGGTTGCAGTGAGCTGAAATCGTGCCACTACACTCCAGCCTGGGTGACAGAGTAAGACTCTGTCTCAAACAAAACAAAACAAACAAACAAAAAACCCAACAAAAAAATTAGCTGGGTATGGCAACACATGCCTGTAGTCCCAGCTACTTGGGAAGCTGAGGTGGAAGGATCCCTTGAAACCCAGGGTTCATGGCTGTGACCTAGCCTGGGTGACAGAGTAAGATGCTATCTCTCCAAAACAAATTTTTTTAGGGGCCGGGCATGGTGGCTAACACCTGTAATCCTAACACTTTGGGAGGCCTAGGTGGGCGGATCATGAGGTCAGGAGTTTGAGACCAGCCAACCTGGCCAACATGGTGAAACCCTGTCTCTACTAAAAATAACAAAAATTAGCTGGGTGTGGTGGTGCGTGCCTGTAAGCCTAGCTACTCGGGAGGCTGAGACAGGAGAATCGCTTGAACCTGGGTGGCGGAAGTTGCAGTGAGCAGAGATTGTGCCACTCCACTCCAGCCTGCAGCAACAAGAGCAAAACTCCATCTCAAACAAACAACAAAAAAAACAAAAAAACTGACTGTGGTGATAGCTGCACAACTTTGTGAATATGCTAAAAAATGTACATTATACATTTGAAGGAGATAAACTGTATGGTATATAAATAAAGCTGTTAATAATTATATATATATATATATAAATTTTTTTTTTTTTTTTTTTTAGATGGAGTCTCTCTCTGTCACCAAGGCTGAAGTGCAGTGGCACAATCTTGGCTCACTGCAACCTCCACCTCCCGGGTTCAAGCAATTCTCCTGCCTCAGCCTCCTAAGTAGCTGGGATTACAGGCGTCAGCCATAACACCTAGCAATTTTTTGTATTTTTAGTAGAGATGGAGTTTCACCATGTTGTCCAGGCTGGTCTTGAACTCCTGACCCCCTACCTTGGTCTCCCAAAGTGCTGGGATTATAGGTGTGAGACACAATGCCCAGCCTGTTAATAATCTTTTAAAAATATTATTATTATTTTTTTGTAAGTGTACCTCTATGTGGTTCCTTTACTTAGAAATCCTGGAAGACTCCCTGCTGACCATGTACCACCATCTAAGCCCTTCAACTGGGCAAGCCAAGGCCCTGCAAAGTCAGGCTTGGATCATCTTTCCAGGCTCACCTTCTATGGCCACCCCCCTCCAATCCAGCTACAGCAGGCTTCTGCTTTCCTGCTCCTGTGCCCTTCCTCAGGCCTACCCTGCACTGGGCTGCCCTTCGCTGATCCAGAAGTCTTACTATGAGGTTTTGGTCCAGCTCAAATGCCAGTCCACCCATCACATTTTCTTCCCTGCCTACTCCCTGCAGAACTATTACATTGTATTCAATGTGTTGGTTTGGTTCTTCTGTTAGATTGAGAACTTAAAAAATGAGGTCTTATTCCTCCTTGTGTCCCTGGTGCTTAGTCCAAGCTCTCACTCTTGTGGGCCTCACACTTTGTACCTCAGTCTCTGCCTTCCGGGCTCAAGTGATCCTCCCACCTCAGCCTCCCTACCTATAGGCATGCACCTAATTTTTTGTAGAAATGTTTTTTTTGAGATGGAGTCTCACTCTGTCACCCAGGCTGGAGTGCAGTGCTGCGATCCTGGCTCACTGCATCCTCCACCTCCCGGGTTCATGCAATTCTCCTGCCTCAGCCTCCCAAGTAGCTGGGATTACAGGCATGTGCCACCACGCCTAGCTAATTTTTGTATTTTTTTAGTAGTGATGGGGTTTTGCCATGTTGGCCAGGCTGGTCTCGAACTCCTGACCTTAGGTGATCCACCCGCCTTGGCCTCCCAAAGTACTAAGATTACAGGCATGAGTCACCGTGCCCAGCCAGATCTGTTTTGTTGTTGTTGTTGTTGTTTGTTTGTTTGTTTTAAGACAGAGTTTTGCTGTTGTTGCCCAGGCTGGAGTACAATGGCACAATCTCAGCTACAGGTGCCCACCGCCATGCCTGGCTAATTTTTGTATTTTTAGTAGAGACAGAGTTTCACCATGTTGGTCAGGTTGGTGGTCTTAAACTCCCTACCTCAGGTGATCCACCCAGCTCAGCCTCCTGAAGTGTTGGGATTACAGGCGTGAGCCACTGCGCCCAGCAAGATGGGGTTTTACCGTGTTGCCCAAGCTGGTCTTGAATTCCTGGGCTCAAGTGATTCACCCATCTTGGCCTCCCAAAATGCTGGGATTACAGGTGTGAGCCACCACACCCAGCCTTCATACATTTTTATCAAATAAATCATGACGGGTGAACCTCTACTAATTTTACCTAAACCTGCAGGGTTTCTGGATGTCCTAGTGATGGTCAAGGACTTCACGTTGAAGCACTGCTTCCCAAGTCATAGGCCTAAGAAACTCCCTTTGTGGATGACGCAGCTGCTTATGTAACACATGCCCAGGGAGCTCTGCTTCCCCTCCACTGTGCTGCAGGTATTCCTGGACTAGGTTTGCCAGAGAAAGCCCTTGAGAGCCTTGACAAAAACGAATGGAGGGGACAGCAGATTAGTTACAAGGCCCTACCTGCAAAGCTTGAGCCATGGGACTTATCAGCAGGGTCCTGGCACATACATGAGGCCAGCGTGAGCAGCCTGAGTGAGCAGTGTGGGTTCAGACCTGCAGAGACAGCTGCCACCCTCACCCAATGCTCCACATGGGAAGGAGGCTCAGGGCTCTATCTGACACTTCAAAATGAAGATAGATTTTATGATAACTGTCCCAAGTTTTAATTGTTGGTTCCTTACATGCTGTTCTTATTCGAAAGAACAACAAATCCTCATGTGGCCAATGGGTGCTCCCAGTTGGGCCCTCAAAGCCATGGGAAAAGTCTCTGTTACTATGTGGACAGCACAGTGCATGGTTTAAGAGCACTGACTGTGGAGTTATTCAGACCAGGTTTTAATAATACACACTTTGTGAACTTAGGTAAGTTCTTAACCTCTCTGAGCCTTATTTCAACTATAAAATGGGATAAAGATATAGCAGCTGCATTAGAGAATGGTTTGAAGACTAGAGGAAACCTGTACCTGGTACACTGTAAGCCTTAGCTCAAGAGATGCGAGTTACCCAGAGGAGCCACTGACCAATGCCATGCTTCTCCATGAGGGCAATGAGGTCGGCCTCGGTGAGCAGCTTGGGTGGGCTGGTCTCCCCGTCCACCATCTCCACGGTGCTGGGCTGAAAGTGGGATCCTTGCTCATAGACAGGGAGGATCTACAGGGAGCGGCAGGTGCAACAGTCAGATGATTCCATCAGCACACTCAGGCAAAAAATAACCTCATTTCAAGGAACATGATCCTGCTCCACTAGAGAACTCAGGGCTCACAACACAACTGTCCTCCCTCTCACTGGGGACCACTCTTTATTACCTTGTCACTCCAGTGATCATATGGATACACATCCAGATAGTTTCGGGCCAGAATCATGAGGCCATGGGCCACAAAGCGTTCCTGAGCGATGTCGATCTCCACTGTGGTCTCCTGCCCCTGAGCATCCTGGGAGCAGCAAGCCAGGAAATGGCGAACAATAAACTCGTACAGTCGCTGTTCATCTCCCTAGGAAGAAAAGAGGAGTACGAAACTCCCCCTAGAATATCACCTCTCAAGGACAGGAGCATCACTGGTAGCCTTAGCCTAATGTCCTGCACAGAAGAGGCCACACTGCTCCTCAGGCCCTGCACTAACATGGAGTGCCAGGCAAACAAGTCCTGGGGAGAGGATGGGTTTAGGTTGACACATCTCACAACTCAAATCTGGCAAAGATAAGCAAAGGAGTCATCTTCCCTTCCAGACTGGGAAGTGGTTCTTTGATGTAAACGCAATCTAAGCAGAAAACAAGATGAAAGCGTAAGAAGTTAGCAAGACACTCCTCAAATACAAGAGACAGCAACATTGCACCTGGTGGCCTTAGCCCAACTTCATGCACACATTTAAGCAGTAATTTTCAGGGTAATTTTCAATTAGGTAATCAATGATTTAGTGAGCCTCAGTCTATCAAAAGCCCATGAGACATTTATACACATATCCAATAATTCCCCTTCTAAGGATTTCTTCAAAGGAAATAACTGGAGAACCACAAAAATATTTATGTCTACAAATGTTAACTATAGTATCAAAAACACACAAAAAACAGATTTGGCAAAATAAATTATGGCACATCTTTGTAATTGTTAAATATCATGCTTAATAGGCAATTTTACCCCCTTATAAACTTTTGTATTTCTTAATTTGTCTAAAATGAACATGTAATTTTTTTTTTTCCGAGACAGAGTCTCACTCTGTCGCCAGGCTGGAGTGCAGTGGTGCAATCTCGGCTTATTGCAACCTCCGCCTCCTGGGTTCAAGCGATTCTCCTGCCTCAGCCTCCTGAGAGTTGGGACTACAGGCACATGCCACCCCGTCCAACTAATTTTTCTATTTCTAGTAGAGATGGGGTTTCACCATGTTGGCCAAGATGGTCTCAATTTCCTGACCTCGTGATCTACCCGCCTTGTCCTCCCACAGTGTTGGGATTACAAGCATAAGCCACCGCGTCCGGCCATATTTTTAAAATCAGAAAGAATGTATTTTATTAAAAGAAGGAGGAGAAGAACAAAAGACTAAGATTTCCCCAGCTTTGTGAGAAGCCTACAGATGTAAACAAGCATTTCCCCAACTTTGTGAGAAGCCTACAGATGTAAACAAGCCTAATGGCTCCTGTGCCTGCAGAGCCTGCCCCTGGCTGAGGAAATGACTGAGACAGACAAGCAGAGCTGTGTGGGAAACTGCAGTGACAGGGGGTGGCACGACTGGGGTGGCAGCAAAGTTTCAGGAGGCAACCAAAACTGAGCCAGCCTTGGGAGGATGGATAGAATTCTCTAGTTCCAGGGACTGGGAAGGCCACAAGGCTCACAGTGGAGGTGGGGGTCTGCACAGGGGTTGCCTATGAAGGACTAGCAGGGAAGCAGCAGGAGCTGATGGAGAGTGGGATGTGGAGCTGGATTAAGACGGGGGCCCACCACGGGGAGGGATGAGGCGGTCTTTATCAAAGCCAGGCAGAGGATTGTGAAATGAGAGAGATCTCAAAATCACTTGTTTTTACAATCACAGCCCACAGAGTAAATTCAAACCTTACTACTGACCCCCAGCACTTCCCTATGGGTTCCAGCAGGCAGTACATTCAGGGAAACCAACCTGTAAGTTGTTGGTGTATTTGGTGGGGTGAATGGGAGGGTGAGCTTGGTCAGACTTGTTCCCATTGCGTGGGGTGGGACCACCCCGCTCTAGAATGCTCTGGGCAAAGGCCCCCCAGCGTGGATCGGGGGTCTGCTGTTCCACCAACACCGTCAGGTTTAAGTCTCTGGGAAAAATGTTTGTTTCTGTTCGGGGATAGCTGATGTACCTAAAACCAAGGCAAACAAACAGAAAAAGAAATTGCTAGGCTCTCTGATTGGTCTATAAACAACTGAAAGCACACACTAACACCTGCAAACACTCATCTGATGTAGCCAACTCAACTGAAGGCAGCCTACATTACCTGCTTCAGAAAAGTTCTGAGATGAGATGCACCCCCTCATGGGATGAAAAGCAGCTGGCTCTCCTGCTAGCACACTCAAAGAAGCCAAAAGGGGCAGCACAGCACAGGAAAAAGGCCAGCAGCCTCATAGCCTGGGGCTTGTCACTGGCCACTCTGAGGGTCAGTCTGACAGACCAGCCCTGATGCAGCACATGAGACTCACTGACCCTGACAAGTTCCACCAGCGTGTGCTTCAAGACTTTTCTTAGAGTACACAAAGAACAATGCTGTCCGATAAACTGTAATGTGGACTCTATTTGTTTTTTCTTTTTCATTTTTGAGATAGTCTTGCTGTGGCACCCAGGCTGGAGTGTAGCAGCGCAAGCTTGGCTCACTGTGGCCTCCGTCTCCCAAGCTAAAGTGATCCTCCTGCCTCAGCCTCCTGAATAGCTGGGACTACAAGTGTGTGGCACCATGCCTGGCTAATTTTTTTTTTTTTTTGTAGAGACAGGGTTTTGTCATGTTGCTCAGGTCGGTCTTGAACTCCTGAGCTCAAGTGATCCTCCTGCCTAGGCCTCCCAAAGTGCTCAGATTTCAGGTGTGACCCAACATACCCAGTCTCTATTTGTAATTTTTGTTTCCCCCCAAGAGACGGAGTCTTGCTGTGTCACCCAGGCTGGAGTGCAGTGGCGTGATCTCAGCTCAGTACAACCTCTGCCTCCCGGGTTCAAGCAATTCTCTTGCCTCAGCCTCCTAAGTAGCTGGGATTACAGGTGCCTGCCACCACACCTGGCTAATTTTTGTATTTTTAGTAGAGATGGGGTTTCACCATGTTGGCCAGGCTGGTCTCGAACTCCTGACCTCATGATCCACCCACCTCGGCCTCCCAAAGTGCTAGGATTACAGGCGTGAGCCACCACGCCCAGCATAATTTAAAATTTTCAATTAGTCACTTAAGTTACTGAGATTACATTCTATTTCATAGAAGTCTTCAAAACCCAATGTATATTTTACATCTATAGCGCATCCCAATTTGGACAACTTGAATTTCAACTGCTCAATAGCTGCAGGCTGGACAGCACAGTTAGAGGACCTCAGTGCTGGGGTGTATATGACTGGGGCGGGGAGGAGTTTCACAGGCAAACAACTTTTAAAGGTGCCACCCACTGTCTGCCACTTGCCAGGGCCACAGGGAGATGGCTGAGGAGTCAAAAGTAAGATCTGAATCTACTCTATGGGTTTTTACATAGAAACACCTTTTCTGTATCAGAAAAGAGAAGTCAAAGTCAAAATCCTACCTCAGAGCTTGGGTGCTATCTAGACAATCAGTTTTTCCCCATAAACTCTTATTTCTTTATTTCTTTCTTTTTCCTTTTTTTTTTGAGATGGAGTCTCACTCACTCACCAGGCTGGAGTGCAGCGGTGTGATCTCACCTCACTGCAACCTCCGCCTCCTGGGTTCAAACGGTTCTCCTGCCTCAGCCTCCCCAGTAGCTGGGACTACAGGCGCACGCCACCACGTCCAGCTAATTTTTGTATTTTTAATACAGATGGGATTTCACCATGTTGGCCAGGATGGTCTTGATCTCTTGACCTCGTGATCTGCCCGCCTCAGCCACCCAAAGTGATGGGATTACAGGTGTGAGCCACCGTGCCCAACCCATAAACTCTATTTCTCAAATATTTCATCCTGATAAAGACGGTTCAAATTCTACTCCCAAACCCAAAATACTTACCCTTGAGTGTAGAGCTTCTCAGCAATCCTCATGGTTTCTTTAGCATTTATTCTCAACTTTCGAGAAGCCAGCTTCTCAAGCTCCTGTGAAATGGGTCAACAGGCATGTTAGGTGTACTGCATGGGTCAGGCAGCACAACTCAAATACACAACTCATCTTCAGTCAAATCTGGCCCGTGTCACTCCAGGTGCTTCTGTCAAACAGAGCTGAAAAGGCTGCCCAACAACGATTTCTGGGCCTGCCAAGCAGAGTCAGATCCTAGCCTAGTGGTTCTCAGACTTTAATGTGTGCAGGACTCAACTGGGAAGCCAGCAGATTTGGGGCCCTGACCACTGGGGAAGGTGCTATGTTGCGCAGGCTGATCTTGAACTCCTGGCCTCAAGCAATCCTCCCGCCTTGGCCTCCCAAAATGCTAGGATCACAAGCGTGAGCTACCATATCCAGCCCAAACTCCACATTTTTTTTTTTGAGACGGAGTCTCGCCCTGTCGCCTAGGCTGGAGTGCAGTAGCATGATCTCGGCCCACTGCAACCTCCACTTCCTGGGTTCAAGTGATTCTCCTGCTTCAGCCTCCCAAGTAGCTGAGATTACATCACCACCATGCTTGGCAAATTTTTGTATTTTTAGTAGAGATGGGGTTTTGCCATGCTGGCCTGGCTGGTCTCGAACACCTGACCTCAGGTGATCTGCCCGCCTCGGCCTCCCAAAGTGCTGGGATTACAGAAGTGAGCCACCACGTCTGGCCAAAACTCTGCATTTTAAAAATTTTTTTATTTTCGAGACAGTCTCGCTCTTGTTGCCCAGACTGCAGGGCAGTGGCACGATCTCGGCTCACTGCAACCTCTGCCTCCTGGGTTCATGCGATTCTCCTGCCTCAGCCTCCTGAGTAGCTGGGACTACAGGTGCTCACCATGGCTGGCTAATTCTTGTGTTTTCAGTAGAGACGGGGTTTTGCCATGTTGGCCAGGCTGGTCTCAAATTCCTGACCTCAGGTGATCTGCCTGCCTTGGCCTCCCAAAGTGCTGTGATTACAGGCGTGAGCCACCGCGTCTGGCCCAGAAATCTACATTTTTTTTTTTTTTCACATGGAGTCTTGCTCTGTCATCCAGGCTGGAGTGCAGTGGCGTGATCTCGGCTCACTGTAAGCTCTGCCTCCTGGGTTCACGCCAATTCTCCTGCCTCAGCCTCCCGAGTAGCTGGGACTACAGGCACCTGCCACCACGCCTGGCTGATTTTTTCTATTTTTAGTAGAGACAGGGTTTCACCATGTTAGCCAGGATGGTCTCGATCTCCTACCTCGTGATCTGCCCGCCTCAGCCTCCCAAAGTGCTGAGATTACAGGCGTGAGCCACTGCGCCCGGCCCGAAATCTACATTTTTTAACAAGCAGTCTAATACACTGCTTTAACACAGACAGTCTGAGAACCACACTTTGGGAATACCACCCAAGCCCCAGTAAATTCTCCTGGAGGGTGAAAATAATGAGCTGTTCTTTTCCCTAGGTGACAAGCTAACAATGCTGATGACTATACGTCACACTACAGCACACTTAACCAGGGAGGACTAAAACACATATGCCTACTATATAAAATCAATGCAGCTGGGCACGGTGGGTCATGCCTCTAATCCCAGCACTTTGGGAGGCCGAGGCGGGCGGATCACAAGTTCAATAGATTGAGACTACCCTGGCCAACATGGTGAAACCCCATCTCTACTAAAAATACAAAAATTAGCTGGGTGTGGTGGCGCGCACCTATAGTCCCAGCTACTCAGGAGGCTGAGGCAGGAGACTCGCTTGAGCCCGGGAGACGGAGGTTGCAGTGAACCAAGATCACGCCACTGCACTCCAGCCTGGCGACAGAGCAAGACTCTGTCTCAAAAAACAAACAAACAAACAAACAAAATGCATAACTTCCCCCATGCAATCCCTCCACACATATACACATTTATTGTGGCTTGACCAAGACAAAAGAACGCACTGACCACCAGTCCCTGTGTGCTTCTTAGCCTCCATGCTTGTTAGCCTGAGTGTTCTGTATGTCCAACCTCCAGAGTGAATTCTAATAGTAATTCTATCCCAAATTTTCCTGCTAAGTGGTGACTGAGAAGGCATACTCCTAATGTGATTTACTCAGACTTATGTTCTGTCAGGGTGGCTCTTTCTGGGGTCAAATAATTTGAGAAGCCCTGTTCTAAAGTAGGTTCATATAGCAGATTATTTAAAGCAATATTTATACAGATTATACAGCAACATGAAAAAAATGCTTGGGTGGAAAAGCTACTCTAATTATAATGCTGTAAAAATATGCATATTAAAAAACAGGAAGAGATACTAGTAATTATGTAAGGATGGTGAAGCCATAGGTTGTCTTCCTCTTTTTGTTTCCCAAACCTCATACAATGCAGTTATATTGCATTTGTTAACAAAAACAACAAAAAAAAGGCCAGGCGCGGTGGCTCACGCCTCTAATCCCAGCACTTTGGGAGGCTGAGGTGGGCAGATCACCTGAGGTCAGAAGTTCGAGACCAGCCTGACCAACATGGAGAAACCCTGTCTCTACTACAAACACAAAATTAGCCAGGCATGGTGGTGCATGCCTATAATCCCAGCTACTTGGGAGGCTGAGGCAGGAGAATCACTTGAACCCGGGAGGCAGAAGTTGTGGTGAGCTGAGACCGCACCATTGCACTCCAGCCTAGGCAACAAGAGCGAAACTGCGCCCTGTCCCTGTCCCTGTCCCTCTCCCTCTCCCCACGGTCTCCGTCTCCCTCTCTCCACGGTCTCCCTCTGATGCCGAGCTGAAGCTGGACGGTACTGCTGCCTGATTCTCCTGCCTCAGCCTGCGGACTGCCTGCGATTGCAGGCGCGCGCCGCCACACCTGACTGGTTTTCGTATTTTTTTGGTGGAGACGGGGTTTCGCTGTGTTGGCTGGGCTGGTCTCCAGCTCCTAACCGCTAGTGATCCGCCAGCCTCGGCATCCTGAGGTGCCGGGATTGCAGACGGAGTCTCGTTCACTCCGTGCTCAATGGTGCCCAGGCTGGAGTGCAGTGGCGTGATCTCGGCTCGCTACAACCTTCACCTCCCAGCAGCCTGCCTTGGCCTCCCAAAGTGCCGAGATTGCAGCCTCTGCCCGGCCGCCACCCCATCTGGGAAGTGAGGAGCGTCTCTGCCCAGCCGCCCATCGTCTGGGATGTGAGGAGCCCCTCTGCCTGGCTGCCCAGTCTGGAAAGTGAGGAGCGTCTCTGCCCGGCCGCCATCCCATCTAGGAAGTGAGGAGCGCCTCTTCCCGGCCGCCATCCCATCTGGGAAGTGAGGAGCGTCTCTGCCCGGCCGCCCATCGTCTGAGATGTGGGGAGCACCTCTGCCCTGCCGCCCCGTCTGGGATGTGAGGAGCGTCTCTGCCCGGCCGCCCCGTCTGAGAGGTGAGGAGACCCTCTGCCTGGCAACCACCCCGTCTGAGAAGTGAGGAGCCCCTCCGCCCGGCAACCGCCCCGTCTGAGAAGTGAGGAGCCCCTCCGCCCAGCAGCCGCGCCGTCTGAGAAGTGAGAAGCCCCTCCGCCCAGCAGCCACCCCGTCTGGGAAGTGAGGAGCGTCTCTGCCCAGCAGCCACCTCGTCCGGCAGGGAGGTGGGAGGGTCAGCCCCCCGCCCGGCCAGCCGCCCCATCCGGGAGGGAGGTGGGGGGGTCAGCCCCCCACCCGGCCAGCCTCCCCGTCCGGGAGGGAGGTGGGGGGGTCAGCCCCCCGCCCGGCCAGCCGCCCCGTCCGGGAGGTGAGGGGCGCCTCTGCCCGGCTGCCCCTACTGGGAAGTGAGGATCCCCTCTGCCCGGCCACCACCCTGTCTGGGAGGTGTACCCAACAGCTCATTGAGAACGGGCCATGATGACAATGGAGGTTTTGTGGAATAGAAAGGGGGGAAGGGTGGGGAAAAGATTGAGAAATCGGATGGTTGCCGTGTCTGTGTAGAAAGAGGTAGACGTGGGAGACTTTTCATTTTGTTCTGTACTAAGAAAAATTCTTCTGCCTTGGGATCCTGTTGATCTGTGACCTTACCCCCAACCCTGTGCTATCTGAAACATGTGCTGTATCCACTCAGGGTTGAATGAATTAAGGGCAGTGCAAGATGTGCTTTGTTAAACAGATGCTTGAAGGCAGCATGCTCCTTAAGAGTCATCACCACTCCCTAATCTCAAGTACCCAGGGACACAAACACTGCGGAAGGCCGCAGGGTCCTCTGCCTAGGAAAACCAGAGACCTTTGTTCACTTGTTTATCTGCTGACCTTCCCTCCACTATTGTCCTGTGACCCTGCCAAATCCCCCTCTGTGAGAAACACCCAAGAATGATCAATTAAAAAAAATAAAAATAAAATTAAAATTAAAAAAAAAAAAGAGCAAAACTCCATCTCAAAAAATAAAAAATAAAAAATAACAGGCCAAGCAGTGGTTGGGTGTGGTGGCTTATGCCTGTAATCCCAGTACTTTGGGAGGCTGGGGCTGGAGAATCACTTGAGGCCAGAAGCTTGAGACTAGCCTAGTCAACATAGTGAGATTCCATCTCTACCAAAAAATTTTAAAAATAATTAGCTGGTCATAGTGGTACATGACTATAGTCCCAGCTACTTGGGAGGCTGAGGTGGGAAGATCTCTTGAGCCCAGAAGTTTGAGTCTACAAAAACAAAATAAACAAAAAAACAAACAGTGAGGCTAAGCAGGACCGTGTCTTTCTCCAGTGTTTTCTTGTGTGGCCTGGTGATGGGTGATATTTTCTTCCACCAAGCCACAGTCTAGGCGGTAGAACCACAGCCTCAAAACAGTAAGTGTTCCCCGAGTGCCTGAAACAGCCTGTCTGGAACATACCACAGTGTCCAAGGCTTGAGGCCGCCACTTGCTCTTGGGCTTAGATCTGACCTCTACCACAGTTGCCATGGGATCCTAGAAAGCCAGGAAAGAAAAGACCATGTTAACCTGTTAGTGCATCATCTCCATCCTTCCTATGGATAGCCCATGCCAATCCTTCTAGATCACACTGACCACCGCCAGCTAAGCCCGCAGTGACAGCCTAGAAGAGTGCCCCACTTAATGTCGCTTGTAGCTGACAGTATGGTAGACACCATCACTACTTTCCCACTCAAACCAAGATTGTGAAGGGCAATTTCACAAGCCTTAAGGTGCTTCCACCAGAGCCTATGAAATCCAACAGCCTATGCATCACCTGAGTACAGTTTTCTATGTACACGTGCACAGTGCTCTTTCTGTTGTTGTTTTCTTTAAAATACAGAGATGGGGTCTTGCTATGTTGCCCAGGCTGGCCCAGAAGTCCTGGGCTCAAGCAATACTCCCATAAGCCACCATGCTTGGCCCAGTGCTCCTTTAAAAAAAAAATTCAGGATAATACAGTTAGAAATAGGAGAAATTGCTGGGCACAGTGGCTCACGCCTGTAATCCCACCACTTTGGGAGGCCGAGGCGGGCGGATTACAAGGTCGAGAGCTAGACCATCCTGGCCAACATGGTGAAAATCCATCTCTACTAAAAATACAAAAATTAGCTGGGCGTGGTGGTGCACGCCTGTAGTTCCAGCTACTGGGGAGGCTGAGGCAGGAGAATCGCTTGAACCCGGGAGGTAGAGGTTGCAGTGAGCTGAGATCGTGCCATTGCACTCCAGCCTGGCAAATGAGCTAGACTTTGTCTCGGGGGAGAAAAAAAAAAGAAATAGGAGAAATTGTACAAGTTGGAGACCTTTAATCTTAAAACCAGCTTCATAGTTTACATCACCCACCACGTAGTCCCGCACCACATCCGAGTGAAGGAGAAACAGGGCAGGTCTTTTTATTACTTACTTTTATATTTTATTATTATTTGATTTTTTTTTTGAGGCAGTATCTCGTTCTGTCACTCAGGCTGAAGTGCAGTGGCATAATCATGGCTCACTGCAGCCTCAATCTGCTGGGCTCAAGCGATTCTCCCACCTCAGCCTCCCAAGTAGATGGAACTATATGCAGGTACCACCACGCCCAGCTAATTTTTCTTTTTTAGAAAGATGGGGTTTCACTATGAAACCCAGGCTGGTGGTCTTTTTATTTAACAAATAATTGTACAGTGTCACAGAGACTCCCAGTGGTCCAGGGTCAAAGGGTGGAGTGAGAGAGAGATGGAGAAGGCAGCATGGTCTGCAGAAGGGGCAGGGACACACTAGGACTCTGCCATGTACAGCTCTCACGTGTCTGTGGGTTAAGTCTCTTCACTTTCTTTAGCTTCCTCATCTGGAAAATGTGGATGCTATCACTGCCTTCAGAGGCATTATTAGGATTAAACAAAACAACACATAACGAAGTGTACCTGGTCCATAGCGGGTGCTGCACAGTTATCACATCCCTTTGCCTAATTAGTAACAAATCTGCCAGTGGGCTACAGCCAAGAAGCACACCATGAATTAAGCCTAGAGAGCTCGGAATTTTACTTAAGCATGACTCTGTGCAGCCCCTGGGTTAAACCAGGCTGTTATGTGCTAATAGGAAGTGGCATCAGAAAGTAAACAATCAGCCCAAGGGCCAGGAAACATTAGGGTGGGTCCCAACTCTGCCACCAACTGGCCTATGACCCGGGCCAGTCTTGCTCCCTTCTATGACACATGCGTGTCCCACCCACCCCGCCAGCCCTTTCCCTAATCTCTCCAGCCTCTGCTCAAGTGTTACCCCTCCCCTCACTGTCCCTCCGGCCTTTCTCTATCCCTTTACCTTGCTTTATTTTCTTCCTAGCTTTTATCACTATATAAAATTAGCCCACTAATTTGTGACTTTCACTTCTCTAGATGTCCTCATGTGACCAATAAAGAGGGGGCTGAGCCAAATGCTGTTCATTCTCTCCTAGCTCTATAAGTCAATGACCTGGACTGGTCTAGATAATCCTTGCTAATTTCTGGTGATAGTATATGCCCCAAGAGGGGATTTCAACTATACGTTTCCCAAAATTTCTGATTTTATCTAAAAATAATGTAGATACTTCCCTTTTCCTTTTAGTGCTGTTCTCATGGGGTTCGTCTTATTGGTTCCCAAAAAGTGATCCCCTGAGATGCAAACTTAAAGCTAAAGTCCAATGGGAGAATGAGACAGATCACCTCTGCCGACAGTGGGAGTGGTTTGGGAGGTGTGCAGAATGTTTCCTAGATCATTAGGGGTTCTTACCTCCACACACAACTGATAGAGAACTAGGCAAGCCGTGTGGTTAAAGAGTCGATGCCTTTTCCAGTTGAATTCTACGATACCATCTTTGTGGTCATGAGTTACTATATTAAGGAGAGACAAACAGAAAGGCTGTGTCTCAGAGACATGTCATGATATGACAGATAGAAAAAGGTTTATTGTGGTGAAAGTCAAACGAATATCAAATAGGGAGGAGTTTCTGGATAACAAAGGGAACTTTAAGTGGATTGTAATGGGCCAGGGAGGATGACAGCAAGACTAAAATAAATCACATCTTTATTAGTGCTATTAATGCTCACAGTCCCCCTCCTTAACCTTGAGCCCATAGGTCCCAGGCCATAACACCCACTCCAGGCCCTACCTTTAATTCTGTGGAAGATTTCTGGTACAAAAGCCTGAATGGCTTTGAACCGCTCCACCACAAAGCCCAGTGTGGGGAACTGGCAGCTGCCGTAACTGATGAGCTGCTCTGCCAGCACCTCAGGAAAAATCCTCTGAAGCCGCAGGGTCTGGAACCTAGTAAAGGCAGCTCCTGGAGAGTGAAGGAGAGTGAAGGAAGGTGAAAATGATGGATAATGAGAGTCCAGGGCTGGCTGCACATATCGACACAGAGCCCATTTTTGGTCCCATAACACAACATTAATGTGGCCATGGGAGAGGTCTGCCTAGCTCCTCACCAATCCTCAGGTCCAGCTCCTGCCTCACATCCACAGCATCGCTCACCCTCTGATCAGGCTCGGTCAGGTTTTCACAAGCTGTCCTGACGGCATGGGGTGTGATCTCAGAGAATCGGGCTCGCAACACCTGCAGATTGGGCTTTACTGCAGAACACAAGGTGTTACCAAGGTCAAAGTCAAATCACACTGCCCTCCATCATAAAGGACTCACTTTTCTTAAAGCCCCTTGAAATAAAGGCAAACCAGTTCAAGAAGCTGTGAGATGACCAATTTACCTATTAGGTTAAATCAATGGTGTACAGTGTCTAAAGAGGAAACATCACCATAACCTTTAAACTGAGTGTACTGTCAGAAATAGTGATGGAGTTAATTTTAGCTAGTAACTGTGGGGAAAAGAGAGATCAGATCGTTACTGTGTCTAGTAGAAAAAGGAAGACATAAAGAAACTCCATTTTGATCTGTACTAAGAAAAATTGTTCTGCTTTGAGATGCTGTTAATAATCTGTGACTTGTCCCAACCCTGTGCTCACAAAAACATGTGCTGTATTGACTCAAGGTTTAAAGGATTTAGGCCTGTGCAGGATGTGCTTTGTTAAAAATGTGTTTGCAGGCAGTACGCTTTGTGAAAGTCATCGCCATTCTCCACTCTCTATTAACCAGAGACACAATGCACTGTGGAAGGCCGCAGGGACCCCTGCCCAAGAAAGCCTGGGTATTGTCAAGGTTTCCCCCGACTGAGACAGCCTGAGATATGGCCTCGTGGGAAGGGAAAGACTTACAGCCCCCCAGCCCGACACTCGTAAAGGGTCAGTGCTGAGGAGGATTAGTGAAAGAGTAAGGCCTCTATGCGGTTGAGATAAGAAGGCATCTGTCTCCTGCACGTCTCTGGGAATGGAATGACTCGGTGTACAACCGACCATATATTCTATTCTGAGATAGGAGAAAACCACCTTATGGCTGGAGGCGAGACATCACGGCGGCAATACTGCTCTGTTACTCTTTACTGCACTGAGATGTTTATGTAAAGGTAAACATAAATCTAGCCTACGTGCACATCCAGGCACAGCACCTTCCCTTAAACTTATTTATGACACAGTCTTTTGTTTGTTTTCCTGCTGACCCTCTCCCCACCAACACCCTATAGTCACACTGCATTCCCCTCCCTGAGATAGTAAAGATAGTGATTGATAAATACTGAGGAACTGAGACCAGCACTGGTGTAGGTCTTCACTTGCTGAGCGCCGGTCCCCTGGGCCCACTTTTCTTCCCCTTTACTTTGTGTGTGTCTTCTTTCTTTTCTCAGTCTCTCGTCTCCACCTTGTGAGAAATACCCACAGGTGTGGAGGGGCAGGCCCCCTCCAATAACTAAAATACTAAAATGCTCTTGGTGAACATTTTTTTTTTGGAGACAGTCTCACTCTGTCACCCAGGCTGGAGTGCAGTGGTGCAATCTCGGCTCACTGCAACCTCTGCTTCCTGGGTTCAAGCAATTCTCCTGCCTTGGTCTCCTGAGTAGCTGGGACTACAGGCGCCCGCCACCACACCTGGCTAATTTTTGTATTTTTAGTAGAGACAGGGTTTCACCATGTTGACCAGGCTGGTCTTGAACACCTGACCTCAGGAGATCCACCTGCCTCAGCCTCCCAAAGTGCTGGGATTACAGGCATGAGCCACCGTGCCTGGCTGCCTTTTGCAACTTTAATCTTACTTGCTCTCTCAGGCCTTTTGAGAAAAGAAAAATATTGTCAATTAAAGGGTTCTGTAGGGGAATTTCATGTCCCTTCAGCAAAGAATATAGGACATATACACACTGTCCTTGAAAGTTAATGCACTTAAATTTCCAGGAGTCATTACAGCTTTGAACACAAAACCACTAAAGGAAAGTAGCAACCCCACCCTCTGAGCCAGAGAATGGCCTGTTCATCACTCCCTCTAAGTTACCCAAAACCATTAACACTGTTAGAGCCTTTAAATCCACTGCAACAATTATTTATTAATAGTCGAGCATTGTATAATATGAGAGATTAAAAAAGAAAACAGAACATTTTATAATTATTTTTTGTACTTTACTTGTGGTATATTCATTCTTTTATACATATTCAATATGTAATTTTATTTTTCTATTTTTGCTTCCATTAACCAAATACTAAAAGAATTCAATATATAACAACAACAACAACAACAAAAAGAATATAAAGTCCCTGTTCTCAAGGAGCCGGGTATCTGCTTGTATGCTTGTACCTAACAAGAAATGAGTCCTGGGCTAAATGGTTTACACCACTCATTAACTCATCTAATCTCTGTGGCAGTCCCAGGAAACATGTCAGATTGGCCTGATGTTAGAGACAAGGAAGTTGAGGCTCCCAATGGCTCAGTGATTTGCTCCAGGACACATGGCTGGTGGGACTCACAGACTGGGAGGGAGAGTACCTGCAGAGGACCTCATCCGTGGCCCATGTGCACATATAAACAAGAACACTCTATTTATGGAGTTCCAAAGTAGAGAAAGTCAGCAGCAGCAGCAGCACTTACCAGCCTTACACACGTGGATAATCTCAAACCCGATGTTTTCGCCTTCTCTATCACAGTCAGTCCAGATCACCAGAGCCTGGCACTGGCGAGTCTCTCGTTCCAAAGTTTTCTTAAGTTCGCAGTGGAATAAGAGTGGTGAGAACAGAATTGCACAACAGTGACTTGACATCTCTAAGCTAAGGGGATCTGACTGAAGGTTAATGCTGCTCTTGGAGTGTGACAACTTGGCAAGGGAAAGAGAACAGAGAAAACTGCTCTCATTGGTGCTAATCATGATACAACCCCTTAGAACCATAAACGAGTTTCTAGAATAGAGGGTTTAATATAACTTCCCCAATATGACAAAACCTGAAATTCAGCTCTAACACACACACACGCGCGCGCGCGCGCGCGCACGCACACTTCGAGAGGTTCTGATTATGACCTAGTTAAAAAAAACGAAGCCGGCTGGGCGTGGTGGCTCACGCCTGTAATCCCAGCACTTTGGGAGGCCGAGGTGGGTGGATCACGAGGTCAGGAGATCGAGACCATCCTGGTTAACACGGTGAAACCCTGTCTCTACTAAAAATACAAAAAATTAGCCGGGCATGGTGGCAGGCACCTGTAGTCCCAGCTACTCGGGAAGCTGAGGCAGGAGAATGGCATGAACCCGGGAGGCGCAGCTTGCAGTGAGTCGAGATCGCACCACTGCAGTCCAGCCTGGGTGACAGAGCAAGACTCCATCTCAAAACAAAACAAAACAAAACAAAACAAAATGAATCCCAATTGAATTTCATCCAAAGTTTTATCAGTTCTCAATAAATTAACTGGCCAGGCTCGGTGGCTCACACCTGTAATCCCAAAACTTTAGGAGGCTGAGGCGGGTGGATCACGTGAGGTCAGGAGTTCGAGACCAGCCTGGCCAACATGGTGAAACCCCATCTCTGTTAAAAATGCACAAATTAGCCGGGTGTGGTGGCAGGCGCCTGTAATCTCAGCTACTTGAGAGGCTAAGGCAAGAGAATCGCTTGAACCTGGAGGCAGAGGTTGCAGTGAGCTGAGATTGCACCATCATACTCCAGCCTGGGGGACAAGAGCGAGACTTCGTCTCAAAAAATAAATAAATAAATAAATAAAAATTAAAAATAAATTAACTATACATGCCCTGACTGCTTGACAACTGGCAATTTACTGTCAAACAGGCATTTATACTTTGTAGCCTCTTTCATCTAACAAGGGGTGAGATGGGGGCTACGCGCTAATAATTTACAATACTTAGGATTATTTTTTGATAGGGTCTCACTTTCTCACCAGGCTGGAGTGTGGTGGTGTGATTACGGCTCACTGCAGCCTCAACCTCCTGCCTCCTGGGATCAAGTAATCCTCCTTCCTCAGCCTTACTAGTAGCTGGGACTATAGGCATACATCACCATGCCTGGTTAAATTTTTTTTTTTTTTTGAGAGATAGGGTCTCACTATGTTGCCCAGGCTGGTCTCAAATTCCTGGAGTTCATGTGATCCTGCCTTGGCCCCACAAATTGCTGGGATTACAGGCATAAACCACCATGTCCAGCCTTTATTCCTAGGATTTAAACAACTACCATTCATAAAAAAAGTTTACTTCAGTCCCTTGGCCACTTAGCCACATTTATACAATGGGTGGGAACCAGCTTTTTAAATCATGGTAGTGACTTTGGTGGAAAACCTTATCTCCAAATGCCAATGCATTAAAAACAAAGAAATCACTCTGTTTGACTCTGTGGTTTGACTCAGTGCCATATGTCTTCCAAAAGACCCTACCTTGATGTCTACAAAATTCTCTGGGCAGTACTTTTCAATTTCTGCTTCAAAGAGGACAAGAGGGTTGCAGCTCTGCCTAGAAAAGAAATGAAAACAGAGTCCCAACTCAGTACATGACAGAGAGCCCTCCAATCTAATGACAGCAAACTGTTCCAATGGGTTCATGGTGTATCCCCAAAAGAAAAGGTCCCGGTGAATTGAAAGTAAGGCTATGACCCTCTGCATGACACACTGTCCACTTCTCCAAGAGTGTGAACAGGACTGATAAGATGGCATTCTGGAGCCCTTTCACAGGTAAATGCAATCCAATGGCTGCATGAAAAAGGTCTGGCAATTTTGAGGAACACCAAAAGTGACTGTTTAAAGATTTAATAAAAATTCACAATGGATCAGATAATCCTAGGTCATCTTAGTATTATAAATTACTGCTGGGCGTGGTAGCTCACGCCTGTAATCCCAGCACGTTGGGAGGCCAAGGTGGGTGGATCACGAGGTCAGGAGATCGAGACTAGCCTGGCTAACACGGTGAAACCCCGTCTCTACTAAAAATACGAAAAATTAGCCAAGCGTGGTGGCAGGCACCTGTAGTCCCAGCTACTCGGGAGTCTGAGGCAGGAGAATCGCTTGAACCCGGGAGGTGGAGGTTACAATGAGTCAAGATTGTGCCACTGCACTCCAGCCTAGGCGACAGAATAAAACTCCGTCTCAAAAAATAAATAAAATAAATAAATAAATAAATAAATTACCAAGGCACAGTGGCTCACGCCTGTAATCCTAGCACTTTGGGAGGCAAAAGAAGGCAAACCCTGCTTTGTTTAAGACCAGCCTGGGCAACAGGGTGAAACTCCATCTCTACTAAAATAGAAAAAATTAGCTGGGTGTAGTGGCACATGGCTGTAAGGCCAGTTACTTGGGAAACTGAGGCATGAGAATCGCTTGAACCCAGGAGGCGGAGGTTGCAGTGAGACGAGATTGCGCCACTGCACTCCAGCCTGGGTAACGCAGCGAGACCCTGACTCAAAAAAAAAAAAAAAAAAAAACCGGGCATGGTGGCTCACGGTCTGTAATCCCAGCACTTCAGGAGGCTGAGGTGGGCAGACCACCTGAGGTCAGGAGTTCGAGACCAGCCTGGTCAACATGGTGAAACCCTGTCTCTACTAAAAATACAAAAACTAGCCAGGTGTGGTGGCACGTGCCTATAGTCCCAGCTACTCGGGAGGGTGAGGCAGGAGAATCACTCGAACCCAGGAGGCAGAGGTTGCTGTGAGCCGAGATCACACCACTGCACTCCAGCCTGGGAGACAGAGTCTCACTCTGAAACTTTGTCTCCAACAAAAAAAAAAAAAAAAAAAAAAAAAAAAAAAAAAAATTACCCAGTAAGATCAACATGCCTCAAAATTCCTGTGAAATTTCACAACTTACTATAATCTGAAAGTCCTTCCCTTGAGAATTGTACTGACCATTTTCGAAACTGCATCTGGAAATCATGAGCCAGTAAATGTCCAGAAACTGAAGTCATTACCATGGTAACATTCTGAATGATGACAAAATTCAAAATTCAGTTAGTCTTTTTGCAGTTATTATTCTGCCAAATCATTAAAATGAGAGGGAGGAGCTTCTATTAAAGACATTTTTAAAAACCTGATTGGGAAGAAATAAACATAAATATAAGCTCTTCAAAGCCAAAAGTCACAGGAATACAATCACCATTCTAATGATATGGTGTATAACTGACGCCTCTTGCATCAGTTAAATTTTCCTCAAACTATTGTATATTAGCTTTTTTTTTTTGTAATGAAGAGCTGAGATGGGACCATATTTTATTAAAAAGAGAACTCCTCATAAATTATAAAGTGATCACCCCATATCCAGGAACCTTTAGGTTGTTAACAGTTGTTATTCTTAAGACAGCGACATATTCTACATATGACGAGGCTGACTACTTTCTCTTGCTTATGATTGAAATATTTTAGAAATATTTTAGCACCTACCTGGCCATACAGATGATAATCAAATTCATAGATCTTGTTGAATTTTGAAAGTCCTTCTCTCTATAAAACAAAAATAAGTAAAAAATATAAATTACGTTTAAAACAATGGATTCCTTTGTATAATTCTTTCTGATCCTGAATTTGGCAATGATTTCTTGGTTATGATACCAAAAATATAACCAACATTGCTCCAAAGAAGATAAGAAATGGCCAACAAGCATATGAAAAGATGCTCAATGTTATTAATCATTAGGAAAACACAAATCAAAACCATGATGAGGTACCACTCCATACCCATTAGGATAATAATTAAATAGAATAATAAAAAAAACAAGTAAAATAACAAGTGTTGTTGAGGATGTGGAGAAATTGGACATTGTCAGTGGAAATGTAAAATGCTTTGGCCACTCTGGAAAATGTTGGTGTTTCCTCAAAAAGTTACAGAGTTATCACATGTCACAGCAATTCCACTCCTACAAATTTACCCAAAAGAATTAAAAACGCATTCAAATACACTTTGGGAGGCTGAGACAGTTGGATCACTTTAGGTCAGGAGTCCGAGACCAGCCTGGCCAACATGGTGAAACCCCATCTCTACTAAAAATACAACAATTGGCCAGGTGTGGTGGTGTGTGCCTGTAATCCCAGTTACTTGGGGAGGCTGAGGCAGGAGAATCACTTGAGCCCAGGAGGTGGACGTTGCAGTGAGTGGAGATGGCGCCACTGCACTCTAGCCTGGGTGACAGAGCGAGACTGTCTCAAAAAACAAAAAACAAACAAAAAAACACATTCAAACAAAAACTTGTACATGAAAGTCTATAGAAGTTCTTTTTTTTTTTTTTTTTTGAGATGGAGTCTGGCTCTGTCGCCCAGGCTGGAGTCCAGTGGCGTGATCTCGGCTCACTGCAAGCTCCACCTCCCGGGTTCACACCATTCTCCTGCCTCAGCCTCCCGAGTAGCTGGGACTACAGGCACCTGCCACCACGCCCGGCTAATTTTTTTGTATTTTTAGTAGAGATGGGGTTTCACCGTGTTAGCCAGAATGTTCTCAATCTCCTGACCTCGTGATCCACCTGCCTCGGCCTCCCAAAGTGCTGGGATTACAGGTGTGAGCCACCACGCCCAGCGAATGTCTATAGAAGTTCTATTCACAATAGTCAAAAGATGAAAACAACCCAAATGTCCATCAACTGATGTATGGTAAAATGAAATATGATCTATCCATATGATAGAATATTATTCAGCCATAAAAAGGAATGAAGAGGCCAGGTGCAATGGCTCATGCCTGTAATTCCAGCACTTTGGGAGGCTGAGGTGGGCGGATCATGAGGTCAGGAGTTTGAGACCAGCCTGGCCAACATAGTGAAACCCTGTCTCTACTAAAAATACAAAAAATTAGCTGGGCGTGGTGGTGGGTGCCTGTAATCCCAGCTACTTGGGAGGCTGAGGCAGGAGAATCGCTTGAACCTGGGAGGCGGTGGTTACAATGAGCCGAGATCTCATCACTGCACTCCAGCCTGAGCGACAGTGAGAGAGACTCCTTCTCAAAAACCAAAAAAAAGGAATGAAGAACTGATATTAATACATGGTACAACATGGATGGACTTCAAGATTATGTTAAGTGAAAGAAACCTGACACAAAAGAGCATGTAAGATATGGGTCCACTTATAGGAAATGCCCAGAACAGGCAAATCCATGGGGAAAGAAGGCAGATTCGTGGTTGTGAGGGGCTGAGGAGAGGGTAAGGGGAGTGACTGCTTAATGGATATGAGGCTTCCTCTTGGGGTGAAAAAAAACCTTCTGGAACTAGATAATGATGATGGTGGCACATTTAGTGGACAAAATTCCACTGAACTATATACTTCAAAATGATTAAAATGGTCAATTTTCTGTGCATTTTACCACTCAACCTACATGGCTCTCTAAGATTCTTATGATCTGCACTCAACTGCTGCTCTTGCTTAACTCATCGGTGTCTCTTCCCACCACACCACACCCCTAACTTCTCACTGTTTCTGAATATGCCAAGCAGTTTCAAGCCACTAGGTTGTTCTTTACAGTTTCTACTGCCTGGTAAAACTTTCAGGCTCAGCTCAAACATGCATTCAACAACTATGAATTTTTTTTTTTTTTTTTGAGACAGAGTCTCACTCTGTTGCCCAGGCTGGAGTGCAGTGGCACAATCTCGGCTCACTGCAAGCTCCACCTCCCGGGTTCATGCCATTCTGCTGCCTCAGCCTCCCGAGTAGCTGGGACTACAGGCGTCTGCCAGCATGCCCGGCTAATTTTTTGTATTTTTAGTAGAGACAGGGTTTCACCGTGTTAGCCAGGATGGTCTCAATCTCTTGACCTCATGATCCGCCCACCTCAGCCTCCCAGAGTGCTGGGATTACAGGTATGAGCCACCATGCCTGGCCTAATTTTTTTTTGAGATGGAGTCTCACTCTGTCGCCCAGGCTGTAATGTAATGGCGCAATCTAGGCTCACTGCAAGCTCCACTTCCCGGGTTGAAGCGATTCTCCTGCCTCAGCCTCGTGAGTAGCTGGGATTACAGGACCCCGCCACCACACCTGGCTAATTTTTGTATTTTTAGTAGAGATGGGGTTTTGCCATGTTGGCCAGGCTGGTCTTGAACTCACGACCTCAGGTGGTCTGCCCGCTTGAGCCTCCCCAACTGCTGGGATTACAGGCATGAGCCGCTGCGCTCAGCCCAAGTATTAATATTTATTGAAAGTTTCCTGCATTCCAGACACCATATTAGGCGTTAGGACATAGCAATTAACAAAATATAATCACTGTCCTTTGGAGTTTAGAGTCCAAGGAGAGGCAGTGACAAAAATCAAATAAATGATCGCACATCCCATTATTTAACTGTAACTAGTAGATGCCTTTCAAGTAGAATAGAGTGCTATGACAGCATGTCAGTAAGGGTCTCTGACCTAGTGTGGGGGAACAGGTGGTGAGGGAAGGATTCCTTGAAGATGAGACATTTCAGCAGCCTCTCTCCTCTAGCCGCCCCAGATGCCAAAAGGAAAGATGGCCAAGGGGAAGAAGTGGCCCTGGCCCCTGTTGTCATGGAGCAGCAGTAGGCCAAAAAGGTGGTAAATCCCATTTGAGAAAAGCCCTAATAATTTTGGCATTGGATATCTAGCCTAAGGGCCTCACCCACTTTGTCAAATAGTCCCGCTATAAATGGCTGCTGCGGCAGAGCCGCTGTACTCTATAAGTGGCTGATGTGCCACCTGGGATTGACCAGTTCACCCAGGCCTCAGACTACCAAACTTAAGCTACTCAATTGCTTAAGCTGGCCCACAGTACAGACAAGAGACAGAGCAAGGGATGAGATCGAAACCGTTGGCCCAGGCTGAGAAGAAAGCTTCCAGCAAAGGGGATGTCGCTACTAAGAGACCACCTACACTTCGAGCAGGGGTTGACACCGTCACCAACTTGGTAGAGAGCATGAAGGGTCAGCTGGTGGTGGATCCCATTGAGCTGGTTGTCTTCCTGCCTGTGCTGTGTCCTAAGATGGGGATTCTCTACTGCACCGTCAAGACTGTGGTGTCAAATTCCACAGGAAGACCTGCACCACTGTCACCTTCACAAAGGTTAACTTTCTGGTAGACAAAGGAGCTCTGGCTAAGCTGGTGGGACAAATTACAACGACATATGAGATCTGCTGTCACTGGGGAGGCAATGCCCTGGGTCCAAAATCTGTAGCTTGCATTACCAACCTAGAAAAGGCAAAGGCTAAAGAATTTGCCACTAAACTGGGTTAAGTACACACTGTTGTGTTTTCTGTACATAAAAATAAAAATTCTCTTTCCAAGAAAAGTCTTTCCTTTTGGCTGGAACTGCCATCTTGGAGTAATTTGCCAAAATGACGAACACAAAGGAAAAGAGGACGAGGCATCTGATGTATGTTCTCCTGGCCTTATAGAAAACATGGAGTTCGAGCTGGGCACGGTGGCTCACGCCTGTAACCCTAACACTTTGGGAGGCTAAGGCGGGTGGCTCACCTGAAGTCAGGAGTTCAAGACCATCCTGGCCAACACAGTGAAACTACTAAAAATACAAAAAATTAGCTGGGCATGGTGACAGGCACCTGTAATCCCAGCTACTAGGGAGGCTGAGGCAGGAGAATCGCTTGAACCCGGGAGGCGGAGGTTGCAGTGAGCTGAGATCACACCATTGCACTCCAGGCTGGGCAACAAGAGCAAAGCTCCATCTCAAAACAAACAAACAAAACAAAACAAAAATATGGAGTTTCTCTGGCCACAGACACCAGAATCTACAATGAAGGTGATATTGAGGACTTCGTGAGAATGCATACTGTTCAAAAGGGAATGACCCACAAATGTTACATGGCAGAACTGGAAAAGTCTATGTTACCCAGCATGCTGTTGGCACTGCTGCGAACAAGGGCTAGATTCTTGCCCAAAGAATTAATGTTTCTATTGAGCATATTAAGCACTCTAAGAACCAAGATCTTTCCTGAAATGTGTGAAGGAAAATGATCAAAAAAGAAGCAAGTCAAAGAGAAAGGGTTCACCTGAAGTGCCAGCCTGTTCCATTGAGGGAAGTACACTTTGTGAGAACCAATGGAAAAGAGCCTGAGCCGCTGGAACCTATTCCCTATGGATTCATGGTATGATAGGGTAAAAATAGATAAATACAAGACCTCTGGATTGCTTAAAAAAAAAAAAAAAAAAGGGAGAGAGAGAGAATGAATTCAGCAGAGCCTTGAAGGATAAGAAGTTAGGCGTAGGAGAACCATTTTTCAATGTCTACTTCATTGTCTAGAAGTAGACAAACCTTGGGGCTGGTCACCAGGACTTCTAGCACTGGAAACAGGTAAAGCTGTCAGCCAGCATTCACACAACCCTGGCTCCACTCCCACTATCCTTGATCTGGAAACAGGTCTTAGGACCCTGGGAACTAAAGAAAAATGAGCAGGGAACTTCCACCCATGCTCTTAGAAAAGTTCTCCAGAAAACCATTTCAGGATCTACTTTTGTTATCTGAGATATTTTCCTGGACAGCTCTTTATGTCTCCCGTGGCACCTCCTTTATGAAACTTTTTCTTATCCTCCCTTGCGTTTGTGCCTCCCGTGTGTGTAGAACACATTCTTACCACTTACCTCTCTCAGAATCAGTTCATTCGGGTAGGAACAGGGCTGACTTCAAATCTAATCCCCAAACCTTACCGTGTTGCTGTAAGTGTGCACTGTGAGGCTGGAAAGTCACAAGGGCTGTAGAATGCAGTGGCTGTGGCACAGGATGGGGAGGGCTAGGTTGGCTGGGGAACGATCGGGCAGGGCTTGAATGCCAAGTTAAGGGAATCTGGTCAGTAGTTCCCAAATGAATTTCTGAATCTCTAGGGAAAAACAGTAAAATACACACTTCCCCAGCCTCACACAAGACCCGAAGGGCAGCCAGCGCCCGAGGCGATTCCGAGAATCAGACAAGTTTGGGAACCTGCTAAGCGCAAGCAAAACAAAAGGTTTCCACGCAAATGAGTGAGATGTATCAACTACGTTTTAAAATGCACTCCAGTCCGAGAGCAGACAGGAGGCCACTGCAATAATCCAGACGAGGGGCAGTGAGGCCTGAGAAATGGGAGATAATCGCCTTCATCTCGATTCTTGGCGCCCACCACGCTGTCCCGCTCGGTGGGCCTCCCTTAAGGCACGCAGCTGATCGGAACGCGCTTTCTTACCCGCCTCATGCGACCGTTTGACAGCAGGTCGGCGATCCCCTTGGCCGCGTCGTTTTTTTCGGCCACACAGAGGACTTTCCGCACGCCTCGGAGGGCCATCTCCATGGCGGCGCGGGAAAAGGCACGGTCTTCGGGCCGTCGCAGCCACCGGAGCGCGTAGCGGGCGACAGGAAAGATCATCCTCAGACCTCGCGCCCGGAGCCGCTCCCCGGCTGCCGGCGCATCCTGGGGAAGCCAGAGATGAGGCTCAAATGGCGCCCACCGAAAGGGAACCAGAGCCTCGCTTCGGTCACGTCCCCACCAGCCTGCTGGCCTTTGGAGCTTCAGTCACTGAGCCTTTCCCGTGCCGCAGCCGCCGCCTCAGCACCGAATCCAGTATCTTGGCGTGGAACTTCCGCCCGCCTTCTCCAGCTACTTCCGCCAGGCGCGCGCCCCACAGCGACCTGGAACTACAACTCCCAGACTGTCCCGCGCCCCTCGTCCAAGCACGTTCCCCTCTGCCACCTTCCCGCCGCCCCCGTCTCACTCCGCCCCTCTTTCCCCTCCTTCCCGGCAGTGGTTGGTTAATCGGACTCCTTCTTGCGGGGAGCCGCCAGACACTCCCATCCAAGGCCTCTTTCTCATGACTTTTTAATCTCCTGCTCGGAAGTCTACGAGGACGCTTCCGGGTCACGCGGCGCGGACACCAGGAGTCATGTGATGTCAAGATGGCGGCGCCGCGGTAGCAGGATCCGGGTTGTGGCGTCCTAGGAGCCGCGACGGTTTCTGCCCTCGGGCAGTGAGGGGCAGCAGCGCTTGGCTGACCCCTGCGGCGTCCCGTAGCCTCGCGTTAAGCCTTGTTCAGAGCGGGGGCTTTTGCTGTCGCAGTGGGTTCCGGAGAGTGCAGGTGATTTCGCAGCAGGTTTCTTGTGCTGGCCGCGCTCGCCGGACGAAGAAGAGAAGGGCAGTTGGGCCTGCGGCCTTGGCGTTCATGAGGCCTCAGAGAGCTCCGGAGGAGCTACAACTGTGAGGGGGCTGCTAGAGTTCTTCTCCTCGGGTGTGTGAGAAGCAGCCTAGGACCCCGGGTTCGGGGAGTCGCAAAGAAGGCCGTAAGGGCTTCACTTCCTTCTCCGGAGGCCTGCCTTCTGCGCGTCGATTAACACCGCATTCTTTCCCACTTCCTCTCAATGTTTTCTTCATATATCTGGAAATATGATCAGCGCCCCTGACGTAGTGGCCTTCACCAAAGAGGAAGAGTATGAAGAAGAGCCTTACAATGAGCCGGCCCTGCCTGAGGAGTACTCGGTGCCGCTCTTCCCCTTCGCCAGTCAGGGTGCTAACCCCTGGTCAAAACTGTCCGGGGCCAAGTTTTCGAGGGACTTCATTCTTATTTCCGAGTTCTCTGAGCAGGTGGGACCCCAACCCTTACTGACCATCCCCAATGACACCAAAGTTTTTGGCACTTTTGATCTCAATTACTTCTCCCTGCGTATCATGTCTGTGGATTACCAGGCTTCCTTCGTGGGCCATCCTCCTGGATCTGCCTACCCCAAGCTGAACTTCGTGGAGGACTCCAAGGTGGTGCTGGGAGATTCTAAGGAGGGCGCCTTTGCATACGTGCACCACCTTACCCTATACGACCTGGAGGCCCGTGGCTTCGTGAGGCCGTTTTGCATGGCTTATATCTCTGCAGACCAGCATAAAATCATGCAGCAGTTCCAGGAGCTTTCAGCCGAATTTTCCAGAGCTTCTGAGTGCTTGAAGACTGGCAACAGGAAGGCATTTGCTGGGGAACTTGAAAAAAAGCTGAAAGACTTGGATTACACCAGGACAGTGCTACACACAGAAACGGAGATCCAGAAGAAAGCCAACGACAAAGGCTTTTACTCATCTCAGGCAATTGAGAAAGCCAATGAACTGGCCAGTGTGGAGAAGTCCATCATTGAACATCAAGACCTGCTGAAGCAGATCCGCTCATACCCTCATCGGAAGTTGAAGGGGCATGATTTGTGTCCTGGTGAGATGGAGCACATCCAGGATCAGGCCAGCCAGGCATCCACTACCTCTAACCCTGATGAGTCTGCCGACACAGACCTTTACACCTGCAGACCAGCCTACACCCCAAAACTTATCAAAGCAAAGTCCACCAAGTGTTTTGACAAGAAGTTGAAGACCTTGGAGGAGCTCTGTGACACTGAATATTTCACCCAGACCCTGGCTCAGCTCAGCCACATTGAACACATGTTCAGAGGAGACCTGTGTTACCTCCTGACCAGTCAGATTGATAGAGCACTTCTAAAACAACAGCATATAACAAACTTTCTCTTTGAAGACTTTGTGGAGGTCGATGACAGGATGGTGGAGAAACAAGAAAGCATACCCTCTAAGCCCAGTCAAGACAGGCCGCCTTCCAGTTCTCTAGAAGAATGCCCAATTCCTAAAGTGTTAATTAGTGTTGGTTCTTACAAGTCCAGTGTGGAGTCTGTGTTGATCAAGATGGAGCAGGAACTGGGAGATGAGGAGTACAAGGAAGTGGAAGTGACTGAGTTGAGCAGTTTCGACCCCCAGGAAAACTTGGACTACCTGGATATGGATATGAAAGGGAGTATCAGCAGTGGTGAAAGTATTGAAGTTTTGGGCACGGAGAAATCCACCTCCGTGCTTTCTAAATCTGACAGCCAGGCAAGCCTCACAGTACCATTGAGCCCCCAGGTGGTCCGGAGCAAAGCAGTCAGCCACAGGACCATCAGCGAGGACAGTATTGAAGTCCTCAGTACCTGCCCCTCTGAGGCCCTCATCCCTGATGACTTTAAGGCCAGCTACCCAAGTGCCATTAATGAAGAAGAATCATATCCAGATGGCAATGAAGGAGCCATCCGCTTCCAGGCAAGCATCAGTCCTCCAGAACTGGGTGAGACAGAGGAAGGCAGCATAGAAAACACCCCATCACAAATAGACTCCTCCTGCTGTATTGGGAAGGAGAGCGATGGTCAGTTGGTGCTGCCCTCCACTCCAGCCCACACACACTCTGACGAGGATGGGGTGGTGAGCAGCCCCCCACAGCGCCACAGGCAGAAGGACCAGGGGTTCCGTGTAGACTTTTCAGTGGAAAATGCCAACCCTTCTTCCCGAGACAACAGTTGTGAAGGGTTTCCCGCTTATGAGCTGGACCCGAGCCACCTGCTGGCTAGCCGGGACATCAGTAAGACCAGCCTGGACAACTACTCAGACACCACCAGCTACGTGAGCAGTGTAGCGTCCACCAGCTCAGACAGGATCCCCTCTGCTTATCCTGCTGGCCTGTCTTCCGATAGGCATAAAAAGAGGGCTGGCCAGAACGCCTTAAAATTCATCCGCCAGTACCCCTTTGCCCACCCAGCCATCTACTCCCTGCTCAGTGGGAGGACACTTGTGGTCCTGGGGGAAGATGAGGCCATAGTCAGGAAACTCGTGACTGCACTGGCTATCTTTGTCCCCAGCTATGGCTGCTACGCTAAGCCCGTGAAACATTGGGCCTCCTCCCCTTTGCACATTATGGATTTTCAGAAGTGGAAGCTTATTGGCTTGCAGAGGTAACTGGTTCCAGGTGGTGGGGAAGGGCCTTGGCCAGATAGGGATGAGGTATATTGGTGTGGTGGAGCCAGAATCAGGAAGCCTGGCTTCTAGACAGGGCCCAGTTCCTACCACTGTGTTACTTTTGGCAAGTCATCCCCCTCTCTGGTTTCTATTTCCTTGTCTGTCATGTGAGGGGGTTGCAGTTCCTAGGTGGTTGCCAATCCCCATCTGTCCCCGAGCTGTGTCAGCATTATTAGGGAAAGTTTTTATTTTTATTTTTATTTTTTTGCAACGAAGTCTCGCTCTTGTACCCCAGGCTGGAGTGCAATGGCGCGATCTTGGCTCACTGCAATCTCCGCCTCCCGGGTTCAAGCAATTCTCTTGCCTCACTGTCCTGAGTAGCTGGGATTACAGGCGCCTGCCACCACACCCGGCTAACTTTTCTATTTTTAGTAGAGACAGGGTTTCACCATGTTGGCCAGGCTGGTCTGGAACTCCTGACCTTAGGTGGTCTGCCCACCTCAGCCTCCCAAAGTGCTGGGATTACAGGTGTGAGCCACCGTGCCTGGCCGGAAAGTTTTTAAAATCATGGATTCCTGAGTCACAAGCCCTCGAGGTTCTGATTCGGTTGGTGTGAGGTAAGACATGGAATTTATCTGTCGCCATTGCCAGCCCGACTGCAGGGAGCATCTCTCTATAAAAGCAAAAGGCCCATCAGAAGGGACAGATGACTCCGGGGGAAAGGGTTAGGCTGCTGTCCCTGTAAGTGCTCTTTCAACCTTCAGAGCACGTGCAGATGTTGGGTGCTGGGAGCATCTGCCTCCAGCATCCTACACAGGCATGAGGTGCAGCGGGCAGGTGTGGGGAGCCCTGCACCCTGGAGGGTCCCCTGCGGGGCCAAACGGGAATGGGATGGGCTACAGCTCACCCAAAGAATTCCTGGGGGAGGTGAGCAGTAGACGCCACCTGAGGGTATGATAAGATGAAACTGTTGTGGGCTGTGGCAGTTAGCGGGAGCAGTGGGTGGTCTGGGTCAAGTCCTGGTGTGCCACCACTCGCTGTCTGGATTCGGACCAACCATCTCATTCAGTCACCCAATCATGTTGAACACCTCTGAAGGGCTCCCGGGGCCCACCTGAGAGCCATCGGAAGGGTCCACGTTTAGTGCATGTCCAAAAAAACACAGCACAGTGCAGTGCTTGGCCCTGAGAAGCACTCAGAGGGTGGAACCGGCACCGACACAGGCAGGCAGACTGGGGCCTACCTGAGGCCCAGCTTTAAAAATCACGAGCAGGAGAGATGTCTTCGGTGGTTGTGACCTTCCTATCCTCGGAGGTGTTGCGCTGCAGAGGCTCTGCACTCTGAGCACCACGGCCCAGAAGTGTGCCTCCTCACTCAGGCCCACTGCTCACATGATGGACTCTCTTTCAGGACTCTCACCTCCGAACACCAGTCTTGCTGGCCCTTGATTTTTTTCACTCTGCCTGGAAATGCTTGTAGTTGGGTCAGCCATCTGTGGGGATAAGAGATGGCTAAACAACCAAGCTGGTATCCTGTCATTTGCGGGTTTTTTTGTTTTGTGTGTTTTTTGTTGTTGTTGTTGTTGGAGACAGAGTCTTGCTCTGTTGCCCAGGCTGGAGTGCAGTGATGTGATCTCAGCCCACTGCAGCCTCTGCTTCCTAGGCTCAGGTTATTCTCGTGCCTCAGCCTCTCCAGTAGCTGGGATTATAGGCGTGCGCCATCATGCCAGGCTAATTTTTGTATCTTTAGTAGAGACAGGGTTTCACCATGTTGGCCAGGCTGGTCTCAAATGATCGGCCCACCTCAGCCTTCCGAAGTACTGGGATTATAGGCGTGAGCCCGGCCCTGCTGTCATTTTAAGTGAACACCAGGGGTCATCCTATTGCTTACTAAGCAGCAGTCACAAGCCCAGACCGAAAAGCAGAGCACAGTTCTGCCTGGAGAAAGTGCTAGCCTAGCGTGTGTCAGAGGCCCTGGGTTGAGTCCTGGCTTGACCACTTGCTAGCTAGGTGACCTTGCACAAGCTGCCGCTTTACCCAGTCCTCTGTGTCCTCATTGGTGGAGAGGTGTCCTCCTGCGGCGGGCATGGTAAGTGCAATGTGAGGCTGCAGTTGGGGTGCCGTGCGCTTGGGGGCTGGAGAGCTGAGGCTTGTCCCTTCCCGTGTCATCTGGCCTCCTGAGGAGGAGCTTTATGGAAACAGAAGTGGAGGAACAGTTAGAATAGCCAGCTTCTTCCAAAAGAAGTGCCACCATTGGGGCAGGTGTCAGCTGCATCAGGGGATGCTGGGCCTGGGAACAGGTATCCCAGCAGAGACGGAGGGGCAAAAAGGTGGGAGGTGAGGCCTGGGTGCCCTGTGGCGGCAGCACCTGTGGAGCTGGATGTGCGGAGCTTGGGAGGTGTTTGACTCTGGCCAGCCCCACTTTAGGGAGGTGAGGGTGAAGGCGTTAGAGAGCTGAGAAGGTCCCGGAACACAGGGGCCATGCAGCATGGGTTGAGGAGAGCGTCTCACTGCCCTCATGAGCTTTCTTAGCTGTCAGCCACCTGCAGGCCCCAGTTCCTCCATGCCTGTGGGATGCATGTGGTCCATAGCCCAGTGCTGTCCCTATGGTCAGGATGCATGCAGTATGCATGGCCTGTCTCAGCTGTCCCATCTCTGTGACCTTGCTTTTGCCGTGGTCTGCCACACCCTCCTCAGTCCCTAGAGCCCACGCTGCTTCTGAGGGCCAGCTCTGAGGCAACTCCACGAATCCCCCAGGTCTTCCCAACTACAGCCTCTCCCAGGGAGAATGAGACCTTGTCTCCCTTCACTTCACTGTACTTGTGCACATTTCTTTTTTTCTCAATCAGACTGAGCTCATGCAGGACAAGAGTTCTAGGTCATTCTTCATTACAGTGTTAGCTCCCAGGTCAATGTTGGGATGTTATAGATGCTCTGTAAATGATTGTTAAATATACAAGAAGATAAAACCCAGGAAGGAAAAAGTACTGTGAGAGTACCTTGGTCCCAAGTCACCGTCAGTCCTTCTTACACCATACCTGTCTGACGTAAACCCTAAATGTCTGGGCCCTACAGGGCAGTCCCTGCTGCTCTGGGGAAGCTGCTTCAGGAGGGTGTTTAAGGAACCGCTCCCCTCACTGAGTGAACACTGGCTTTTCCTGGCTCTGATGTGCCAGGCATTGGGGGCATGAGACCAGATCAGGTGCAGTTCTGGGACCCTAGAATCTTGGAGCTGCTTGTCCAGTGGGGAGAAGCCAATGAACAAACAGCAGTCACCCCACTGGTCAGTGCTAGGCTAAAAGTAGTGATGGCGATGACAGCAGCGCCTACCGAGGGCCAGCATTGTCCTAAGCACAACTCATTTTGTCTCCACAGCGACCCCATGAGGGATGTAATAGTAGTAACTGGCCTGTACAGTGGCTCATGCCTGTAATCCCAAATCTTTGGGAGGCCAAGGCAGGAGGATCACTTGAGCTCAGCAGTTCAAGACCAGCCTGGGAAACATAGCAAACTTCCATCTCTACAAAAAATTATCTGGGTGTGGTGGCATACGCCTATAGTACCAAATACTTGGGAGGCCAAGGTGGGAGGATTCCTTGAGCCCAGGAGATGAAGGCTGCAGTGAGTCATGATCGTGCTACTGCACTCCAGCCTGCGCAACAGAGCAAGACCCTGTCTCTAAATAAATAAAAACAGTAGGAATGTTATCTCCATCTTATAGGTGAGGCTCAGAGAGGTTAATGAATTTGGCCAAGGTCACAGCAGGAAAGCAGGAGAGGATCAGGGAAGGCTGAATATGCTTTAAATTAAGCTAAGTACAAGAGAGAGAGGTTATTTCAGGCAGAAAGAAGAGGTTTTTTTGTTTGTTTTGTTTTTTAAGACAGAGTCTCGCTCTGTTGCCCAGGCTAGAGTGCAGTGGCACGATTTTGGCTCACTGCAAGCTCTGCCTCCTGGGTTCACAGCATTCTCCTGCCTCAGCCGCCCAAGTAGCTGGGACTACAGGCACCTGCCACCACACCCGGCTAATTTTTTGTATTTTTAGTAGAGACAGGGTTTCACCGTGTTAGCCAGGATGGTCTCGATCTCCTGACCTCACGATGCGCCTGCCTCGGCCTCCCAAAGTGCTGGGATTACAGGTGTGAGCCATTGCACCTGGCCTGAACAAAGAGGTTTGTAATTCTAAGGCCCCACTGAAAGCTTGCCATGGCTCCAAAAAAGAGTCCATTCAGCAGGAATCGGACCACAAAGGGCTTTGTGGGCCACCCAGCGTGTTTTTGACCTTGGTCATAAGAGTGGTGAGGAGCCCTTTGAAGATTACAATGATCAGATTTGTCTTCCAGGAAGAGCCAGTGCATGCTGGCTAGGTGGATGCTGGCCTGGGGACAGGAGGCCTCACCTCCCAAGCTTCTGCCTCCACTTTCCCGGCCCTTGCCCTTCCTCCTGACCTTGGCCTGTCTGTTTCAGAGTGGCCTCCCCTGCCGGTGCCGGTACCCTCCATGCCCTGAGCCGCTACAGCCGCTACACGAGCATCCTGGACCTTGACAACAAAACCCTGCGCTGCCCCCTTTACAGAGGCACCCTGGTGCCCCGCCTGGCAGACCACCGCACACAGATCAAGCGGGGCAGCACCTACTACCTGCATGTCCAGAGCATGCTCACCCAGCTCTGCTCCAAGGCCTTCCTCTACACCTTCTGCCACCACCTGCACCTGCCTACCCACGACAAGGAGACAGAGGAGCTGGTAGCCAGCCGCCAGATGAGCTTCCTAAAGCTGACCCTGGGTCTGGTGAATGAGGATGTTAGGGTGGTCCAGTACCTGGCTGAGCTGCTGAAGCTGCACTACATGCAGGAATCTCCAGGGACCAGCCACCCCATGCTCAGGTTTGACTATGTCCCCAGCTTTTTGTATAAAATCTGAGGTCGGTCCCAGACACTGTGACCAAGACCTGTGACTCAGGGTATGGGGAGGGGAGGGGTTGGCATGACCAAACAGTTGCCTGAGCTGGACTGTTTAAGTTTCTGGTGTCTGGCAGCATGGTTCCCACGTGGCTCCTAGTAGTTTTTAAGTTGGACATGGGCAGAAGTGGAGCCTGGCTCCCTCTAAAGGCGTCTGGAGGGATGGTGACAGCTACATTTGGCTCCCTGGTGAAGAGTGGCCCCTGGATATGGAGGGGGCCTTGGTTTTCTGAGGACTGGCAGCCAGGGCAGAAGGGAAGCCACCAGTCCCTTGGTGGGGCAGGGTGAGGGCAGGAAGGCCAAAGCCTGATGGGAGGAGCACACTGGCTGTATTCAGCATTGCCGGACACTTGAGTGGCAAAATGAACGAGGGTGACAGCCAGGTAACTGTTGTGGTTTGGTGGAAAACAGGAGGGCAGAACACCCATCGCCTCCTTCAGACCCAGATGCAGCCCTTTATTTGCTTCCTGGAGCCCACTGTCCTAGGGGAGGCCCTGGACCAGCCAGTGGGGGTGAGAAAGGCTGCCACCCTCTGGGTCGTGGGAAACATGCGACCTTGGCCTCAGGGCCACAGAGCGTGAGCAGCACCCTGTCCGCTGTCCTCGCCACCTTTACCTGGGAGAGAAGTGCCTGTGAGCGGGCCTTGGGACTCACTCCCCATACTCTTTCACCAGGAACGAGCAGAGTGTTCACTAGTCCTAGTGTGAAGCGGGCACAAGTGACCAAAGCCAATGGTGAGGACCACCTTGGGGGCTGGAGAGCACAGCAGGCAGAGCAGGGCTGAGGCGCCATGAGGCCATCACCACCATGCAAGGGAGGAGCAGCCAGCAGCTCTCCTGGGTGGCCCACTGGCTCCTGCCGGCCAGAGCGCATGAGCACTGACCTTCCTCGTGGGGAAGGTCTGCAGACCCGTGTGAACATGGCAGAGGCCACACTCCAGCTCCCACCCACATAAACCTTTGCAACCACTTCACTACCTCTCACTGGGTCTCGTGGGCTTGGGACAGCAACGGTTCTGTTTAGTCAGCTGGTGCAGGTGGTTGGCCCAGCCGATGAGAACTCAAATAGCACGGATTTCCTGGATGAGCTACCACGTGGCGCTCTTCAGGTTCTGCCTCTGGGAGGCTGTGTGCACCTCAGTCACCACAGCTCACGGCCGTCCCCAGTTGAGTCCCCCTTCTGAGGACAAGTTTGAAACTGGGAAGGAGACACCCCCTGGTTCCGCCAGCACCTATCCCACTGATAGTGATCCCCTGGCCTCCCCGAGCCTCCTTAGGCAATGGCCACTGGTTTGTAGACAGAGAGTTTCTTGCAGCCTTGAAAATTTTATTCCCTAAGTGGGGACAGCTCTGGTATTACTGCTTCTTTAATTTGTTCCACAAAAATTATGCTGAAATGGACCTGAATCAGCCCTGGGTGTGCTTCTGTTGGCGCCTGCTGCTGAGGCCCGGCCTGCCCATCGGCCTGTAGTACGCCATCGAGGTCATCATGGAGCCAGCCAGCTTCTCTTCTCATCAAGGAGGCAGAGACCCCTGGTGGAAGCCAAGAGTGACCGAAGAGGGCTTGCATCACGTCACTCCAGTGGTTCCCTCCTTGTCCAAGTCCTCGTTTTAAGGGCATGGCCCGTTGGCTCCAGCCGTTGGCTTCTGTTCAGGGTCCTTGCTCCCATCAGAGGTGTTTGATTTTGCTCCTGGGGCTGCGATGGAGAACCTTTTGTGGCAGATGGTGCTGCCTACATCTCATTGGTTCTCTGTACCTGTGCCCGTTGCGCATGTTCACAGACAGGAGAGTCGCCAGCAATACCTTGGCAGCCTTTAAATGTGAAACGTCTGTTACTTGCGCTGGAGGCAGAGGCTGTGCAGGGAGCCTGCTTCTAATCGTGGGCTCCCTTATCTGTTACGGTTCCCTCCCCTCCTGTTCTAGATGCTGATTCGTTTTCTCACTGGCTGGTTAATTGCTGTCTACTTAGGCCTCCAAGGCCATAACTGTGCAACATTTTATCTGAGAAGGAAGGAAGGTCAGAAAGTGATCACTGGCACCACCACTGTGGCATTCCTGTCACACCAACACAGAAATTCACAGCTCATACTGTTCTCACCTGGGAAACTTGGGAAGGGCTGATGAGTTTGGGGCAGATCCTGAATTGCAGCCACACTTGGCCTTCTAGAAGCTGAAGTTGTGCCCTCAAGTGGTCCTAAGTAGAAGTCCACTTGAGGTATTTGCTGGCACACACCCTCAAGGGTGGTTCAGAAGGTCCTGAAACCTAAGGCAAAAGGCTGCTGGGGCATGAACAGAACAGACCGTCTCAGGGGCAGCCATGTAAGTGGCAAGCAGGGCTGGTCTCCCTCAAGGTGGTTCTTCATTAAGTAAAGATGGCTTCGTGACTAGTGTTTAGCTCCCAGATTTATATTTGGGTTAAAAACTAACTTTTCAATGTGGCAGTTTCAAAGGATTACTTGATGCAAAGTATGTTTCCTTTCAAAGGGATCTTGACGTGGTACCAGGACTGAGTCATGATTTGGGCAGAGGCAGTTAACACTGGGAAGCCCTGCCCCTCCCTATGCCCCCTTCACTCCGGGGAACTGAAACCTACTCTGAGTCTCACATCTCTAAACCTCAGTGCTGAGACCTATGCAGTGGGACTAATCTCATCAAGAATTTTCAGTTGAGGCCGGGCGCAGTGGCTCACGCCTGTAATCCCAACACTTTGGGAGGCCGAGGTGGGCGGATCACCTGAGGTCAGGAGTTGGAGACCAGCCTGGCCAACATGGTGAAACCCCATCTCTACTAAAAATACAAAGAAAGTTAGCCAGGTCTGGTGGTGCGTGCCTGTAATCCCACTTACTCGGGAGGCTGAGGCAGGAGAATCACTTGAACCCAGGAGGCAGAGGTTACAGTGAGCCGAGATCGCGCCACTGCACTCCACCCTGGGCAACAAGAGCGAAAACTGTCTCAAAAAAAAAAAATTTTTCATTTGAGGTATTCTTCCAGTAGAAGGTTAGTAAGTTTTTAATGAAACCATTAAAAATTACACTTCCCAGAAAATAGATGACATCAGTGCCCCTTGCTACTTTCTCAGTCCTCACTATTGCTTTGAGGGCCCAGGTACTGAAACTGGTTGTCTTGAGTTTTGTGTCAGCTTTTTCTCCAGTCCATTATCCCCCTCCCTTGCTTCTGAAGCAGTCTAGGTTAAACTAGCCAGGCAGGTAGTTGTGGACTGGTGATTTTCAAAAGCCCCACTTTAGAGATCAGGCCACAGCTTTTTATATCGCACAGGACACATCAGCCTGAGCTGCTGCCTCATGCCTGTTTCCCCAGGAACCTCACTCCTTTGGTAGAACCTTGGGATTTTAGAAATTGTGGCTTTTCCATAACTCATTTACTCCAACAGTTGAAGTTACACACATTGCTCCCAAATTTGGAAATAGACCACAGTACCTTACCTTTCATTCCCCATCTGGCCTTTACCTTCTTTGCTTCAGTGGTTGAAAACAGTTGCCATATTCAAAGTATAGTAGATTTCAACCTCACACAAATGACAAGTCCCATTTTACAATCCTAGGAAGGCCCACCAATTTCATTTCACGCGCCAGGGCGGCTGCAGTTGGAGGCCGAGGGCAGCCCTCTGCTCACTGAATGTCTTGCATGTGCTGACTGCTGCCCGCAGTGCTGAACATGCCCCACCGCCCAGGCCCAGCACTGCTTGTTGGGTCAGCATCTAGTGCTGCTGTCACATCTTTGTCTGCACAGCCAGTAGGATTGCCTCAGCCAGGGGGTTTATCAGAAGGTGTGCAAGGCCTTTGGGGGAACTGAGCCCCTATAGTGGGCAGTCTCCTTTACCTTCCCACCTCCCTGAAAAGCACAGAAGACAGTGCCTTGGTTTGTGTTTTGAAGCAAACAAGTCAGCTTTCTGGCTTTGCCCCAAAACTGTGATGGAACATAATAAAACTGGAGATATGGTTTTTAACACTGCAAAAAGGAAAAAGCATCAAGTTTCTACTTCTGGCTGGAAAGCAAAACCAATCTCAGCTGACAAGGCTGGGCAAACTAAGTTTTCCTGAGCCCATTTTCCTTTGAGCCCTGACCTAGCCTGGCCTTACCTCATTAAGGTTTGGTTAAAGCAGTGGAAAGGAGGAGGAGGCAGGGGTGGATGGGGGTGTGGGGAGGGGATGAGCACTCTGCAGCCGATTAATCTGTTGGTAGGGGCCCAGCTTCTTGGGAGTGCTTATTCAGCCCAAGAGTGGAGGCTGTTTACAGCGAGCCCTGGAGATGGCAGCTTGTCTCCAGCTGGGGAGGGGTCAGGCCCCTAAATTGAAGACCACTTTGGTAGCAGAACTGTAGGGACTGGTGAGTCAACTCACAGATTCTGCAGCAGCTGCTCCACCCACAATAAAGCAAACGCCGACAGGCTAGACCCCAGATTGCAGGGGCTGCCACCTACAAGGTGGGACCACAGGCTGCCTCACCGGGATTGTCTGCCACTAAATAGCTGGAGTCACAGATTGAGATAAATGCCACCTTCAAGGTTGCAGTGAAAAGCATAATCCTATGTGATGAATTTATATGTGTTATTTTTTAAAAAGCTATTTTATTACTGCATGTTCCCGTCCCGTCTTGTGAATGTGAGTCCCCGCCACCACGTGAGGTGCAGTCGTTGCAGCGGCTGGTGCAGGAGTGCAGCTGGCGCGTGTGTGATAGCATCTCGTAGGTGTTGCTGCACAAGAGTTAACCAGAGTCAATGCCAAACACATAGTATGAGAAGTGTACTTTTTAAGAAATTAATTTATTTGAGTTCAAATATTTTTGAAATATAAAAATTGGTTGTATTTTTTAAAGCTATAATTCTTGTAGACATTCTGTGGTTAAAAATTTGATTGTGCTTATTAAAAATGGTCATCTATGTTTTGCACTTCAGCTACGTGAAAATAAAATTTCTTTGGGAAGGTGACATTTGGCTTCCTGATTACGGGAGGGAGTTGGTTATCTCAGGTGGAGCAGGAAAGCCTGGTTGATTCTCACACCAGGATGGGACTGGGACTTCCCAGGATGGAGGGAGGAGGCCATTTCTACACCATACTTTGAGCTACTGACAGCAAAACCCTCCCACCATACTGGGTGCATCTTGTTTACTCTTGACTAACATACACTTCTGATTTACAGCAGAAGCCTCAGAAGCTAATTCAGTTCTCCTTTGGCATGCCACTGGATAACAAGATAGTGAGGGGGCAGTGTGTACAAGCTGTGGACATGGGCATTTCCTCTCTGTTGCAGCAAGGCGGAGGAAAGCCCAGGGAGAGTAAAACGCTACAATCTTTCTAACAGCTTTGCCCTACACCACCATCTAAATGATTATGACCAAGTGGCGACATAGTATTTTATTTTCCTAGAATTATGTCCAGCTGTGAGAAAGCCAGGTTCAAATTTAAATCCTTTAATAACCTGTCCCAGAATTACTAACAATGAGACTTAAACAAATTTTGATTTGTGAAGAAAACATGAAAAAAGTCCAAAAGAAACCCCCTCAAAGGGCCCGAGTGTCAACAGTTCCCCTTTGGAGCAGCTCATCCATCTCTCAGGTGGGGGTCCTCCGGCAGGCAGCTTCCTCTGTGGCGCCAGGTGGGTCCAGAGTGGGCCCGCTCCTTTAGAAGTCAGGCAGGCCAGGCAGAGGGAAGAGAGAGGCGAAGCTCTCAACCTCCTCCCGGAGAGCCTGCACGGCCGCCTGGTACTTATCCCCTGCCAGTCTCTCCTTGAACTCTTTCAGGGTGGCTCTGACACCAGTGTCGCTCTGGATCTGCAGGGTCAGCTCTATCCCTGTGCCACAAGACACAAATGAGTCACCCCACACTACACACCAAAGGGGGTACAATGGCTGGGGGCCGAGGCACAAATGTCAGAATGTCCCCCAGCTGGGGAGTGTGGCAGGGCACAAGGTCTCCATGCTTACCTCAATTACTCTGAGATGCACCCACCCTTGGACAGATGTCCTGGGCAGCCCAAATTTATAACCCTCTCAGACAAGGTGATTTACATGTGTTTTTTGCTGTCTCCCACCCCAACACTCAGCCTTGGTGCAGAATTGTCTTTCAGTGGCAGGGTCTCAGCTACTCATCACAATCAGAAACTAAATACACACAATAAGATGTGGCAACTTCCAAACTTTTATCCTTACCTCTGTGAATAAAGTGGGCTACTTTTTGGAAGTCTTTTTCCAAAAGTCCACGGGACGTCAGTGCTGGGGTCCCCAGCCGCAGTCCACTGGGCCGCAGAGCGCTTCTGTCACCTACAAGATAAACGGGGCTCTGTCCCTAAGTCACATTGTCACCACTGTGATGGTGGTGCATTTAAAAAGGGACATGTGGGCAAAAGAGAACTGGCCTGAGGATACTGGCTGTCCCTAGCAAGGAGTACAACTGATTCAGAAACTAAAGTAGAACCCAAGGCACAAGGAGGCACAACCACGTTTGGCCACTCTGACTTAATTACTAGTACACAAAGTGGTCTGATGTGCCCCTTGCTCCTAAAAATGAGGGTAACATCTGTCTGGGTCTGAGATGCGTCATCAATATTTTGTTAACAACCCACAGAGAAATGCAGCCTCTGGATTCCGGAGGCCCTGACCTCCCTCATCTGATGAATGTACCACCTCCAACAGCTCTACATCAGTCTTTTTGCTCCCTGGCAGGGTCAGGGCCAAGTACAAAGGCACAGCCAAGAGACAGCCAAGGTATGGTCCCTGCCCCCGCTCCATTTTTTGTTTTTGTTTTTGTTTTTTTGAGACGGAGTCTCACTGTCGCCTAAGCTGGAGTGCAGTGGCGCAGTCTCGGCTCAATGCAGCCTCTGCCTCCTGGGTTCAAGCAATTCTTCTGCCTCAGCCTCCTGAGTAGCTGGGACCGTGGTGTGTGCCACCACAGCATTTTTAGTAGAGACAGGGTTTCACCGCGTTAGCCTTCTCAATCTCCTGACCTCGTGATCCACCCACCTCGGCCTCCCAAAGTGCTGGGATTACAGGTGTGAACCACTGCACCTGGCCCAGTTTTTTTTTTTTTAGACAGAGTCTCATTCTGTTGCTAAGGCTGGAGTGCAGTGGTACAATCTCCACTCACTGCAACCTCTGCCTCCCGGGTTCAAGCGACTCTTCTGCCTCAGCCTTCCAAGTAGCTGGGATTACGGGCATGCACCACCATGCCCAGCTAATTCTTCTATTTTTAGTAGAGACAGGATTTCACCATTTTGGCCAGGCTGGTCTCGAATTCCTGACCTCAAGTGATCCGCCTGCCTCGGCCTCCCAAAGTGCCGGGATTACAGGCGTGAGCCACCGTGCCCAGCCCCCACTACAGTTTTTATGTGAGGTCTGTCCCCGGAGCCAATATATTCATCAGCTACAACTTTGGCCAGAAGAAATGCAGATGGGAGAGGAGTGAAGGAGAAGGCAAGGATGATTCTCACCTGGACAGGTGTTCTTGTTGCAGGCAATAGAACAGGCTTCTAGCACCTTCTCAGCCCTTCCACCATCTGTGCCTTTGGAACGGAGATCCACAAGGATCAAATGGTTGTCAGAACCACCTGGAAACAAAGTTGGACATGTAGAAATGCAGGCGAATTCTATGCCGTGAAGGAATCTCTGAGAAACGAAGGCGAGGATGAAGGCAGTCAAAGCAGATGAGGTCAGGAAGGTGAGCACCCCCACCACATGGCCTGGGATTCTAATCCCCACGAGAGATGCCCGTGCCTAAGAATGTGAAAGGAAGGACAGAGCACTTTTGAAAGGGGTAACTGATCATACAGCAGAGGGCCTGACACTCCCATGGGGAAGGGACAGCTTCCTCAGGCTGCTCCTGGCTTGTTTTCTCTGACAAGTTGCTTGGGCAATTCCCTAACATTGATGGTAAAGGCTCCCCTGAAGGCAGCATGAATATTGGGCAGCAGTTCAATTTACTTTGGGGGGTAAGGGGCATGTTCACAGAGCACATTAGGTGCCAGACACTGTAGCCTGTGGTAGGTTTTTCCCGGATCCTGTGAGGCTGATGGTATTATCAAAGTGGTAAGGTGACAACAGCAAGGCTAACAGAGTTTTCTGGACCTGGCCCGAGGTCATACAGGAGGATCCTTCCACTTTGAACCTTCATTAAGCTGGGGTAGTGCCTTGGGTGCTGACAGCACTGGGGCCTCTGCTTCTGAGCTGTGTTGCGGGGATCCCTTTCAAGATGCGGGTGAGCTAGGGCTCCAGCTTGGCTTTGCAGCCCCCCAGCTGTGCCCACCCACTTGCCGTGTGGCTTTAGGCAGGCAGCTCAACATTGTGAAACCTCAGATGCCCATTTGTAACAAAAAGACCAATAATTCACAGGGCTGTCATGAAGTTTAAGTAAGATACTGGACATAGTGCTTCTCATAGCACCAGGCACCAAAGAGGGCATTTGCAAGCATTATCTGTCTCAGCCATGTGCATCGGGTCCTCAGATGGCAGAGTGACAATGACACAGTCACCAGGGAGAGGGCAGGCCCATGCCATGAGATGCCCATGGTGACAGGGACTATGGCCTAAACCCTCACAACTCCAAGGGTGGCTCCCAGACCAGCATCACCCAAGGCCTGGTCAGAATCTGCATTGCACCAACAGCCCCAGGGGTGGTGTGCACATTGAAGTTTAAGAAACAGGGACCTAAAGCAGTGGTCCCCAACCTTTTTGGCACCAGGAACTGGTTATGTGGAAGACAGTTTTTTCACGGATGGCATCGGGGGATGGTTTTGGGATGAAACTTCCACCTCAGATCATCGGGCATTAGATTCTCATAAGGATGCAGGTATAATCAGAAGGAAAAAAAAGATAGTTTCTTGAAAGTGTCTAGGCCCAACCTAGATCCCTCACATGTGCAGTTCAAACCAGCGTTCAGCTCCTCTGAGAATCTAATGCTGCCACTGATCTGACAGGAGGCGGAGCTCAGGTGGCAATGCTCTCGGCCCAGCTCACTTCCTGCTGTGCGGCCAGGTTCCTAACAGACCACAAACCAGTACTAGTCCGTGGCCCGGAGGTTGGGGACTCCTGAGCTAAAGCACCCTGAAGTTCACAGTCTGCACGAGGACTTCTTGAGCTTTATTATTTGAAGACATGGAGGATGAAGGGAGAACAGAAAGTAAGTGAAGTAGAACATAAAAGAGGGTACGGCTGGTACTGCTGAGGAGACAGCACTGGCCCGGCCTTCCCAGGCACTGCCGCACATGCAGGATTGGGTGGGAGCCCCACTCCTTAGACCAGGAGGCCTGTAATCCCTCCCCAATCCTTAGATCAGAGGGCCTGTAATCCCTGTAAAGGGCAAAGGACACGGTGCAGAGAGTGGGCACTCAGGTCTACACACAGCAGGACCCATATTCCTGGACCACACCACTGCTAGCACAATCGGCAGTCTTGTGGGACTAGGTATAAAGTCGCCCTTCCTCCGGAGGACTGAGTATGCTGCCTGCCAAAAAAATGCGTTCTCCGTGGAAAGCTGCAGTGACTGTGAGGTGGATGGCACCCCAGAGTGGGGCCCTGACCTGGGAAGTCCATCTCATTCACAGCCCATCAGCTCCAGAATGTACAGATCCAAGCAAACATGCCTAAAGCAAGCCAACTCCCCAGGAATATGCAGGAAACTGGGAGGGGAGAGCCCCTGCACCCCCAGCTCAGCGGGGTGAGAGAAGACACTCCCCTGGCACAGTGCAAGGCATCACCACACAGTCCTGGTGCCACCTACCAGGTGTGTGACCACTACAGCCCAACCTCTCAGTTGAGCCTCAGGTCATCCTCCTGCAAAGCTGTTCTGAGGACAAGCAGTCCTTATGCTGGTGACCAATGGCAACCACTATTCCCATCATCTGTGGCTCACCCAAGGGGGCGGCTGGCTGGTCTGAGGCAGGGGGAGGCTTTCCAGTTGGAGGCGAGGCTGACCTCCTCCCAAGGTGGGCCCATCATTGCAGCTGCAGCAGCAGAGCCTGGGCCACATCCTGGTTGCACAAACTGAGAAGCAAGCCTTAATACAACCACAAGAACAGGCCTGCTGAACACCATCTGTGTCTCTACCTGTGACTATTTTGTAGCCCAGCTCCGTCAGGGCCTCAGACAGAGCCCTGCAGTTGGCCACCACCTGGTGTTGATAAACTTTAAATTCCAGAGTCATAGCTTGCTTCAGTGCCACAGCAACCCCTGGACAAGAAGAGACAATGGGTCAGGAGGCTAGGATAGAATCATACACAGATGATGAGTCAAACAACATTCCTGTTTTTACTCAAGCTTCCTTGCTTTTCAATGTCACCCCTTGCTTTTGCGTTGGATTATCTTTTCCTCCAAAATGATATATTTTTAAAAATTTTTTATTATTTATTATTTTTATTTTTTTTGAGATGGAGTTTCACTCTTGTTGCCCAGGCTGGAGTGCAGTGGTGTGATCTCGGTTCACTGCAACCTCTGCCTCCCAGGTTCAAGTGATTCTTCTGCTTCGGCATCCCGAACAGCTGGGACTACAGGCACATGCCACCATGTCCAGCTAATTTTTGTTGGTATTTTTAGTAGAGACAGGGTTTCACTATATTGGCCAGGCTGGTCTTGAACTCCTGACCTCAAGTGATCCGCCTGCCTTGGCCTCCCCAAGTGCTGGGATTACAGGCATGAGCACCATGCCCAGCTAAAAAAATTTTTTATTTTTATATTTTTTGAGACAGGGTCTCACTCCCATTGCCCAGGCTGGAGTACAGTGGCGTGATCACAGTTCACTGCAGCCTTGATGTTCAGGGCTCAGATGATCCTCCCATCTCAGTCTCCCGAGTAGGTGGGACTACAGGTGCATCCTACCACACCTGGCTAATTTTTTTTGAGAGATGGAGTCTCGCTCTGTCGCTGAGGCTGGAGTGCAGTGGTGCAATCTCGGCTCACTGCAACCTCCGCCTCCCGGGTTCAAGCAATTCTCCTGCCTCAGCTTCCCAAGTAGCTGGGACTACAGGCACGTGCCACCACATCCAGCTAATTTTTGTATTTTTTAGTAGAGACAGGGTTTCACTGTATGTTGGCCAGGCTGTTCTGGAACTCCTGACCTCAAGTGATCTGTCCATCTCGGCCTCCCAAAGTGCTGGGACTACAGGCGTGAGCCACTGCGCCTGGCCACGCCTGGCTAATTTTTTATGTTTTTGGTAAGAGACGGGCTTTCTTCATGTTGGCCAGGCTGGTCTCAAACTCCTGGGCTCAAGTGACCCACCCACCTCAGCCTCCCAAAGTGCTGGGATTATAGGCATGAGCCACCGCGCCCAGCTGATATGCTTCTCTCTGAGGAACTGCTGTTGAGGTAACCTTTCCCTAAGCATGGAAGTTCTGTGCTAACATTACCATACCAAAGCTGTTAAGCAAGATGGATTTTACATCCTTTTTAATCTTGATGTGTGAAAACGATTACTTAGCAGGCCTAAGAGCCGATGCTCTGATGCCAGATTATGCAGCTCTCTAAGGTCAGAGCGCAGGTAGGAGGTGCAGCCTTCGTCCTACCCTGCACCATTCAGACTTATCTGGTATCTCACATTCAATCCTGAGGGCTGCTTCAAGGGACACAGAGAATGGAGGATAAGGAGAACCCACGGGCCTGCATCCCGCACAGAGCCTCCAATCAATACTTGTGAAAACAACTGGAAAGGGCGTCCAGAGCAGCTGGGGATGGGGTGATCCCTGCATCCCAGAGTTAAAGCAGCTGTGGGTGCCAAGTGTGTAGGTGTGATGGGAGAACATGAGAACACACCCGGGACCCCAGCTCCTTCCACCCCTTATGCCTAATATCTCCCAATCGCTGCTGTCCCCAGGTTCCTCTCTAGAAGTGCTTGTGCGTCTCCTGAGAAGCTACACCTTCATCCTGAGCCCCTTAGCGGGAATGAGTGCTACCAATGTCCTTGTTCCATGAAGGCAGCGGGATAACTCTTGAGTCATCACAAATGTCCTAAGCTACTTGTACAAAGAGACAAAGAGCAAGTCAATGAGAACCTGCTGGGCAGGCATGGAATCTGACTCAGGAGTCACTGGCGTGGCACTGGTGCAGGGTGTGAGGATCAGACACAGGGTCCTCCACTGCCACAGGCCAGGCCCATCAAGGGCAAGGGGACTCATCCTGCAGGGTCTGGACCCCAATCTCTCTCACCTGTGCTTTGCCCTCTCCTAACTGTCAGATTCCTTCCCTAAGAGGGTGCCATGTACTTTACAAAACTCGGCCTGACCCACAGGTTTGCCTCTGGGTGGCCGTACACGTGGAGTGGATGCCATTCCCTACTGTCCCTACCTTAGGCCAGTCTCAACCATGCCCTACTCTGTGTTAGCATCTCCTGCACAGAGACAGCCCTCCAGCTTTTTCCCCAGCGTGGAAGTCCTGGCACACGATTTTGGAGGACAGGTGGGATGGGAATTAGGGGCTACAGGATGAGCAGAGGCAGATGATGTTTTACCAGCAATGGCGTGGTTGTGGGGACCTCCCTGCAGGCCAGGGAACACAGCAGAATTGATAAGAGACTCCAGGTTGTACAGAATCTCTTTGCCAGTCTTGGGATCCACACTTTTCACTCCTGGAGGAAGAAAAACATCACAGTGGGATCATAGGGGCTGTCCCCTCTTTTTCTTTTTAGGCTCAAACCCAGACTGGCCAGGGAAGAATCAAGCACAAGCCTGGCCTTTATCCTGGCATGGAGAACTGATTTGTAACACAGCGGAGCAGAGGGGACCCTTGCCTCCTGAGGGCAGACCAGTATCTTTATTTTTTGGAAACCAACACATCATGGATGACTCTGGCTGGAATACTGGTTTCAGCACCTCACCTGTCCACCTGCCTCCTCTGATGGCATCTCTTCTTAACACAACTAGAACAAGGCCTTAAAAATGAAAGGACAGGCTGGACGCGGTGGCTCACACCTGTAATCCCAGCACTTTGGGAGGCCAAGGCGGGCGGATCACGAGGTCAGGAGTTTGGGACTAGTCTGGCCAACATGGTGAAACCCCGTCTCTACTAAAAATACAAAAATTAGCCGGGCGTGGTGGTGTGCACCTGTAGTCCCAGCTACTTGGGAGGCTGAGGCAGAAGAATCGCTTGAACCCGGGAGGCAGAGGTTGCAGTGAGCCAAGATCGCGCCAGTGCACTCCAGCCTGGGTGACAGAGTGACATTCTGTCTCAAAAAGAAAAAAAGAAAAAAAAAGGACAGAAATTTCCCTCCACTAACATTGTAACCAAGAATTCAAGAATTTGCCCTGGACATCTTTCCTTAAAGAAATGTCCATGTGGCTGGGCGTGGTGGTTCATGCGTGTAATCCCAGCACTTTGGGAGGCTGAGGCAGGTGGATCAATTAAGGTCAGGAGTTCAAGACCAGCTGGGTCAACATAGTGAAACCCTGTCTCTACTAATAATACAAAAATTAGCTGGGCATGGTGGCGGGCATCTGTAATTCCAGCTACTCAGGAGGCTGAAGCAGGAGAATGCGTTGAACCCGGGAGGTGGAGGTTGTAGCGAGCCGAGATTGCACCACTGCACTCCAGCCTGGGCGACAAGAGCAAAACTCCATCTCCGGGGAAAAAAAAAGTCCATGTAATCCCAGCACTTTGGGAGGCAGAGGTGGGAGGATCACTTGAACCCAGGAGTTCAAGACCAGCATGAGCAACAAAGAGAGAACCCATGTCCACAGAAAAATTTAAAAATTAGCCAGGCATGGTGGCGCATACCTGTGGTCCCAGCTACGTGGGAGGGTGAGGTAGGAGGATTGCTTGGGCCCGGGAAGTTGAAGTTGCAGTGAGCTTTGATTGCACCACTGCACTGCAGCCTGAGTGACAGAGTGAGACCCTGTCCCCAAAAATAAAATTTAAAGAGTCTCCAAGATGCATTGAAAGAGACAACGCTCATGTGGCTAATATGAAGAATAAGGTTCCTTTCTGAGAAAAAGTTAACCATCAATAATAGCTACTATTCAGTCATAATCGGTAACATCTATCTAGAGCTTCTAGTGAGCCAAGAACTGCTCTAATCACTTTACATAAATTCATTTAATCCTCAAAACAGCAGTCCAAAGGGACAGGTACTATTATTATAGTCCCCACTCTAGAGGTGAGGAAATGAGGAACAGAGAGGCTGCACAGCTAGCCCTAAAGTCATACAGCGGGTGTGCGGCAGAGCTAGTACTTGCTCTGATAGGCTGGCTCCGGAGTCCCTCAGCACTGGGTGAAATAAATCACATCAACACACAGTGGGGGAAAAAACCAAATGTCTCCTGGGCGGGTGGGAATGGCTACCTGCCTCAGAAACATCAGCACAGCTAAAAACGGTCCTTGGAGGAGCACAGAGGCAACGGGGTGCTGAGAAGCTGAGGGGGCATGTGGCTGTGTCTAGTCCCAGCCAGGGGCTGGGCAAGAAGACCCTGCCTCGGGTAAGAGTAATGTAGTCGAACAGCCCTCTCCCTCTCCCTCCCCCTCCCCCTCCCTCTCCCCACGGTCTCCCTCTCCCTTTCCACGGTCTCCCTCTGATGCCGAGCCGAAGCTGGACTGTACTGCCGCCATCTCGGCTCACTGCAACCTCCCTGCCTGATTCTCCTGCCTCAGCCTGCCGAGTGCCTGGGATTGCAGGCACGTGCCGCCACGCCTGACTGGTTTTCGTATTTTTTTGGTGGAGACGGGGTTTTGCTGTGTTGGCCGGGCTGGTCTCCAGCTCCTAACCGCGAGTCATCTGCCAGCCTCGGCCTCCCGAGGTGCCGGGATTGCAGACGGAGTCTCGTTCACTCAGTGCTCAATGTTGCCCAGGCTGGAGTGCAGTGGTGTGATCTCGGCTCGCTACAACCTCCACCTCCCAGCCGCCTGCCTTGGCCTCCCAAAGTGCCGAGATTGCAGCCTCTGCCTGGCCGCCACCCCGTCTGGGAAGTGAGGAGCGTCTCTGCCTGGCCGCTCATCATCTGGGATGTGAGGAGCCCCTCTGCCTGGCTGCCCAGTCTGGGAAGTGAGGAGCGCCTCTTCCCGGCCGCCATCCCGTCTAGGAAGTGAGGAGCGTCTCTGCCCGGCCGCCCATCATCTGAGATGTGGGGAGCGCCTCTGCCCCGCCGCCCCGTCTGGGATGTGAGGAGCACCTCTGCCCGGCTGCAACCCCGTCTGGGAGGTGAGGAGGGTCTCTGCCCGGCTGCCCCATCTGAGAAGTGAGGAGCCCCTCCGCCTGGCAGTCGCCCCGTCTGGGAAGTGAGGAGCATCTCTGCCCGGCAGCTGCCCTGTCCGGCAGGTTGGGGGCAGCCCCCGCCCAGCCAGCCGCCCCGTCCGGGAGGGAGGTGGGGGGCAGCCCCCGCCTGGCCGTCACCCCTTCCAGGAGGTGGGGGGGCGCCTCTGCCCGGCCGCCCCTTCTGGGAAGTGAGGAGCCCCTCTGCCCGGCCGCCCCTTCTGGGAAGTGAGGAGCCCCTCTGCCCAGCCGCCACCCCGTCTGGGAGGTGTACCCAACAGCTCATTGAGAACAGGCCATGATGACGATGGCGGTTTTGTCGAATAGAAAAGGGGGAAATGTGGGGAAAAGATAGAGAAATCAGATTGTTGCTGTGTCTGTGTAGAAAGAAGTAGACATAGGAGATTCCATTTTGTTCTGTACTAAGAAAAATTCTTCTGTTAATCTATAACCTTACCCCCAACCCCGTGCTCTCTGAAACATGTGCTGTGTCCACTCAGGGTTAAATGGATTAAGGGTGGTGCAAGATGTGCTTTGTTAAACAGATGCTTGAAGGCGGCATGCTCATTAAGAGTCATCACCACTCCCTAATCTCAAGTACCCAGGGACACAAACACTGCGGAAAGCCGCAGGGTCCTCTGCCTAGGAAAACCAGAGACCCTTGTTCACTTGTTTATCTGCTGACCTTCCCTCCACTATTGTCCTATGACCCTGCCAAATCCCCCTCCACGAGAAACACCCAAGAATGATCAATAAATACTAAAAAAAAAAAAAAAAAAAAAAAAAAAAAAGAGTAATGTAGTCACCAGAGGGCTGGTGTCTCTGCTGATGCAAAGTTGGCGCATCAGGTCTCACCACAGGCTAAATGATGACCTGACCACTAACAGGCTTTCCCAGGTATGGGAATTCGAAAATAAGGGGAGTGCCTAGGGGTAGGTTATGAGGTAATGGAAAGAAAAACCTTCACTAAAATGATATTAATGTTTATACATCCATGTCTTCTAGTTTGACTACTATGAGTCTTTCTCTTTGAGAAACATGATGGATCACTGTAAGTTCACCAGAATAATGCAGCCTTGTGAGGCCTCCCAGTGGCCCCCAGCCAGCCATGCACCCTCCTTTCATTCAAACACCTGCCTCTCGAGTTCAGCAACCGGCGCCATCCTAACACATAGTGGTTGCTGATCCCCCTCCTATGTTCCTAGGACCTGGATGCACAAAAGTGAAGCAGGAGCTGTGGCTGACAGTCTCCTTCTGGGGATTCCTTTCTTTCTTTCTTTTTTTTTTTTTGAGACGGCATCTCGCTCTGTCGCCCAGGCTGGAGTACAGTGGCACAATCTCAGCTCACTGCAAGCTCCACCTCCCAGGCTCACGCCATTCTCCTGCCTTCGCCTCCTGAGTAGCTGGGACTACAGGTGCCCACCACCACACTCGGCTAATTTTTCGTGTTTTTAGTAGAGACGGGGTTTCACCGTGTTAGCCAGGATGGTCTTGATCTCCTGACCTCGTGATCTGCCCGCTTCGGCCTCCCAAAGTGCTGGGATTACAGGCGCGAGCCACCTCACCTGGCCGGGAATCCTTTCTGTAAAGCCTGTCACTGCTCCTTCCTAAGCAGCTCTTTAAGGGACTGGGATCTTAATATTTTCCAAGGATCCCAGGTCAGAGTTTTTCCCAGCTCCCTCAACTGAATCTGAACCCCCACAGGAGAAATGTAAACCATGGTACCCATCTGTACCCAACATTCGGGAGCTCACCTTTCCTGTAGAAGATCATGCCAGCTCGGCAGCCTCGCAGGGTCTTGTGAGTGGTGGTGGTCACCACATGGCAGTGTTCAAATGGGGAGGGCACCACGCCAGCCGCCACCAGCCCGCTGATGTGAGCCATGTCCGCCATGAGATACGCCCCGTTCTCATCTGCAATCTTCCGTAGCCGGGCATATTCCAGGTTTCGGGAGTAGCAGCTGGTTCCTGAGACAGGAAAGGTGACACAGCTGCATCAGAGATGTCCACCGGCCAGCTGAGTTGGCTTCACAGTGGCCTCTAGATGTGCAGATCTGAAAGCCCAGAGATTTCTTCCCTTAAAGTCTCAGAGCAAAAATGGAGAATGCCCTCAAAAAGCACCTCTGTGCTAAAGGCAACCACTCTAACTCTTCAACGTCTTGGTGGTTGAGATGGCCCCAACTACTATTGCCAGCGCAGTCAGGGCCTGACATTTCTAGATGCTTCTCTGAGAACAGTCTCACATCTTAATCTACATAGCACAAAAAGCAGCAAACACACATCTGTATCCTGAAAGAAACTAATATATGTAGACCCCAGAAACTCAGTTATCCAGGGCAGAAACTAGCAGTGGGCTCAACAGGGTGCGAACATCTTTCCATCCTCATTCTGTAAGAGGCACCAGGCTACTGGTGAACAAGGTGACTTTCCGCCCCGCGCATCACCTGCGATGATCAGCTTCGGGTGGAAGAGGCGTGCGTTCTCCTCCAGCTGGTCATAGTTGATGTAGCCAGTATCTGGGTTCACCTGTGGAATGTCAGGGAGGCAGGTTCAGGCTGCTTCCTCCAACCACACCTGCCTCCTGTCCTCCCACTTGAACTGGCTCCACCCACCATGACAAGAGGAATGATGTCCTAGATGAGGACTTGAGGGTGAGACAGGATGGATACTGGTGTGTTCAGCCTGCTCAACCAAGTATGGCTCACAGACCCAGGAGTCCCTGAGGAGTCCCAGGGTTGTAGTGAGCCCTGCTGCTGGGGCACTACCTGCTGAGAAGGAACCAAAAAGCACCTGCAGAATGAAACAAATGTGACGGGACCACACAATGGAAACCAAAATGGTTACCTTCAGGAACAAGACCAAAATGCCTGCTAATACTACTTCTATTCCAAGTATAATGAGGCAAGAAAAAGAAACAAAAGGCATAACGATTAGGAAAGAAGAAATTTAAAAACTGACATTACACACAGACAACACAATATACCTAGAAAATCAAGATGCTAGGGGCCAACTGTTAGAATAAGCAAATTTAGCAAGGTCACTGGATACAACATTGAAAAACAAGAAGTAGGGGCTGGGCGCGGTGGCTCACACCTGTAATCCCAGCACTTTGGGAGGCTGAGACGGGCAGATCATGAGGTCAGGAGATCGAGACCATCCTGGCTAACACGGTGAAACCCCGTCTCTACTAAAAATGCAAAAAATTAGCCAGATATGGTGGCGGGCGCCTGTAATCCCAGCTACTTGGGAGGCTGAGGCAGGAGAATGGCGTGAACCCGGGAGGTGGAGCTTGCAGTGAGCCGAGATTGTGCCACTGCACTCCAGCACTCCAGCCTGGGCAACAGAGCGAGACTCCATCTGAAAAAAAAAAAAAAAAAAAGCCAAAAAGTATATAAAAGCAAGAAAGATAGAAAATGAAATGTAAATAACAAAAACCATAAAAGGAAAATCATACCAAACCTTTACACAAAACATCATTGCGTTGTGTATTTTGTGTCACAAAATGCTTGACAAATTATAGTAATTAAGGCAGCACGCATTCATGGAAGGGCAGAGCATCTGGCTTAACCAGAAGCAGAACCACACACAACACAGGTCATTGGATCCATGCCAGTGGTGACGCTGCAGTGCAGTGGGGAGAGGATGACCTTTTCAATCAATGGCACTAGGTCAACTGGGCATCCATTTGGACAAAAATGTTATCTGGATGCCCGCCTCACCCACACAAATCAATTCCATATTCAGCAATCCCACTTGTGAATCTATATCTTAAGAACTTGAAATCAGTATGTCAAAGAGACATGTGCACTCCCATGTTCACTGCAGCACTATTCACAATAGCCAAGTTATGGAATAAAGCCATGTCCATCAACAGATGAATGGACAAAGGAAATGTGACACATATATATATAAACAATGTAATAATAATCAGTCTGAAAAAAGAAATTCTGTCATTTGCAACAACACCGATGAACTTGGAGGACCTTATGCTAAGTGAAATACGCCAGGCTCAGACAGACAAATACTGCATGATCTCACTTCTTTTTTGAGACAGAGTCTCACTCTGTCACCCAGGCTGGAGTGCGGTGGTGCCATCTCGGCTCATTGCAACCTCTACCTCCCAGGCTCAAGCGATTCTCCCACTCAGCCTGCTGAATAGCTGGGACCACAGGCAGTGCCACCACACCCGGCTAATTCTTATATTTTTGTAGAGATGGGGTTTCACCATGTTGCCCAGGCTGGTCTCGAACTCCTGGACTCAAGTGAGCCTCCTACCTCGACCTCCCAAAGTGCTGAGATTATAGGTGTGAGCCACCGCACCTGGCCATGTGATCTTACTTCTATGTGAAATCTAAAACAATCGAACTGCTGGGCGTGGTGGCTTATGCCTGCAGTTCCAGCACTTTGGGAGGCCGAGGCAGGTGGACCACCTGAGGACAGGAGTTTGAGACCAGCCTGGCCAACATGGTGAAACCCCGTCTCTACTAAACATTCACAAATTAGCCAGGCGTGGTGGCGTATGCCTGTAATCCCAGCTATTCGGGAGGCTGAGGCAGGAGAATCACTTGAACCCAGGAGGCGGAGGTTGCAGTGAGTCAAGATGGTGCCACTGCACTCCAGCCTGGGCGACAAAGTGAGACTCTGTCTCAAAAAAAAAAAATTAAAATTGAATAAATAAATAAATAAATAAAACAATCAAACTCACAGAAGCAGGGTAGAATGTGGTTACCAGTCACTGGAGGGTGGCAGACAATGGAGAGATACTGAGCAAAGGGTACAAAGTTGCAGTTAGACAGGAAGAAAAATAATAAATATTTAAGGAGTGGGATATGTTAGTTAACTTGATTCAATAGTTCCACACTGTATATACAAATCATAACATCACTGTGCATCCCATAATTATATATAATTTGTTTAAAAAAAAAAGTCAATTCCAAACAGATTGTAGATCTCGATGTAAAATTTAAAATAATTTTTCTTTTCTGGCAACACATCTCTTAGGAAGTTCATTTTATTAAACTTCTATAAACATATGGGTCAGCCAGGCGTGGTGGCTCACATCTGTAATCTCAGCACTTTGGGAGGCCGAGGGGGTCAGATCACCTGAGGTCAGGAGTTTGAGACCAGCCTAGCCAACATGGTGAAACCCCACCTCTACTAAAAACACAAAATTAGCCAGGCATGGTGGTACACACCTGCAGTCCTAGCGATTCAGGAAGCTGAGGGAGGAGAATCGCTTAAACCCGGGAGGCAGAGGTTGCAGTAAGCTGAGATCGTGCCACTGCACTCCAGCCTGGGCGACAAGAGGGAAACTTTGTCTCAAAAAAAAAAAAAAAAAAAAAAAGGGGTCAGCCGGATGCGGTGGCTCATGCCTGTAATACCAGCACTTTGGGAGGCTGAGTTGGACAGATCACTTGAGCCCAGGAGTTCAAGACCAGCCTGGGCAACATGGCAAAACCTTGTCTCCACAAAAAATACAAAAATTAGCCAGGCATGGTGGCATGCGCCTCTAGTCCCAGCTACTTGGGAGGCTGAAGAGGAAAGATCGCTTGAGCCCAGGAGGCAGAGGTTGCAGTGAGCCGAGACAGAGCCACTGCACTCCAGCCTGGGAGGCAGAGCCAGATACTGTCTTAAAAAAAAAAAAAAAAAAAAAGTCATGGGTAAGCACACATAACCAGCAGAGCATAGAGCGCACCACAGGAAAAACTGGGCTCTGGGATCTGAGAAGCCTCAGGGAAGAGGAGATGTGCAGAGAGGCTCCCTGTTCTGAAGGCCCTGACCCAACCTTCCTTCCTCTTACCTTGGTGTCCCCCTCAGAAACTACCAGCACATCTGGAGTGAAAGGTTTCAGGATTGGTGGTCACTCTTTCCAAATAAAAAAAGGCAGTTATAATCCAACCCAACTATAGAAGCTTGCCACAAGGTTTCGGGAACCAAGACCTCATCTAGAAAGTCAAGCTGAAAGATGATTTGTGGTTTTGTTTGCTGTGTTTTGCTTCAGGGGTGTGGTTCTTTCTCAGTCACCTGAATTTGGCAAAGAAACCGTTTTATGAAATGAAATATCAACAGCTGACCTCCAGTAAAAATGGACGTAATTCACCGGGCATGGTGGCTCACGCCTGTAATCCCAGCTCTTAGGGAGACAGAGGCAGTAGGATAGCTTGAGTCCAGGAGTTTGAGACCCGCCTGGGCAACATAGTGAGATCTTGTTCTCCACAAAAAGGAAAAAAAAAAAGATTTAAAAAAAATGGACATAATTCTAAAATTTTTTGTGTAGCCACAATTACCGGAAAAAAAAAAAAAAAAAAAAAAGCCTGTGCTGCTTTCTCCCTTTTTAATTTAATGGGTTTTTCAAAGGTTTTTCTTTTCTTTTTTTAATCTTGAAAATGAGACAAGAGAACAACTCCTAGAAGAATTCATAGGCATTTATAATAAACTGCAGATGGGGTCCACAGTGCACAGAGGATAAGGAAGGAGACCCCAGCAGTCACTTAGGACCAGGGACAGGGAGGAATTCTCGAGTCACAGTGGGGATGGGCCAAAAACACAAAATAGAAGGTTAATGTTGCTGTTGCTCTAGCCTGGCCCTGCGTGGGGCTCTTGCAGTGGAGTGGGGCAGGGGCTGAAGGTGGAGGCAGGCGGTCTGGTGAAGGCTGGGCAGGGCAGTGGCCCTGGGACACCCCCTAACCTCCAACTCTGCAGCCCGGTGGGGTGGAGGTGAGCTGCCTCTGGCTGCTGATGAATGCCAATAAGGTCTGTCTCCTCCTCCTGTCCGCCAAGGGCAGGACTCAAATCACCCCCACAGCGGGTGAGCTGCACCTCCTGCTGCCCAAGCTGGCCAGGGTCCCAGGCCCCACCTCTCCATGCCCATCCTGAGGTGGGTCCCCTCACTGCACCCACAGGACTGCAGCCTGCACAATGTACATCAAAGACGGGGGTGGCTGGAGGGAACTGGGTGCGGGACGCAGATTCTTTCTTTTTTTTTCTGGAGATGGAGTCTTGCTCTGTCACCTAGGCTGGAGTGCACTGGTGCAATCTTGGCTCACTGCAACCTCCGCCTCCCAGGTTCAAGTGGTTCTCCTGCCTCAGCCTCCTGAGTAGCTGGGATTACAGGTGCCCGCCACCACGTCCAGTTAATTTCTGTATTTTTAGTAGAGAAGGCTTTCACCATGTTGGCCAGGCTGGTCTCGAACTCCTGACCTCGGATGATCCGCCCACTTCGACCTCCCAAAGTGCTGGGATTACAGGAGTGCACCACCATGTATTTTTAGTAGAGACGGGGTTTCACTGTGTTGGCCAGGCTGGTCTTGAACTCCTGACCTCATGATCCGCCTGCCTCAGCCTCCCAAAGTGCTGGGATTACAAGCGTGAGCAACTGCACCCTGCCTTTCTTATTTATTTATTTTTTTTGAGATGGAGTTTCACTCTTGTCGCCCACTCTGGAGTGCAATGGAGCAATCTTGGCTCACTGCAACCTCCGCCTCCCAGGTTCAAGCAATTATCCCTCCTCAGCCTCCTGAGTAGCTGGAACTACGGGTGTGCACCACCACACCTGAGGAATTTTTTGTATTTTTAGTAGAGACAGGGTTTGAACATGTTGGCCAGGCTGGTCTCGAACTCCTGACCTCAGGTGATCTGCCCACCTCAGCTTCCCAAAGTGCTGTGATTACAGGTGTGAGCCACCGAGCCCAGCCAAGACAAACTATTTTGTTACTATTGTGACATGTTTCAAAATCTAGCTTCAAGGCTGGCCTTGGCCAATGAGGAGATCTGTGACTGCAAACACCTAGGTGTTCTGTGAAAAGAAATGACTGCAAAAAAGAGCACACGTGCAATCACCAGCACTGAGACAAAGGCTGAGTACACACAGAACCATGGACAGCATGCACCCAAGACCATGCAATGCCAGCCAAGCAGAAGGATGCAGTGCTACCTTTTTTCATGGTAACAAACATGAAACTAAGCAGGAATGGCACATTTATTAATAAAGAACATGAAAAGATGGTTCCGGGACACTAGAAAGAATCACCAACACTGGACACTAAAAGAAAAAGCAAGTTACCTCTTCTTCCCATTATCCTTCGTTTTTATAGATAAATCACCATGCCTGAATAAGCCCACACATCTTACAGGCATTTTTTGACCCAACTGTTTATACAGACGGGTCCCACGAAAAACAAGTATTTGCCTGGGGCCCTGCACACCCTAGAGGCAGCACTTGGCACTGGTTCTGATGGTGTTGGTTCCACTGCTGGGCTGGCTGCGTTATCAGGTATGTGCAGTGGGGTGGCAATGGCAATGGGGTGTACACCTGAGCCATACAGGTGCTCCTCAACTTATGGGGTTACATTCCAATAAGCTCATCATTAAGCTGAAAATATCATAAAGTCAAAAATGCATGTAATATACCTAACCTACCAAACATCACAACCTAGTCTGGCCTACCTTAAACATGCTGAGGACACTGTGGTACCCTCCACTGGGCAAGATAGTCAAACACAAACCTTATTTTATAATACGGTGTTGACTATCTCATGTAATCTACTGAATACTGTACTGAAACTGAAAAGCAGAATGGTCGTATGGGGGGCTTGAAGTACAGCTAATAACGCATGTCACTTTTGCACTATCCTAAAGTTGAACGCCCTAAGTCAAACCACTGTCTGTTCCTCTGTAGCCACTATACACAGGCAGGGGCTAGCCCTAACGTGGCCATGGAGGACTGTGGCTGTGGATGGTGCCGGGCTGCTGGTTTTGGTGCTGGAGCTGGGGACGTTGCCATGCCTGTAGCTACTGCATCCTTGTGCTGCTGCTGGCCCACAGGGGCTCCGAGCAGAGATGTCACCAGGCGAGGGCAGAGCTGCAGAGGTGGTGGCTGTTGCTGGGGTCCAACTGTAGTGACCTGGTTGCTATTCCCCAGGGTTGCTATTCCAAGCAGTTGCCACTGCCCCTGCCACATCTGAACTCTCCTCAGTAGTTGCCTCCCTCACTGGTTTCCCTGTGGCCTCAGCTCAGACCCTCGTCTCTCCATCCCAGCTGCCCCAGCGGGTCCTGAAAACCTGAGGAGTCCCCGCTGCAAGGAAATTAAAAACGGTGCGAGGTGGGGACTTCCTGTAGTGACACATAAACCAAACTTACCCCTGCAGGCACAGCCAAGCATCAGAGGTTTCCCAAGGAAATAAAAGCTAGGAGAGAAACACATGCTTACCTTGTAGGGCATAGATTCAAAGAAGATGGACGTGGCAGAGATTTTCTTCTTGTCTGTCATGAACCCATGGGTCAGGTGGCCCCCATCCGGAAGGTCCAGGCCCATGATGCGCCCATGGGGTTCCACCAGGGCAGTGTACACAGCAAAGTTTGCAGGGGAGCCTGAAACGAGTGGACCAGAGGAGACATGATTATTTCTAACTGAGGTACCAAGTGGCATCCGGGACCTTGGCCACTAAGCCTTCACCCAGGAGTGGCGAGAACAGGCCTTGTACCTTCCCTGAGCTCCAGGAGGTGCCCCTTCACCACCAGCCTTGAGAGGTGAAGTTCAGAGAGAGGGCACTGCCTGGGAGGGGGTATAGAGCTGGGAGCCCAAGGGTAATGCAGAGGGATGCGTGACTTATCTTTTATTTATGGCAGTTTTTTTTTTTTTTTTTTTTGAGATGGAGTTTCGCTCTTGTTGCCCAGGCTGGAATGCAATGGCGCCATCTCGGCAGCTCACTGCAACCTCCGCCTCCCAGGTTCAAGCAATTCTCCTGCCTCAGGCTCCGAGTAGCTGGGATTACAGGCATGTGCCACTACACCCAGCTAATTTTTGTATTTTTAGTGGAGACCGGGTTTCTCCATGTTGGTCAGGCTGGTCTTGAACTGCCGGCCTCAGGTGGTCTGCCTGCCTCCGCCTCCCAAAGTGCTGGGATTACAGGCGTGAGCCACTGGGCCCGGCCTATGGCAGTCCATGGCAGTCCATCTTAGGACTCTTCTTGGTGCATGTCGGCCCTGGGGGATGCACATGAAGAGGCTGCACCAGGCCATATGGATGAGACAAGCACCTGAGTAGGGCTGGACGTTGACCCCCCAGCACTGTGGGTCCAGCTTATAGGCCTGCAGGGCTCGCTTCTGACAGAGGGTCTCCAGTTCATCAATAAACTCAGTCCCGCCATAGTATCTGTGGGAGAAGAGCAGGAGACTTAGATCCACTCAGACCCAGAAAGTCTGTGCTTCACAGAGGCCAAAGAAGCTTAGGGGTGGGACAGTGAAACTAAAGTGGAGAGAAGTAATGAGAAGAGCTTGTTAACATGCAGATGCTGAAGCCAGCATGATCAAGTGTTCCACCAATGCCTCTGGAATCTACAGTCAAGAGACCAAACCAGCTGTGCAACTTGGAGCAAATATCTCATCTATAAAAAGAGGGGGTTTTGGCTGGGAGAGGTGGCTTATACCTATAATCCCAGCACTTTGAGGAGCCAAGGCAGGAGGATTGCTTGAGCCCAGGAGTTCGAGACCAGCCTGGGCAATACAGCAATATCCCCATCTCTACAAAAAATTTCAAAAAATTAGCCAGGTGTTGTGGTGTGTGCCCATAGTCCCAGCTACTTGGGAGGCTGAGAAGGGAAGATTCACTTTGGCCCAGGAGGTAAAGGCTGCAGTGAGCTGTGATCACGCCACTGGACTCCAGCCTGGACCCTGTCTCAAAAAAAAAAAAGAAAAGAAAAAGAAAAAAAAAAGGAAAGAAATCCTATCACATGCTATTAATACAACAGGGATGAGCCTGAGAACATTATGCTAAGTGAAACAAACCAGTCACCACAAGACAAGCACTGTATGATTCAACTTTTATGAGGTCCCTAAAGTAGTCAAGCTTAGGCTGGGCATGGTGGCTCACGCCTGTAATCCCAGCACTTTGGGAGGCCGAGGTGGGCAGATCACCTGAGGTCAGGAGTTCCAGACCAGCCTGGCCAATATGGTGAAACCCCGTCTCTACTAAAAATACAAAAATTAGCCGGGAGTGGTGGCGGGTGACTGTAATCCCAGCTGCTCGGGAGGCTGAGGCAGGAGAATCTCTTGAACCCAGGAGGTGGAGGTTGCAGTGAGCCGAGATCGCCCCACTGCACTCCAGCCTGGGCATCCCAGCAAGACTCAGTCTCAAAAAAAAATTTAAAGTAACTACATGCAGTGGCTCATGTCTGTAATCTCAGAGATTTGGAAGGCTGAGGTGGGAGAACTGCTTGAGGCCAGGAGTTCAAGACCAGCTAGGCAACATAGTGAGATCTCAGCTCTACAAAAAATTTTACAAATGAGCTAAGTATAGTGGCTTGCACCTATAGTCCTAGTTACTTGGAAGGCTGAGGTGGGAGGATCACTTGAACCCAGGAGTTGGAGATTGCAGTGAGCTTTGATTGTACCACTGCACTACAGCTGGAGCAACACAGTGAGACCCTAACTCTAAAAAAAATAAATAGGCCGGGCCCGGCGTAGTGGCTCACATTTGTAATCTCAGCACTTTGGGAGGCCGAAGTGGGCGGATCACCTGACGTCAGGAGTTCGAGACCAGCCTGACCAACATGGAGAAACCCCATCTCTCCTAAAAATACAAAATTAGCCAGGCGTGGTGGTGCACGCCTGTATTCCCAGCTATTGAGGAGGCTGAGGTAGGAGAATTGCTTGAACCTGGGAGGCGGAGGTTGCGGTGAGCCGAGATTGTACCATTGCACTCCACCCTGGGCAACAAGAGCAAAACTCTGTCTCAAAAAAATAAAAATAGATAAAAAATAGGCCGGGCACGGTGGCTCACGCCTGTAATCCCAGCACTTTCGGAGGCCGAGGCGGGCGGATCACGAGGTCAGGAGATGGAGACCATCCTGGCTAACATGGTGAAACCCCGTCTCTACTAAAAAATATATAAAAAATTAGCCGGGTGTGGTGGCGGGCGCCTGTAGTCCCAGCTACTCGGGAGGCTGAGGCAGGAGAATGGCGTGAACCCGGGAGGTGGAGCTTGTAGTGAGCCGAGATCGTGCCACTGCGCTCCAGCCTGGGCGACAGAGTGAGACTCCGTCTCAAAATAAATAAATAAATAAATAAAAAATAAATAGGCCAGATGTGGTTGTTCACACCTGTAATCCTAGTAATATGGAAGGCTCAGGTGGGAAGACTGCTTGAGGCCAGGAGTTTGAAACCAGCCTGGGCAACACAGCAAGACCTCATGTCTATTAAAAATTAGCCTGGTGTGGTGGCACGCACCTGTGGTCCTAGCTACAGAGAGGCTGAGGCAGGAGGATTGCTTGAGCCCAAGAGTTTGAGGCTGCAATGAGACGAGATTGCACCACTGCACTCCAGCCTGGGCAAGACAACGAGACCTTGTCATTCATTTATTCACACATACATAACATTTTGTTTTAAACCCAGAACTTTGTTTTTAGGTTTGTATCAAGCAAAGTCATTAACGTTAGGTCAACACTGTTTTCTTTTTTTTTTTTCTGAGATGGAGTCTTGCTCTGTCTCCCAGGCTGGAGTGCAGTGGTGCGATCTCGGCTCACTGCAACCTCCGCCTCCCAAGTTCAAGCGATTCTCCTACCTCAGCCTCCAGAGTAGCTGGGATTACAGGCACGCACCTCCACACCCAGCTAATTTTTGTATTTTTAGTAGAGACAGGGTTTCGACATGTTGGCCAGGCTGGTCTCAAACTCCTGACCTCAGGTGATCCACCTGCCTCAGCCTCCCGAAGTGCTGGGATTACAGGTGTGAACCACCACGCCTTGCCTATTGTTTTCAAATATTGCCTTTGATTTTAAATAATGTTCCAAAGGTAGATTAATATTAAATTATATTAACAAAATATAATGAAAACATGTAATAATTACCTTTTATTTTTATTTTTATTATTTTTTTGAGACGGAATCTCACTGTCACCCAGGCTGGAGTGCAGTGGCGCGATCTCGGCTCACTGCAAACTCCACCTCCCAGGTTCACACCATTCTCCTGCCTTAGCCTCCCGAGTAGCTGGGACTACAGGCGCCAGCCACCACACCTGGCTAATTTTTTTGTATTTTTTTTTAGTAGAGATGGGGTTTACACCGTATTAGCCAGGATGGTCTCGATCTCCTGACCTCATGATCCACCCAGCTCGGCCTCCTAAAGTGCTGGAATTACAGGCATGAGCCACCACGCCCAGCCAATAATTACCTTTTAAAAGAGCCCTTTAATTGGCTGGGCACAGTGGCTCACGCCTGTAATCCCAACACTTTGGGAGACAGAGGCAGGCGGATCATGAGGTCAGGAGATCGAGACCAGCCTGGCTAACACGGTGAAACCCCGTCTCTACTAAAAATACAAAAAATAAATAAATAAATAAGTTAGTCGGGTGTGGTGGCACGTGCCTATAGTCCCAGCTACTTGGGAGGCTGAGGCAAGAGAATCGCTTGAACCTGGGAGGTGGAGGCTGCAGTGAGCCGAGATTGTGCCACTGCACTCCAGCCTCGTGACAGAGCGATACTCCGTGTAAAAAAAAAACAACAAGCCCTTTAACATGAATAAACGATGTAATTACACTTCTATTTAAGTTGTGGTTTTTCGGGGTTTTTTTTAAATTTAGAAACAGGGTCTCATTCTGTCACCCCAGCTGGAGTGCATTGGCAAAATCATAGCTCACTGCAGCCTTTGATCTCCTGGGCTCAAGCGATACTCCACCTCAGTTTCTTGAGTAGCTGAGACTACAGGCGCATGCCACCATGTCCGGCTAATTTTTAAATTTTGTTTTGGAGACAGCGTCTCACTATATTGCCCAGGCTGGTCTCAAATTCCTAGCCTCAAATGATCCTCTGCCCTGGCCTCTTAAAGCACTGGGATTACAGGGGTGAGCCACTACACTCAGTCCCCTTCTTTTTTTTTTTTTTTGAGACGGAGGCTCGCTATCGCCCAGGCTAGAGTGCAGTGGCGCGATCTCGGCTCACTGCAAGCTCTGCCCCCTGGGGTTCACGCCATTCTCCTGCATCAGCCTCCCACGTAGCTGGGACTACAGGCGCCCGCCACCTTGCCAGGCTAATTTTTTGTATTTTTAGTAGAGACGGGGTTTCACCGTGTTAGCCAGGATGGTCTCGATCTCCTGACCTCGTGATCCGCCCGCCTGGGCCTCCCAAAGTGCTGGGATTACAGGCGTGAGCCACCGCGCCCGGTCCCCCTTCTTAAAAATGTAGAAAACATCACCCCTTGCTCGATACATTGCTGTGAGAATCGAATGAAATATTAGTTTTGAAAACACCTGGTGTGGACCGGGTGCAGTGGCTCACAGCTCTAATCCTAAGCACTCTGGGAGGCCAAGGCAGGTGGATTGCTTGAGCTCAGGAGATGGAGATCAGCCTGGGCAACAACAGCCTGGGTGAAACTCTGTCTCTACAAAAAATTAGCTGGGTGTGGTGGTGTGTGCCTGTAGTCCCAGCGACTCAGTAGGCTGAGGTGGGAGGATGGCTTGGGTCCAGGAGACCAAGGCTGCAGTGAACCTTGATCACACCACTGCACTTCAGCCTGGGTGAGAGAAAGACCATGTCTCAAAAAAGAAGAAAAAAAAAAAGAAAACACCTGGTGTTAACAAAATACCTTAGCCTGAAAGAAGAAAGAAAGGAAGGAAAAAGAAAAAGAAAGGAGAGAGAGAAATAAAGAAAACACCTGGTGAATTCTTTAAGGCACAATGCAAAAGTTAGTTATTCACAATAGGAGAAAGACAATGCCTTCAACTTGATTCTCAGTCTTCTACATAGAGCTTCAGGGGCATCTCAGGACAGAATGGCAATTCCTTCTCCAAGGGTGACCTTTCTGTTTCCTTTGGGACAAAAATGCACACATTTGCAAAAGCCATGTCTAATTCTGTAATTTATTTTCTTTGCCTGATGATGACTGTAAAAAACAAAAACGAATATAACACTGTAATTCTGAGGGTGAAAGAGTCAACTGAAAGCCACTGCATGTGTAAATCCAACATTTATAATGCAGAAACGGTTTTCAGTAATCCAGATTCAGCCTCCACTTCCACACCATTCCCAATACAGACTCGATGACTCACATGGCAACGGCCACCTTCTGCAGCATCCCTCAGATGACACTGACCTTTTCTAGACAGAGGCCACACACCAGTCCAGTGGCTCAATACTCCTTACAAACTGGCCTGTTTTTCTAGAAAGCCCCCAAAGAACTGTGAAATGTGCCCCTGAGTACACCTGCGCTGAGCTCTTCAGTGTTATCACATGCTGGGAATAAAAGAGTTCTGTCAGAGAGCAGGCGTGGAACAGAAATCCTACAGCTGGGAAGCTTATTGTTTTCTGAAATTTCCAAATTGTTTAGGTCCTAGGCTGACTGAGTACTCCCTATGACTGTGTCAGAACCAGGCCTTTGAAGATATTCACATACCTCTGGCCCGGGTACCCCTCAGAGTATTTGTTATTTAAGCAAGAGCCTAGGGCCTCCAAAACTGCTCGGCTGGCGAAATTCTCCGAGGCAATCAGCTCCAATCCAACCCTCTGCCGGTTACTCTCCTTCTTAATGATGTTGTAAACCTTATGAGAAGAAAACAGATGCTTGATATTTGGAAATTTTAGTTTAAAATTTTGCTCTGATCCAAATTACAACCTCCTAAAGAGAAAAGACACTCTTTCACATTATGGAATAGAATGAATCCTCCTCAAAGGTTTTAGTATCTGAGAAAGCACTAATCAATGAATTAACAAAAACAAAATGATAGCCAGGTGCGGTGGCTCACGACTGTAATCCCAGCACTTTGGGAGGCCGAGGCTGGTGGATCACCTGAGGTCAGGAGTTCTAGACCAGCCTGGCCAATATGGTGAAACTCCATCTCTACTAAAAATACAAAACTTGGCTGGGCGTGGTGGCTCACGCCTGTAATCCCAGCACTTTGGGAGGCCGAGATGGGCAGATCACCTGAGGTCGGGGGTTCGAGACCAGCCTGACTAACATGGAGAAACCCTCGTCTCTACTAAAAAATACAAAATTAGCCGGGCATGGTGGCACATGCCTGTAATCCCAGCTACTCGGGAGGCTGAGGCAGGAGAATCACTTGAACCCGGGAGGCGGAGGTTGCAGTGAGCCGAGATCACGCCATTGCACTCCAGCCTGGGCGACAAGAACAAAACTCTGTCTCAAAAACAAACAAACAAAAAAACAAAACTTAGATGGGTGTGGTGGCAGGCGCCTATAATCTCAGCTACTCGGGGGGCCGAGGCAGGAGAATCGCTTGAACCTGGGAGGTGGAGGATTCAGTGAGCCGAGATCGCGCCATCGCACTCCAGCCTGGGAAACAAGAGCGAGACTTCATCTCAGAAAAAGAAAAACAAAATGATTGAAGAGAAAGTTATCTTTAAGTGTCCCACCTAATTTTTAACACCACCATCCTGTTATTTTTATTCCTACATTTCACCAAGTTTCTCCCTCCCTGAACCTTATTCCTTGTTCTTCTTCCTTAAAAGAAAAGATGCTTTAGGCCGGGCGTGGTGGCTCACGCCTGTAATCCCAGCACTTTGGGAGGCCGAGACAGGTGGATCACGAGGTCAGGAGATCAAGATCATCCTGGCTAACACAGTGAAATCCCGTCTCTACTAAAAAAAAAAAAATAATACAAAAAATTAGCCAGGGCGTGGTGGCTGGCACCTGTAGTCCCAGCTACTCGGGAGGCTAAGGCAGGAGAATGGCGTGAACCCGGGAGATGGAGCTTGCAGTGAGCTGAGATCGCGTCACTGCACTCCAGCCTGAGCAACAGAGCAAGACTATATCTCAAAAAAAAAAAAAAAAAAAAAAAAAAAAAAAAAAAAAGGCCGGGTGCGGTGGCTCACGCCTGTAATCCCAGCACTTTGGGAGGCTGAGGTGGGCGGATCACGAGGTCAGGAGATCGAGACCATCCTGGCTAACATGGTGAAACCCCACCTCTACTAAAAAATACAAAAAATTAGCCGGGTGTGGTGGCAGGCACCTGTAGTCCCAGCTACTCAGGAGGCTGAGGCAGGAGAATGGCATGAACCCAGGAGGTGGAACTTGCAGTGAGCTGAGATCACGCCACTGCACTCCAGCCTGGGCGACAGAGCAAGACTCTGTCTCAAAAAAAAAAAAAAAAAAAAATTAGCCGGGCATGGTGGTGGGTGCCTGCAATCCCAGCTAGTCAGGAGGCTGAGGCTGGAGAATCCCTTGAACCCAGGAGGTGGAGGTTGCAGTGAGCCAAGATCACGCCATTGCACTCCAGCCTGGGCAACAAGAGTGAAACTCTGTCTCAAAAAAATAAATAAACAAGTAAAATAAAATAAAATAAAGGTGCTTTCAGATGTCTAGATAGATCTATATTCCCTGTGAACTGTCAGGAAAGGGTCAACTGTCAGTGATCTCTCCCCTTCTCGCTTTTCTCCAGAGCACCCTGCACAGTGCTCCACACTTTGAAGAAACCCAGCAATCTTTAAATTTACCCTCAAAGGATTTGTAGCCATTTTGTCTGCCACCACCTCTAAATCCAGCAGGATAATACTCATTTCAAGGCTGTCCCTAATTAATTTGTAATTAGAACTAAAGATTAAATGAAGGCCTCCAACATAAAAAAATCTGTGAAGACCCCAAAAATCTCACCTCAACATCACTGTCTTTGAGGGGTTGTGCCAGCATCTTGTCATGTGAGGACCACAGGTCAGCATCCTTGTGGGCCCCGTTGACTGGCATCGTCATTGCACTGGTTCGAAGCTGCCTAAAAAAATGGGAAAAACATGTGTAGCTTCCAGAATTAAATTTATTTATTTTATTTATTTTTTATTTATTTTTGAGATGTAGTCTTTGTTGCCCAGGCTAGAGTGCAGTGGCATGATCTCGGCTCACTGCAACCTCCGTCTCCCAGGTTCAAGAGATTCTCCTGCCTCAATCTTCTGACTACAGGCGCATGCCACCATGCCCGGCTAATTTTTTGTATTTTTAGTAGAGACGAGGTTTCACTGTGTTAGCCAGGATGGTCTCAATCTCCTGACCTTGTCATCCGCCCACGTTGGCTTCCCAAAGTGCTGGGATTACAGGTGTCAGCCACCGCGCCCCACCTATTTATTTTTATTTTTTTGAGACAAGACTCTCACTCTGTCACCCAGGCAATGGCGTGATCTTGGCTCACTGCAACCTCCGCCTCCTGGGTTCAAGTGATTCTCCTGCCTCAGCCTCCTGAGTAGCTGGGACTACAGGCGTGCGCCACTACGCCTGGCTAATTTGTGTATTTTTCGTAGAGATGGAGTTTTATCACGTTGGTCAGGCTGGTCTTGAACTCCTCTCAAGTGATCCGCCTGCCTCGGCCTCCCAAAGTGCTGGGATTACAGGCGTGAGCCACCATGCCTGGCCGCAGCATTATATTGAATCAAAGCTCATCGAAACCTGTTAGTTCTATCAAGTTGATAAACTAACACTTTTTTTAGCCTTTCCCTCAGAATTGCTTGGTAAACACGAGCATGTTCTATTGCAAAACCACCATGTGGAACTTCTGGTTCCTTTCCAAACTGCAGACGTCAGCTCATCTCCCTCAGAAATGAGAACTGACCCTCCTCCCCACCTGCAGGGAGCCCAACTCCGCCTCCTCTCAGCCAAACTTCTCATGGATATAGCTTATCTCCCACAACTAAACTAAGTTCCTTGAAGGTAAGGACTGAGTGCTACTTTTTAAAAAATCTCCTGCGGTACCCAACACTGCTATACATGAAGAATATTTTCCGGCCGGGCACGGTGGCTCACGCCTGCAATCCCAGCACTTTGGGAGGCCGAGGTGGGCAGATCACAAGATCTGGAGTTGGAGACCATCCTGGCCAACCTGGTGAAACCCCATCTCTACTAAAAATACAAAAAATGAGCTGGACGTTGTGGCACATGCCTGTAGTCCCAGCTACTTGGGAGGCTGAGGCAGGAGAATCTCTTGAATCTGGGAGGCAGAGCTTGCAGTGAGCCGAGATCACACCACTGCACTCCAGCCTGGCCATAGAGCAAGACTCCACCTCAAAAAAAAAAAAAAAAAAAAAAAAAAAGAGTATTTTCCAAATGACTGAACAGATGAATCATTGACTTGAAACAATTCCACTGGCAGGGAACTGGCAGGCCCTCATAAAATAGTAAATATTCACTATTTAGCAACTTTTCAAAAGATTTTTTGGGACACACAAGTTAATGATGAACAGGATATAGGCAGTTGGGATCATCTTTCCAGGATGACCACCAGTAGTATTTTATAAATGATAATGTAAGTACAGCAAATAGCACCTATTCACTCAGTCTGGACACATTTCTCCAGGCTCCAGAAAAATGTAAATGGGAGTTTTGCTATAAGAAGGGCCTCAAAAATCTCTGTACGATTTTTGAATACATAAGGACCTCATTTTAATCCTAGCAACACTTTAATGTGTTAATTTATTTCATACTTCAAGTAATGAAATTGAGGCTCAGGGCCAGGCATGGCAACTCACACCTGTAACCCCAGCACTTTGGGAGGCCAGGAGTTCAAGACCAGCCTGGGCATTGCTACAAAAAAAAAAGTTAGCTGGGCATGGTGGGATGGGCCTATAGTCCTACCTACTGAGCTAGGACTCTTTTTTTTTTTTTTTTTGAGACAGAGTCTCACTCTGTCGCCCAGGCTGGAGTACAGTGGCGCGATCTCGGCTCACTGCAAGCTCCACCTCCCGGGTTCATGCCATTCTCCTGCCTCAGCCTCCCAAGTAGCCAGGAACACAGGCACCCACCACCATGCCTGGCTAATTTTTTTTTTATTTTTTCAGTAGAGATGGGGTTTCACCGGTTAGCCAGGATGGTCTCGGCCTCCCAAAGTGCTGGGATTACAGGTGTGAGCCACCGCGCCCAGCCTGGGCTAGGACTCTTAAAAAAAAAAAAAAAAGAACTAAAGAAAGAAAAACGACGTTAGAAAAGTGAAATATTGTGGCTGGGCGCAGTGGCTCATGCCTGTAATCCCAGTACTTTGGGAGGCCGAGGTGGGCGGATCAGGAGGTCAGGAGATCGAGACCATCCTGGCCTACACGGTGAAACCCCATCTCTACTAAAAATACAAAAATTAGCCGGGCGTAGTGGCTCACGCCTGTAATCCCAGCTACTCGGGAGGCTGAGGCAGGAGAATCACTTGAACCTGGGAGTCAGAGGTTGCAGTGAGCCAAGATCACCACTGCACTCCAGGCTGGCAACAGAGCGAGACTCTGTCTCAAAGAAAAGTAAAATATCTTAGCCCAGGGCTGCACAGAAAGTTAGCCACAGAGGCAGGACTCGAAACCCCAAAGCACATGCTCTAAGTAATCCACAGAGTTCCTGTGAAGCTGTTAGTTAAAATATGTACTTGGGCTGGGTGTGGTGGTTCATGCCTGTAATTCCAGCACTTTGGGAGGCTGAGGCAGGAGGATCACTTGAGCCCAGGAGTTCAAGACTGGCCTGGGCAACATGGCAAAGCCCCATTTCTACAAAAAATACAAATTATTAGCTGGTCGTGGTGGCATGCATCTGTAGTCCCAGCTATTCAGGAGGCTGAGGTGGGAGGATCACCTGAGCCTGGAAGCTAGAGGTTGCAATGAGCCGTGATTGTGGCAGTGCATTCCAGCCTGGGTGACAGAGTAAGACCCTGTGTGTGTGTGTTTTTTTCTTTTAAATAAAAAAAGGACTTGTTTGAATATAAATCTTCCTAAAGAATTACAGGTTGGGCTGGGCCCAGTGGCTCATGCCTGTAATCCCAGCACTTTGGGAGGCCAAGGCGTGCGGATCATGAGGTCATAAGTTCGAGACCAGCCTGGCCAACATGACTAAAAATACAAAAATTACCCAGGTGTGGTGGCAGGCACCTGTAACCCCAGCTACTTGGGAGGCTGAGGCAGGAGAATCGCTTGAACCCGGGAGGCGGAAGTTGTAGTGAGCCGAGATCACACCACTGCACTCTAGCCTGGGTGACAAAGCAAGACTCTGTCTCCAGGGGAAAAAAAAAAAAGGGCCTGGTATGGTGGCTTATGCCTGTAATCCCAGCACTTAGGGGAGTCAAGGCAGGAGGATCCTTTGAGCCTAGGAGTTCAACCACAGCCTAGGCAACACAGTGAAACCACGTCTCTACAAAAATTTAGAAATTAGGCTGGGCAAGGTGGCTCACATCTGTAATCCCAGCACTTTGGAAGGCTGAGGTGGGCAGATCAACTTGAGGCCAGGAGTTTGAGACCAGCCTGGCTAACATGGTGAAACCCTGTCTATAGCAAAAATATAAAAAATTAATTGGGTGTGGTGGCACACACCTGAGGCATGAGACTTACTTGAGCCTCAGAGGTGGAGGCTGCAGTGAGCCGAGATTGTGCCACTGCACTCCAGTCTGGGTGACAGAGTGAGACTGTGTCTCAATAAAAAAAAAAAGGCCAGGTGCAGTGGTTCACGCCTGTAATCCCAGCACTTTGGGAGGCCAAGGCGGGCAGACCACAAGGTCAGGAAATCAAGACTGTCCTGGCCAACATGGTGAAACCCCATCTCCACTAAAAATACTAAAATTAGCTGGGTGTGGTGGCGCCCGCCTGTAATTCCAGCTACTCAGGAGGCTGAGGCAGAAGAATGGCTTGAACCCAGGAGGCGGAGACTGTAGTGAGCAGAGATCACACCACTGCACCGCAGCCTGGCAACAAAGCAAGACTCTATCTTAAAAAAAAAAAAAAATTATTTGGCCAGGCACAGTGGCTCACACCTGTAACCCCAGCACTTTGGGAGGCCAAGGCGGGCGGATCACCTGAGGTCAGGAGTTCGAGACCAGCCTGGCCAACACAGCGAAACCCCGTCTCTACTAAAAAATACAAAAATTAGATGGGCATAGTGGTGGGCCCCTGTAATACCAGCTATGCGGGAGGCTGAGGTAGGAAAATCGCTTGAACCCAGGAGGTGGAGGTTGCAGTGAGCCGAGATCATACCATTGCACTCCAGCCTGGGTGACAGAGCAAGACTCCATCACAAAAAAAACCAAAAAGAAATACACAAGGCCAGGCATGGTTGCTTACACTTGTAATCCCAGAACTCTGAGAGGCTGAGACGAGAAGATCACTTGAGCCCAGGCGTTCAAGACCAGCCTAGGCAACATGGCAAAACCCTGTCTCTAAAAAAAAATACAAAAAATTACCCGAGCCTGGTGGCGCACGCCTGTATTCTCAGCTACTCTGGGTGGCTGAGGCAGGATGATCACTTGAGTCCCGGAGGTTGAGGCTGCAGTGAGCCCAGATTTTCCCACAGCACTCCAGCCTGGCCAAGAGAACAAGACCCTGTCTCAAAAAAAAAAAAAAGAAAAGAAAAGAAAGAAAGATGCAATAAATGGGTGCAAGGCTACTTTAGACTGGGTCAGGGAACGTCCCGGAGCTGAAATCTGAGCTGTGGAAAGGAGCCAACCATGAAATCTGGGATGAGAGCAATCTACGCAGAGTAAACAAGTGCAGAGCACCCCAAGTTCAAAGGCCAGACAAAGGAGAAAGTGTGACTGGCCAAGGGTCAGAAATCAGGCTTGCACACCTGAAGTCTGGGGAGTCACAGGACCACAAGAGTCAAGACCACCCTGGGCAACATAGGGAGACCCCGTCTCTCTAAAGAAAGAAAAAAAAGCGGTCAGGCGCGGTGGCTGACGCCTGTAATCCCAGCACTTTGGGAGGCCGAGGTGGGTGGATCACTTGAGGTCAGGAGTTTGAGACCAGCCTGGCCAATATGGTGAAACCCCATCTCTACTAAAAATACAAAAATTAGCTGGGCGCAGTGGCTCAATTCCTGTAATCCAAGCACTTTGGGAGGCCAAGGCGGGTGCATCACCCCAGGTCAGGAGTTCGAGACCAGCCTGACCAACACGGTAAAACTCCATCTCTACTAAAAATACAAAAATGAGCTGGGTGTGTGGTGCGCACCTGTAACCCCAGCTACTCAGGAGGCTGAGGCAAGATAATCGCTTGAACCCAGGAGGTTGCAGTGAGCTGAGATCGTGCCACCGCACTCCAGCCTGGACAACAGAGCAAGACTCTGTCTCAAAAAAAAAAAAAAAAACAAAAACAAAAATTAGCCAGGCATGGTGGCATATGCCTGTAATCCCAGCTACTCAGCAGGCTGAGACCAGGAGAATAGCTTGAACCAGTGAGGTAGAGATTGCAGTGGACCGAGATCATGCCACTGCACTCCAGCCTGGGTGACAGAGCTAGACTCCGTTTCAAAAAAAAAAACAAAAAAGAAAAAAGGGGGCTGGGTGCAGTGGCTCACATCTGTAATCCCAGCACTTTGGGAGGCCGAGGCGGGCAGATCACGAGGTCAGGAGATCGAGACCATCCTGGCTAACATGGTGAAACCCCGTCTCTACAAAAATAAAAAAAAATTAGCTGGGCGTGGTGGCGGCGCCTGTAGTCCCAGCTACTCAGGAGGCTGAGGCAGGAGAATGGCGTGAACCCGGGAGGCGGAGCTTGCAGTGAGCCGAGATCGCGCCACTGCTCTCCGGCCTGGGCAACAGAGTGAGACTCCGTCTCAAAAAAAAAAAAAAAGAAAATTGGGAATCTTAGGGACATCTTCATTAACATTCAGTAATACCTGGTAAGTCCCCCAGCCAACACAGCTCACTGCAACATCAGTCATTACAACATTGGATATTTCTGTAGAGGCACTGTTGCTCATGTGTGGCATGATCCTCAACGTCAGGGAAAAAGACCTAGTAAGTGAAGTCACCTGCAAGGTCACCAGCCTCCCCATGCCTCCAAATCTTACCTGGGCCTCTGTCACATAAGAGGATCCAGCCAAGGATCTGCTCAGGGAACTAACTTGTTGCACATCTTCTATCTCACACACATTTTGTGTTCTCTTCTTTACAGAAGAGGAAATTGAGGCCCAGGGAGCTAACTTGTCTAAAGCCATATAAGAGCCAGAATCTGAACAATGGTTTCTCTTCAGTTCCAAGGCCTTGTCCCAGGACATTGCACTAAATAAAAACACAATTACCCACTTCCGTTCCAAGTTCCCCCAAGTAATAAATTTACGTTATTTCTTTTCTTTTTTTTCTTTTCTTTCTCTCTCTTTCTTTCTTTTGAGATAGAGTCTCACTCTGTCACTCAGGCTGGAGTGCAGTGGCGTGATCTCCGCTCACTGCAACCTCCACCTCCCGGGTTCAAGCGATTCTCCTGCCTCAGCCTTCCGAGTAGCTGGGATTATAGGTGTGTGCCACCATGGGCAGCCAGGTTTTTTTGTATTTTTAGTACAGACGGGGTTTCACCATGTTGGCCAGGCTGGTCTCCAACTACTAACCTCAAGTGATCCGCCCACCTCGGCCTCCCAAAATGCTGGGATTACAGGCATGAGCCACCGCGCCCGGCCTACAATGTTATTTCTGCAAGAACCTAAACTGGTGTTTCCAGTCTATTCTCTGGGTAACTGCCCGATTGAAGGCCCGCATCTGTGCTGACCTCAGCTGGACCAAGGGTCACTTAACTCCCGGAATCTCGAAGCCAAGGCACCGGGCCAAGAACTTCACAGTGCAACATTTGTCTCCTAGAACAGGGGGTGGCAGATTGCGGGCAACAGGAAGAGCTCATTCCCCACAGGGATCTGGTGGCACGGGCCAAAAGTGGAGCGACCCTGCGCGCAGCCTTTAGGGGCGCAGGCTTTGAGAACCCGGGTTCTATTCCGGGCTCTGCCATTTAAGTTGCCTCCTTTCTCAGGGCCCCACCACCTTCCTCACCTGTAAAATGGGGGAAACAGTAGCACTTGACTTGCAGCTTTGTTGTGAAGGAGCTAGGATTGTTTAAATCGAAAATGCTCAACGAGAAAAGTGTTCAGTGGAGAGCTACTACTCACATCCCCGATAAGCCTTCGCATTCTTGCCAAAGGCCACGGGCCGCCACCCCATCATACCGAATGTGCCTGGAACTGGGGCGCTGCGGCTGGCCGCCGCCCGATCCCCAGCCCAGGCGCGACCCAAGCGCTCCCCTCCCGTCATTGCGGCTGCAGAGGGTGGGGTACGGCGGGGGACAGCGAGGACGCCGAAGCACCCCCCGGGCTCTGGGACGCCGCGGCCCTCGGACCCGAAGCCGCCCACCTACCGGAACACGGCCCGCGCACGTACCTAGCGACGCCTCCGTCCTACGCCGCCGCCGGTGCCACCAGTCCCAGACCCGCTGACCCAACGCCCCGCGCACCGCCGCGGGCCAGCCACGTGACCAGCCGCTCCAACCCCAAACCCCGAACTTGGCGCTGGACCGCTCGAGCTCAGGAAGGTGCACTCTGCGCGCCAGGCTTGGGCTTGGCCCCGCCCCCGGAGGCGCCCAATCAGAGAGCGCAGCCAAGCATGGGCCGCCACCAAACGCACCCGCGCTATTGGCTGCGGCGCAGCGGCGGGCAGGGCCTGTTTCTCCGGGGCGGGCCGGAGGCCGCGTAGTGCAGCTGCGCACCTGGGGCAGGGACCTGCAGAACTGACCCGCTTTGGCTGCAGGGCTGGTGTGTGGACCAAGATTTCCAGGAAGACTACACAGGGCCTTCCTCACTTAAGCCTGTCGCTTGGGCCGTGGGATTATGAGTGAATTTTGTTCATGGTACTACTTTTAGTTTGCAGGGTGGTCATTTAAAGTAGGACAAATGTGCGTCCAAACTGCAACATTATTACTCTGTAGGTGTATAATCCAAGAGCAGACACTTTATTATTATTATTTTTGTTATTTTTTATTTTTATTTTTTTGAGACAGGGTCTCACTCTGTCCCCCAGGTTGAAGTAGAGATGGGGGTCTAACTATGTTGCCTCCCAGGAGGCGGAGGTTGCAGTGAGTCGAGATCGCGCCACTGCACTCCAGCCTGGGGGACGGAGCGAGACAACGTCTCAAGAAGAATAAAATAAGATAAATAAAATACTGACACACAATAAGGACTCAATGAACATTACCTATTGTTAAGAATGATAAAAACCGGGGCCACATGTCAGGACCACCTGAGGCTGCGTCATAAATTTTTTTATTTGTCAAATGATAACAATAATTATTATAAGAATGATAAAAACCGGGCGCAGTGGCTCACCCCTGTAATTCCAGCACTTTGGGAGGCCGAGGCAGATGGCTTGAGCCTAGGAGTTCAAGACCAGCCTGGGCAAAATGGTGAAACCTTGTCTCTACAAATAATTTTAAAATTAGCTGGGTGTGGTGGCAGTCGCCTGTAGTCCCAGCTACTTGGGGGGCTGAATGGGAGGATCACTTGAGCCTGGGAGGCAGAGGTTGCAGTAAGCAATGATCTTGCCTCTGTACTCCAGCCTGGGCAACAGAGTGAGACCCTCATCATCTCGAAAAACAAACAAACAAAAAATACAAAAAAAACTTTTTTTTTTTTTTGAGACAGAGTCTTGCTCTGTCGCCCAGGCTGGAGTGCAGTGGCGCGATCTCGGCTCACTGCAAGCTCCACCTCCCGGGTTCACGTCATTCTCCTGCTTCAGCCTCCTGAGTAGCTGGGACTACAGGCCTCCGCCACCACGCCTGGCTAATTTTTTTTTATTTTTGAGACGGAGTCTCCCTCTCTTGCCCAGGCTGGAGTGCTGTGGCGCGATCTAGGCCCACTGCGAGCTCTGCCTCCTGGGTTCATGCCATTCTCCTGCCTCAGCCTCCCGAGTAGCTGGGACTACAGGAGCCCACCACCACGCCTGGCTAATTTTTTGTATTTTCAGTAGAGACAGGGTTTCACCATGTTAGCCAGGATGGTCTTGATCTCCTGACCTTGTGATCCACCTGCCTCAGCCTGCCAAAGTGCTAGGATTACAGGCGTGAGCCACCACACCCGGCTAATTTTTGTATGTTTAGTAGAGATAGGGTTTCACCATATTGGCTAGGCTGGTCTTGAACTCCTGATCTCAAGTGATCCATCCTCCTCGGCCTCCCAAAGTGCTGGGATAACAGGCAAGAGCCACTGCGCCTGGCCAACATAGTGAGTGTTTTTGTTTTTTGTTTTTGTTTTATTTATTTATTTATTTGAGATGGAGTCTCGCTCTGTCACCCAGGCTGGAGTGCAGTGATGCGATCTTGGCTCCCTGCAACCTCTGCCTCTCTGGTTCAAGCAATTCTCCTGCATCGGCTTCCCGAGTAGCTGGGACTACAGGCGTGCACCACCATGCCCAGCTAATTGTTCTTTTTGTTTGTTTGTTTGAGACGGAGTCTCGCTCTGTCGCCCAGGCATGAGTGCAGTGGCTCGATCTTCGCTCACTGCAATCTCCACCTCCCAGGTTCACGCCGTTCTCCTGCCTCAGCCTCCCGAGTAGCTGGGACTACAGGCGCCCGCCACCATGTCCGGCTAATTTTTTATATTTTTAGTAGAGACAGGGTTTCACTGTGTTAGCCAGGATGGTCTTGATCTCCTGACCTCTGATCCGCCTGCCTCGGCCTCCCAAAGTGCTGGGATTACAGGCATGAGCCACCGCGCCCGGCCGTGCACAGCTAATTTTTGTATTTTTCTCACAGACAGGGATTCGCCATGTCAGCCAGGCTGGTCTCGAACTCCTGACCTCACGTGATTCACCTGCCTCGGCTTCCCAAAGTGCTGGGATTACAGGCACAAGCCACCGCGCCCGGCCTGTTGTTTGTTTTTTTGAGACGGAGCCTCTCTCTGTTGCCCAGGCTGAGGTGCAATAGTGTGATCTCGGCTCACTGCAGCTTCCGCCTCCCGGGTTCAAGCAGTTCTCCCACCTCAGCCTCCCAAGTAGCTGCGACTACAGGCGTGCGCCACTACGCCCTGCTAATTTTTGTATTTTTAGTAGAGACGAGGTTTCACTATGTTGGTCAGGCTGGTCTCGAACTCTTGACCTCAGATGATCTGCTCGCTTCAGCCTCCCAAAGTGGTGGGATTACAGGCATAAGCCACTGTGCCCAACCCGTGAGTTTTTTAATATCCAAAGTAAGATTTCTGGGTCAAGCTTTTAGTAAATATTGCCATATTGCTTTCTACAAGCATTGTAACAATTCACACTCCCAGCAACAATTTAGGGAAATACCCATTTCCCATTTCTTCTCCAGCACTGAATGCTTCATTTTTTATTTTTTTATTTTTTTTAGATAGAGTCTCTGTTGCCCAGGCTGGAGTGCAGTGGCGTGATCTTGGCTCACTGCAATCTCTGCTTCCTGGGTTCAAGTGATTCTCCTTCTTCAGCCTCTCGAGTAGCTGGGGTTACGGGCATGCACCATGACACCTGGCTTTTTTTTTTTTTTTTTTTTTTTTTTTGTATTTTTAGTAGAGACGGGGTTTTGCCATGTTGGCCAGGCTGGTCTCAAACTCCTGACCTCAAGTGATCCACCTGCCTCAGCTTCCCAAACTGCTGGGATTACAGGCATGAGCTACTGTGCCCGGCCTACTGATACTTAAATTTTTTTTTTTTTTTTTTTGTTTTTTGAGATGGAGTCTTGCTCTGTCTCCAGGCTGGAGTGCAGTGGCACAATCTTGGCTCACTGCAACCTCTGCCTCCCAGGTTCAAGCAATTCTCCTGCTTCAGCCTCCTGAGTAGCTGGGACTACAGGCACCCACCACCACGTCTGGCTAATTTTTGTATTTTTAGTAGAGATGAGGTTTCACCATTTTGGCCAGGATGGTCTCGATCTCCTGACCTCATGATCCACACGCCTTGGCCTCCCAAAGTGCTGGGATTACAGGCGTGAGCCACCGCGCCCAGCTAAAAAATATTTTATTTGTGGCTGGGCATGGTGACTCAGGCTCACACCTGTAATCTTAGAACTTTGGGAGGCTGAGGTAGGAGGATTGCTTGAGGCCAGGAGTTCAAGAGTAGCCTGGGCAACATAGCAAGATCCCATCTCTATGAAAAATTAAAATTAAAAAAATTATGACATTTTGTGCTACATGATGAAAAAAATTAAAAAGAAAGAAAGAAAATTGGCCAGGTGTGGAAGTGCACACCTGTATTCCCAACTAGTCAGGGTGCTGAGTGGGGAGGATCTCCTGAGCCCAGGAGTTCAAGGCTGCAGTGAGCTGTGATCGTGCCACTGCTCTCCAGCCTAAGATACGGGAAAAACCAAAGCGTTTTTCTTTTCTTTTTTTTCTGCTGTCATCGTATGAAATAGTCTATAGGTTTCCATTATATCCAGTTACAGAGGGTGTTACTGAGTTACAGATTTTCTGCCTGCTGGATCTGTCCGTTTCTGATAGAGGGACATTGAAGTCGCCAACTATAATAGTTTCTCCTTGCAGCGCTGTCACTTTTTCAGTCACATATTTTGATGTTCTGTTGTCAGGATCATACATGTTAAGGACTGTTATGTCTTCTTTGAGCATTGACTCCTTAATCATTATGTAATGACCTGTCCTTATCCCTCACAACTTTCTTTTCTTTCCCTTCCTTCCTTCCTTCCTTTTTCTTTTTCTTTTCTTTTCTTTCTTTTTTTTTTTTTTTTTGAGACAGAGTCTCTGTCAACCAGGCTGGAGTACAGTGGCATGATCTCAGCTTACTGCAGCCTCTGCCTCCCAGGCTCAAGTGAGTCTCGTGCCTCAGCCTGAGGAGTAGCTGGGATTACAGTCGAGTGCAACCATGCCCAGCTAATTTTTGTATTTTTAGTAAAGACAGGGTTTTGTCATGTTGGCCAGGCTTGTCTTGAATTCCTGGCCTCAAGTGATCTGCCCGCCTTGGCTTCCCAAAGTGCTGGGAAGCCACCCAGCACCTGTCCTGTTCCTGATGACTTTCCTTGCCCTGAAGCCTGTACTGTCTGAAATTAATATAGGGACTCCTGCTTCCTTTTGATTAGTGTTGGCATAGTAGATCTTTCTTTATCCATTTACTTTTAATATATACATCTTTAAAGTGTAGTTCTTACAAGGAGCATATAGTTGCATCTTGTTTTTTGCTGTACTCTGACAATCTCTCTCTTTTTTTCTTTTTTTTTTTTGAGATGGAGTCTTGCTCTGTTGCCCAGGCTGGAGCGCAGTGGCACGATCTCAGCTCACTGCAACCTCTGCCTCCTGGGTTCACGCCTTTCTCCTGCCTCACCCTCCCAAGTAGCTGGGACTACAGGCGCCCGCCACCACGCCCAGCTAATATTTTGTATTTTTAGTAGAGACAGGGTTTCACCATGTTAGACAGGATGGTCTCAATCTCCTGACCTCGTGATCCGCCCACCTTGGCCTCCCAAAGTGCTGGGATTACAGGCGTGAGCCACTTCGCCCAGCCCAATCTCTCTCTTTTAATCGGTTAATTTGGACCATTGATATGCAAAGGAATTGTTGATATAATTGGATTAATATCTGCCTTTTTTTTTTTACTGTTTTCTAATTGTTGCTTTTGTTTCTTTGTATTTTTGTCTTCCATTCTTTTTCTGCCTCTTGTAGTGTTTTGTCTTTGTGTTTTTCTTTCTTTTTTTTTTCTTTTGAGACAAAGTCTTGCTCTGTCACCCAGGCTGGAGTGCAGTGGCACAATCATGGTTTATCGCAGCCTCAAGCTGCTGGGCTCAAGCAATCCTACCATCTTGGCCTCCCGAGTAGCTGGGACCACAGGTATGCACCACCGTGCCTGGCTAATTTTTTTTAATTTAATTTTTTGTAGAGACAGAGTCTACGATGTTGCCCAGGCTGGTCTCAAACTCCTGGGCTCAAGTGATCCTTCTGCCTCAGCCTCTCAAGTAGCTGGGACTACAGTCACATACCACCACGCCTGGCTAATTTTTTATTTTCTGTAGAGATAGAGATGGGATTTTGCAATGTTGCTCAGGCTGGTCTCAAGCTCCTGGCCTCAAGCAATCCTCCCGTCTCAGCCTCCCAAAGCACTGGGATTACAGGCATGAACCACTATGCCCAGCCATAAATAAAATATGTTTTAGAGTGTCTGTGTCCACTGATAAGGGCGTAGTCATTTCTTCCCTCGCCGGCTCCTGTAAGTGCTGAGGATTCCACTGCACTGACCCCGGTTGTGCCCTCGGGGAATGTTGAGTCCTAGCAGATGTTAAACAACATATGACACACCTAAGCATTTCACTGGACTTACACTACACAGGTGGCTGTTAGTTTGATTTTCTTTCTTTCTTTTTTTCTTTTTGAGAAAGTCTCGATCTGTCACCCGGGCTGGAGTGCAGTGGCACGATCTCGGCTCACTGTAACCCCTGCCCCCCCAGGTTCAAGCAATTATCATGCCTCAGCCTCCCGAGTAGCTGGGATTACAGGCGCCCACCACCACGCCCGGCTAATTTTTTTGTATTTTTAGTAGAGACGGGGTTTCACCATGTTGGCCAGGCTGGTCTTGAACTCCTGACCTCATGATCCACCTGCCTCAGCCTCCCAAAGTGCTGGGATTACAGGCGTGAGCCACCGTGCCTGGCCAATTTTCTTCTGACTTTATGTCTCTCACCCCTGCCTCTCAGAGCAAAAGGTTTTCTGCTTACCTTTGCTGCCCATGAGCTTTGGGCTGCTGGGATAAAAGAAGGCGCCACTGAAAAGGAAAGTTTTCCTGCTCTTATAAAAATTCTAATATAACCCACTTAAGGTGAAGAGGTTGATGATGATGAGAGTAAGGAGAGCAGGCAAAGCTTTCTCAGGATGGAGAGAAGATGGGGTACCAGGATTAGATTCTCAACCTATTAGGAAAAAAAACCCCAAAAAACCAGTGATTTATAAAATAGAAGAGTTTATTTC